>NC_000003.12:46676666-46979696 GCF_000001405.40 Homo sapiens
TTGGGCTCCCGGTGCTGCAGCAGCTCCTCCAGGATGTCTTCCATACTGCCCACACTGTCCTCAGGGTGGGTCCTGGGCACCACACACAGCATCCCTCACCCACACCTCGGCCCAGCCCCCTCCCCCCAGGAAGCCCTCCCCAGCCCACCCTAACCTGTGCATGCTCACACAGCCGGCCTCACCTCTCGCAGGACAGGTAATCCTGAGACCTACGCAGCTCCCTGGAGCTCTGCACGTCGAAGCCCAGCAGGGCCTCCTGCAGGTCCCTGGGGCAGCCAGCACACACAAAGTCCCGGAAGGGGCTGTAGACTCCCTGCCAGCGGCTTTCCACGGGGAAGGCACCCACGCCCAGCTGCCTGCGATGGGGATGGAGGGTGGGTGATGGGGCAGAGAGAGATGGAGCTGAGGTAGGCAGGACTCTGCCCAGGCCCTTGGAGGGGTGGGGGTATGAGCCTGGCCCAGGATCAAGCCCCAAGAAGGGTGGATGGATTGAACCATGCAGAGGGGGCTGACCTCCACGGCTCCAGGAGGAAGAGCAGCAGAGAAAGGGACAGAGAATCTACCCTGCGACGAGAAGACAGACAGAAGCATATGGAATCCTGGAAAGACGGAGACAGAAAGGTGGGCAGATCTGGAGGCCAAGCCAGAGAGGGGGTCTTGGTCCAAGAGAGACCAGTGTCCAAAGTCTGGGATTCCCCTCCAAGACATCCCCCTCTGCCCTCCCTTACAGCTGGTTCCTTCCTGTGGTTGATCCCGCCCTGGCCAACAGGCTGGGGCCTGGCTGCGCATGTCTAATGGAGCCCTGCACTCCAGTGTCATGCTCGTAGGCTACACGCAGCCCACACTCACACCCAGGCTGGGGCCTGCCCCTAGGGATTGCTGTCCACTCCCAGCTCCTGCTGTCAGGGAGAAGCAGCATGCAGGGACAGCGGGCCAAGTAGTCAACTGTACTCCCTCCCTACATCTGAAATGCTGCCTGGGACCACTTCCCATTAGAACTGCCACCCACACAGATTCCTTCCTCTGTGCAATACTGAGTCTTCCTCAACAGACGCAACAAGAGCAACTGTTTTCCAAGGAGGAACTCTGTTCCTACAGGAAAAGAAGTCTATCCTTCTCTGGAATACTCCTTGATAATGACTGTGATTCCACTTAGCAAGTTTCCTTCTTTACCTTGGCTGCCAGGAAACTCAGAGCCAGGCTCAATGATCAGTTGTAAATGCCGTAGGACATGTCTACATATCCCTTTCTTTTAAGGTTAACATATGCTCTTATTTTCTATTTTTTTTTTCCTGTATGTTTGGTTTGTAAACCGTATTGTATCCTTTCGAGACAAAAAAAAAAAAAAAGCAGGACCTAAGCAAAGCCTACAAATAATATTTCTCTCCAGTTTTGTGGTGTACCGCATTATATCCACACAGCCCCTGATCCCAAGAGTCTCTGACTGGAGTTGTACACCCTGGGCTCTCGGAACTCTCTAGAGGGCTAAGAGGTGGGTGCAAAAAGGCCCCTCTGAGGAGACCTGAGTCTTTGGGATGGAAACACAGACACATCCCCAGATAGGCCCAGAGCCAGAGGGGCCAGGCACTCACCTCTTGCAGGTACTGCTCGGGTCTGGTGGGAGGGCAGCCGTGTCCAGCACACCCTGTGTGTGCAGTCCTCTCCCTGCCCCACTGCCGAACGAGCCCTCCAGGGTGAAGCCATTGGGGAAGGTGACCTTGCCCTGGGAGCCAGGAGAAGGAGCAGGGATGTCTGTCTGCCCAGTTACCCTTCCAGCCAATCATGACAGGCCACAAGCCTGTCCATCAGTGTCAGAGAGGCTAAGGACTAATGAATGGGCTTCCCGCCATCCATTCAAGCTGCTCCATGCTGAGGGGTTCATAATCCTCTATGCCTGCCAGAGCCCCCCACCAACAGCTGTGCCCACGTCTCAGGGGCTCGCTCACCTCTGAGGTAGGAAGAGGAGAGAGATGCAGAAGGGACTCACAGGCAAGAGTGGGGAGACCACCACTGAGGGGCTGGGGTGGGGGTAAGCCCAGGGACAGGCAACGCCTGAGGAGGGCGGTGTCTTGCCACATGAGGCTGTCCCATTCATAGCAACCTGATCTCCACCCCTTTGCTCCAGTCATTATGAAACCAAAACAGCCCCTACATTTCCAAAGGCTCCAGCGGGGACACATTGCCTTTTCCTGGGTTAGCTCAGGGAGGCACACACTGAAGGCCAGTGCCTCCAGGGACAGCTGCTCGAGGCACTGGTACTGGTGGAGGGCGTGTATTCTGAACTAGGAGGGTATGGAGGGACACAGCCAGGAGACCACCGGTACCCTCTGGATAGCAGGCAAGGCCACTGGTCCCCTCTCACCTCACTCCAGAATCAATCGCAACTCTGTGGCAGGGTGGAGTTGCTGTGCCCACTCCTTGGCTCCAAGGGAGGTGGGACAGGCCCTCCCCTACCTGCCCCCAGCCCTGAGTCTAAGTGGGGAGATTACAGACACCAACCAAGGCCTTGGCAGGGTGTGGAGGGGGGCCTCAGTGGTCCTCACCTTCCCCATGAGGGTCAGGTCCCTGGTGAAGGTGCCCTCATACAGGGAGTCGTCTTCAGAGAGGAGGATGCCCGGGCCCTTGGGGAGAGGAAGCCAGGGAGGGTAGAAAGGGTGGGTGAGGAAGGGCCAGGAAACTCAGGGTGGAGAGAGATGGCCAAAGAAGGGAGATGTGCCCTGACACATGGCGAGAGGGGCCCTGAGCCTCATCACGCCCCACAGGACTGTACCTAATTGGGACTCTAGCCTTTGGCCTGCTAAGCACCAGCCCCGAGGACCCCATCCCTGGATTTCCCCAAATGACACCCTCCGCCCTGGCTCCTCACCCCAGCGGCTTCTTCAGGAAGCCCTTGGGAGCTCAAGAAATGTGGGGCTTTCTCTGAAACATCCCTGCTTCCCTGCTTGTCACTGGCCCTGGGAACGGCAGAGCTGACCAGGCTCCCTTGCCCCATGGGCTGCCGGGAAGCTCAGAGCCGAAAGGGTTACAATTAGTGTTCGGCTTATTTCCAAATCTATTTTGTGTACTTATTCTTCCCCTTGTCTTCCTCTTTCCTTGAAGGCCTCCTTCAATCCTTTCGAGAATGAAGTAGAGCATAAACAAACCAACAGACCATAATAACAGGAACAGCCATCAGGCCAGAGCCCCACATTCCCCAGGCACCTGGAAGGGTATGGGTGAGGCAAACATGGGAGTCCCAGGCTCGGCGGCCAGGCTCAGCAGACCAGGGTGTGAGTGTCAGCTCTGCCACTCAGTGAAGGTGACATGGAGCAGGTCCTCTGATCCCTCTGAACCTCTCATTTGTCATTCACTAGGGACACACTAGGGATAATAATGACATCAACCTGCAGGGCTCTTGGGAAGATCCCACAAGATCAGGGTGGGAGCTTAGCCCAGAGCCAGGTGTCAAGTTAGGACTCTGTGAATGTCAGCTAATGCATCATCATGAGCAAGTGCTCCATTCTTGTTAGTTCATTGAGTCTATGGTAAGTATTCTTAACCTGAGTTGCTGATGGGGAAACCAAGGTCAGGCAGAGCAGGGATTGGCCAGGGCCAGGGGAGGTGGGTGGTAGAGCTGGCTTCCTGCCCAGGTTCTGGCTCCCTCCAGCACCCAGGAACACAGCCCCCTTTCCCATCCCTCCCTGAAAGGCCTCAGCTCAGCCTCAGTGCCCCCAGCGGGAGTGGGGTGCAAAGAGAGGGATAGCCCAGGATACACTCCACTCACCACCGTCTTGTCCGCCTGGAAGGTGCCCTGGTAGCAGACACCTGCCTGGGTGACCATGACCCCTGGGCCGTGGCGCTGACCAGCCTGCCACATGCCAATGTAGCGCTCACCTCTGGAAGGAGAGGAATGTGGCCAGAGTTGGATCAGACTCATTCCCATGTACCTCCTGGGCACTCTGCTGGCACGGGGCGGCAGGGAGTGCAGATAAGGGGCAGTGACATCACCTGAATCCACTCAACAGACACAGTGCCAGAGAGGTCAGGACCCCCAAGAGGAATAGAGAATGGAGGAGGGAGGGAGGCAGCCTGGGAAGGGCATCTGGGAGGCTTCTCCGTGGAGGTGGCAGGAAGGACAGGGGGAATAGGAGTGTGTGCAAAGCCATGGAGGTAGGAGCATGTGATGGATACGTGGGGACTTCAGTGGTCCAGAAAGGCTGGAGGGGTGCCCAGGAGACGCAGCTGGGGTGAGGTCAGAGAAGCAGGCGAGGCTGTGATTGCCAGGCCAAGGATCCAGGGCTTTATCACACAGCCCAGAGAGCCAGCAAGGGCTGCAGTTTTTAGACGTGACAGAGCAGGGGGTCAGAAATGCCTCTCCAACACCATGAGGAGGGGTGAGGGGCGGGGGCGACCCTGCAGTCAGCGTGACCAAGATTCGCTCAGCCTGAGCCTCCGCAGCAACCGAGGGACTGGAGGGGAAGTGAGGGGCTTAAGAGAGACACAGTGGGGGACAAACAGGAGCCTGTGTCCTGCAACAATCTGGTCTGTGAGGGCCCGGTCCACCCCTCCGTCCTGGGAGTGGTGGCTGCAGGGCGCTCACCTGTCACCATCCTCCTCAATGCCATAGCCGCTCCTCTGGCCCCTCTCCCAGTGGCCCGTGTACCTGAAGGGCTGGGGGGCCTGCGGACCACTCTCAAGGACCCCAAATCCGTGCCGCAGGCCCTCCTGGAAGTAGCCCTTGTACACCTCGTCGGTGCTGTACCTGGGGAGGGCCATCAACAACGAGCTCTGCCTCATGGAGCTCAGCCCAGAGGATGGGCCCAGCCCATGAACCCCCCAGCCAGGGTCACTTACTCACAGATGCCGTAGCCACACATGCTGCCTTCTCGCCAGTGACACTTGTAACAGTCGAACTTGTCCTCAGAGGCCTGGGGCAGCAGGCGGATGCCGAAGCTGACAGCATGGTTGTGGGGGTGGGGATCAGCCCTGACCTGAGACGCCCATTACACCTACTCCATGCCACCCAGGAGTATCCCTGCCCCCAAGGAGCCTTCCAGACAACAGGGAGACTCTCAGAGGCCCTCAGCCTTCCTATCCTTCAAAGGGCCCCTCTCAGGACCCCTCCCTCCAGCCTGGTCCCGAGCACCTTGGAGCACCTTTTGGCCTGTACCACTCCCTCTGTGACCTCGAGCTGAGACGGGCCCCCTATTCAGGCCCCCGGTTCCCCTTTGGTACAGTGGGCGGGGGCTGGACCGGATTGTCTCTAAGTTCCTGCTTGAGGTTTGGGAATTCAGGATGGGGCCGGGCTGGTGACCACAGCAGGGGAGGAAAGCACCCTTCAGCCCACTGCACGCCTCCCAGCAGTAGCCCCAGCCAGCCTTACCCATGCTCCAGGCCCTGGCAGAAATTCCCCACGTGATTCCGCCCATCCGGCCATTTCAGGGTTCCCCTGGAACACAGTGGAGGTTCACGAGCCTCAGGCCTACCCACCCCTCAGCAACCTCAGCCACCTACTTTCTCAGACGCCCTCCCTTCCTCTTCCCTTGGACTGGGCTCCCTGCACCCACCCAGCCCTCTTGTCTGAGCTCCGAACATTCCTTGCAGAAAGCCCCTTTAGCCCTTTTCTACTCCTGGCCCAACTGTACCAGCAGCCTCATGGGGCACACTCACCACATCCCATAAGGAAAGCCCTGGAGACATCTAGGTTCCCTTTTTTCCCTTGACCAACAGGAAGCTCAGAGCTAAGAATCAAGCTCAAGTTTAATGCTGGTCTGTGGGGTTTCTACCACCCTCCTCCCCACTTCTGTGTTTTTTCTGTCCTTTTGTTCATAAGTCTTCTCGAGCCCTTTCTGAAAGGAGGCAGGGTATCAGAAACTAGCGGAGGTGCTTGAGAGTGTAGCCTTGTGAGTCCCTTCTGCTCTCTGGGTCTGTTTTCCCAGCTGTGGCATGGGGTGGGGCCACATGGTCTATAAAGGCTTGCCTGTCTGTGGGGTCACACAGACCTGTGATTGAGGCCGGCTCACCCTATCACTTGCCCTGAGACCTTGGGCAGGTTATGCCCATCACTAGGCCTCAGTGTTTGTACCTATGAAATGGGTAAAAGCACTCCATACAGAGCGTCTTCATGAGGACCGATGGAGATAGAATGTGTGCAAGCCATTTCAACACTGCCAGACAATGAGGTACAGATGTGAGAATTATTCTCCCACCCTCCTAAGAATGGAATGGCACCTGCAGGCTGTAAGGCCAGCGCGTGGTTGCTGCCCCTTGTCCTCTAGCGTCACCATCAAGACTTTATTTGGCACAGACTGTCTCTGGGCCAGGCCCAGTCCAAGAGGACTTAAGAGGGACTCTGAGAATTGACTGTCCACAGAGAGTAACCGCTCCTGGAACATGTCCTGAGACAATTAGGCTTGTGTGCTGCTCTCTGCCCCGCAGACCCCCAGGGAGTCCCACCTTGCCACCCAGAGCTCCAGCCACTCACTTGCCGTGGGGCCGGCCCCTGCACCACTCGCCCTCGTAGGTGGCCTGGCAGAGCCGGCCCTCTGCCTGGAAGGTATATTCTGCGCAGCGGCAGTCGGGAGGCTGGGAGGGCTCCAGGCCAGCCCCCAGCACGGGGAAGTCCTTCTTCCCATGCAGGGCCTGGTGAACAGCCCAGGTCACCTTCCACTGCCAGACTGCCTGGTGGGAGGGGGAACATGGGGAAGGGGATCACTGCTGCTGGAGGCTTTCCCTCCAGGAAGCCTTCTGGGGTAGCTCCAGGTACCACCCCCTCCACCCTCCACCTCCTACTCCATTTTGTCACCTTGGGGACCCTTCAACTGCTTCTTGCTACTCTCTGGGCCCTCCACCCAACCTGAGATCCTCCTCTGCAGTTTCAGGGCCTGCCCAGAGGGGCCAAACAAGACCTCAGGGCAGGGATCAACACAGGACCCAATTCTGTCTTTAGAAAGAAAAATACCCTGTTCTTTTTGACATTCTAATTCTTGACCCCGATTTACTCTGACCAGGTCCCCAGAAGCCTGCCAGACACTCGCCGGCACTCCTGTGGGGCCCTGCAGGGTTGCATACTTCTGCCCTCTTCCTACCCTGTCCTCTGACCCCGCTCCCGCAGTTCACAGCTCACCCACACTCACCTGGCCCTGGGAGTCCTTGGCACAAAAGGAGAACTCTTCTTCGGGCGTGAGGAGGTGAAACGTGCACCTAGACAGACGGAGGTGATGAGTAGGCCCCAGCTTTGTCCAGGAGGGTGGAGGGGCCCAAGCCAGAGTCCCAGGGTGTGGGCAGGTGTCATGGGGGTAAAGGGAAGAAGGCCTGGGGTGTCAGCCGAGGGGGTTGCTCACCCGTCCTGCCCAGGATCCACCCACACCAGCTTCAGATCAAAGGTGTGGACATTGTGGCCCTGGAAGAGGATGGACACAGGAGTCATCCAGAGCCCAGGCCAGATGCTCACCTACCCTCTGGCCAAGGCTTGCCCCAAGCTCAACCTTGTGTGGCCACCAAGGCTATTCTGCCCAGCATGTCCAGGACTGAGTCCCTCTCCCCTCTGGCTTGCTCCCCACCTCAGGGACAGCTCCTCCATGTCCTTTCTACCCCAGAGCTTGGCCAGGAACTCAGAACCAGCCTCTAGCCCCCTGTGGCTACCAGAGTGGTCTACAAATGAAGCTGGGACCTGGTCAACCCCTGCTGGAAACCTCTCTATGGCTCCTACTGCCTGGGGGTTGAGACACTGCTGAGCCTAACATTTAAGACCTCACAGACCACTACGCCATCAGGGCCACTCCACAATCACACCTTCATGAGCTTGCCCCAACCTCTCCTCACTGTGAACTTTTGCTCATACTGTTCCTTCTACCTGGAATGCCATCCTGCTCTGACAGCCAGAAAAAAAGCCCCTTCCTATGGGAAGATTTTGTGTAGCAACTTCCTACCCGGCCCAGTCAGGCCAATCACTGCTCCATACCAGAATGGGGAGGACGTGGGAGGCCCAGGCCTGAGGGGTGAGGAGGAGCTTGCCAGCCGCAGGCCAGGGACAAGAGATGGCCCACCAGACACAACAGCATGTGCAAAGGTCCAGCGTCAGGAGAGGGCTAGCACAGGGAAGGGACAGTAGCTCATCAGTGTACCTGGAGTGGAGTGTGAAGTTGGGAGTGGAGGGGAATTCAAACTAAATCAGAACCAATCCCAAAATCAGGCTTCAGGGGACACAGGTCTAGGCTGGGCAGCAGCTTCCTGCCAGGCCCCGGCCACCTGTCTGCAAGGGGGTTCCAGGCCAACCTTCTAAGGGGTAGAGAAGACTGTGCTGTGGACCTCACCAGGACAACATGATTTCAGGATGGATGAACCACAGTTGGTGACTGGCCATGTAACAATTCCCAGCCTCAGGCCTGGCTCCCTTCTGACTTCCACAATGCTGAAAGCCCAGGCACTGCTCCTGTAGGGTACTTTTCTCTAGAAGCCTTCTCATCCAGCCCTCCTTAGTCACCCCTCAGTCACCCATGACTTTCTGTCTGGGGTTCCTCTCTCATTTGAGTACAATGGGAACTAAGAGTTGTCTGGTGTCTACTGTAGAACAAACTCACTCACAATGACCCCCACATTCCCGATGGGAAAACGAAGGTGAAGACATGTAACCAAGGACACCAGCTGGGAAGGGCTGAAGCCGGGACAAACCCTGGACAGCCTTTCCCCTCAGCCCATGCTCCTCTGGGGACAGCTCCAGTGGACCGCCCCTCCCCAACACAACGCCTTTCTATCCCTGACCATCCCTCCCAGCCCACTTTCTCAGTCCCAGCAGCATGCCCCTTTACTGCTCCTTTTCCAGCCAGACCCCAGAACCCTACTGTGGCCTCAAGACCTTGGGTCAGCCCCACCCCAACCTGCAGCAGGACGAGGGCATCATCAAAGAGCAGCACACGCTCAGCCCGCAACGGTGCGACCGTCACGGGTACGTCCTGGCTGTCCTGAAGGAGTCTGTGAGCAGGGGTGCAGAGCACATCCTGGTGGGGCAAAGAGGACAGTACAAGGCTTAGGCACCTCTGTCCTGCAAGCTGCCTGCCACTCTGCCACCTCCCAATGTACCCCAGACACCTCCCAGAGGCCCCCTCCAGTAGACCTGGAGCGGACCCTGGGTCAGAGATAGGCAGAAATGCACTGATTATACATTCCTGGCTCTCTTGAAGCTTCAGTGTCCCCTCCCACACCTCTGTGCCACGGCCCCAGCCATGCCCCTATCAGTCCTCTCCCAGTACTCGGCCACCCCTGCCTCCCTTCCACAATTCTCGTTCCTCTACCTAGTCTCCTAATTCTCCACACCAGGTCCAAACCTCAGGGCACAGGGGACTCTCCTCCCTGCAGGGGCAGTCCATGCCATGGTGGGCAGTGACGCAAGGGTGTGATCGGTGATATCCCCAGGGGAGAGGACTGGTTCTGCTGATTGCCTCTTCCCTAGGCCGGGTCAGGGCCTGGCCCAGGACGTGCTCAGCAGACAGATAAGAATGGCTGGACAGAGGGACCTTACAGCCACCTGCTTCAGCCATCACTCCCCCTTCCATATAGGGAAACTGAGGCCCAGAGAATACAGCAAGCAGCTCAAGCCCCCCAACATCTCCATGCCCAATGTGGAACCCCCTCCCTAACTGCCCCTCAGGCCCCCAACTCACCCTCAGCCGGCCTCTCAGGGTGTGCCAGAGAGCCTGTGTGGCCACAGCCTGGTCCAACTCCTGCTTCATGAAGGACTGCAGGTTCCCAAAGAGGGTGACTGCGTTCACCACCAGCTCCCGGGTTGGGTGATGCTGAAGGGGGACAGGGCAGCCAGTGAGAGGAGAGCTTACTGGAATCTTCCCTAGCCCAGTCCTGGTCCCGGCTGGTGGGGAGGCCTGAATCTAGGCCAGACCTTGCCCTTCTCTCCCTGACAGCTCCTCTTCTGCTGGTGGGGCAGGGGGTGGAATATGAAGGTGCTTCCCCAGCTTGGCCCTGGGCCCACGTGTCCTCATTCCCAGGACGTGATTCTACCCCTGCTCTCTGGGTCTCTGCTGGCTCTACCAGGGCAGGGCCACGTGCCTCAGACACCGCAGGGAAGGGCAGTGCTTTCACCCACTAAGATTCCCTAGGACAGAACCATGTCTTCGGACCCCCTCCTCAGGGCTGGGCCACGTCCCCCATGTCCCCTGAAAACCACAGGACAGGCCTGTGACTTCCTCAACCCTCTCCCACCTGCCGGCATGGCTGAGTCCTTCTTGTACTAGGGTTCCTGAGTATAGGCTGAGCCCCCTGAGTCTGGGCCCTATCCCTCCCTTCCCTCGGCTTCCCCACATGCTGCTGCCCCTGGTACCCACCTCCCCAATGGTGTCCCCGAGGCTCAGCAGGAGGAGCACGTACTGTTGCACGTGATGGGCGAGTGGCTGGTGGAGGGCCTGGCCCAGCGATGCGCCCACCGAGCCCTCTGAGCTCACACCTGAAAGCAGCTGCCGCAGCGCCTTCCGCTGGCCCCGCCAGTACTCGCTGCGTGTAGAGAGGGCCACGCACCACCTTCACCCCTTCCTCCATTCCTGCACCCACACCGCCACCTCCCTGCCCCAGCTAATCCCCTCAGATCCCAGGGCCAGCCCCAGGCCCAAAACCTCTACCCTATCAGATCAACACAGTACCTGAGTTGCCCTCACAGGTTTAAGAGCAATATCTCAGAGTATGAAGGGATTGCTGATCACAACCATCCACCCTGAAGGGATTCCCCTCCTTCCCCGCCCCAAGGCCAGCCCAGCTAGAGCGGGTCTGGATTCTGTTCCTGGCCTCACTGGGCCTTCCCTGTTTCTCTTCCAGTGTGGATCAGTGCAGATTTGTAGAGCCAGGAGTCCTCCAGGATGAGTTGTGGGCTGTGACACCTGCTGCTCTGGGGAGGGGGCTTCCCCGACCCCACCCTCACTCAGGCACTCCCACCCTGTCAGGGGCCAGTGCACCAGCCCTGTGCTCACCTTCTCCTCTTTGCTGCCTTCTGGAAGGCCTGCACCACCATGCAGCTTGTGTAGGACTCAATGTACCTGCAGGCAGCACAGGGGACACCCTGCAAACCCAGTCCTCAGCCCCAGACCTAAGCCCCTGGTCCCTGGGATCCCCAGATCCCACCCACTAGTCAGCTGCAGCCCTGAGGGCCCACACAGTGGCCTGGCTCTGGGCACTGGAGACCTCAACTCCTGGGCCAACAAGACAATTCTAACATACAGTCTGTCTTCCCTGAGAGGCCCCAAGCCTCAGGTCTGGAGTGTCTGAGCCTGCTGTCAGGCGAATACCCAAGCCCAGGTGAGGCTGAACCCAGGTGAGCACCAACCATGGACTGAGCCCAAACCTTTGCTTGAACCCTGACCCATGTGAGCCCCAACCCCAGGTGAACCTTAATGCCAGGTGTCACTCTGACACCAGGGATGAGCCCCAGCCCCACCTCCAGTGGTCTTACTCTATGTGGGCCTGCAGTACACGGTCAGCACCTCGCAGCAGCAGCAGGGACTCCAGACCGGTGGAGTCCGGGTAACGCAGCCTCTCCTGCAGTGAGTGCAGGCTTTCCTCCGTCACCTCCCAGAGTTGCTGGGAGCTCTTGTGCAGCTGTTGCAAGAGCCGCAGGCACTCTCTGCCCCAGGGATCCGAGGGATCTGGGGCTGGGGAAGGAGTACAGTCACACTGTGAGTAGAGGACGTGGGCTCCATCTCCCAGGGAACATGCACAGGCCCCAGGTGTTCACATGAGAGCCACCAGCACCGGCCAGCCCTGGAGCTGCAGCAGGGTCTGCATCCCTGGGATCCGCAGGACAGAATTGGTGAACCCTAGAGCTGAGCAGGGGAAGGGCAGGCTGGAGCAGTGGGCAGTATCCTCGAGGAGGAAACAGGAGACACACCCACTCCTCACTAAACAGGGACAACCCTGACAGCCTCAGGGAACTAAGTACATACACGAATTCCCCCCTGGCTCTGGGCCTCCTCATCCTGGACTACTCAGATCCAGAATGTGAAGTCCACAGGGTCACACAGTCCTCTGCCATTTCACAGATGCACAGAGGCACCTGTCCAAGGCCTCACAGGTGAGAATTAAACTGGAAGTAAAACCTAGGCATCCTGTTCCAGTCAGTCTTGTTCCCCTCCCGGCACCATCAGGTGCCCTAGGTGGGAGCAAGATGAAAATTCAAGCAAAGGGCAGTTTCCAGTTTTTTACCCTGGGAAAGGAGGAATTCCATCTCTTTGTACAGCCTGGTCTGGGCTACAGGTAGGTTCATGGCCTGGCCCCTCAGCGTTCCTTTAAAAAAGGAGCAGTCAGACTTGGCGCAGTGGCTCATGCCTATAATCCCAGCAATTTGAGAGGCTGAGGCGGGCAGATCATTTGAGGTCAAGACTTTGAGACCAGCCTGGCCAACATGGTAAAACCCGTCTCCACTAAAAATATGAAAATTAGCCAGGCGTGGTGGCAGGCACCTGTAATCCCAGCTACTCAGAAGGCTGAGGCACAAGAATCGCTTGAACCTGGGAGGCAGAGGTTGCAGTGAGCCAAGATCGCACCACCTGCATCAGAAGATGCTGATACCAGGTGTCACCACTCCTATTTGAGGTTGAGAAAGCTGTGGCTCAGCAAGTCCAACAAGGTAGGTCTCCTGTCCCTGGGATCATTCCTCGGTGCCCTTCCCTCCCCACTAGAAAGCCTAGACTCACCGGCTGGGAGCAGGGGCTGGAGGACAAGGCTGTTGACATGGGCGAGGGTGGCTGAGAAGACCTCCTCCAGCCGCAGCAGAGCTGCCTCCTCAGGGTTGCACATGGCCAGGTGCCGGACTCAGGGCCTCCTAGGTAGGGCACAGGTTACAGCTAGATAGCACAGACAGGAGCAAGGCCAGTGCCCATCCTCTCAGGCAGGGTGCCCAGAAGCAAGGTCCATGACCACCCACATCAGAACTGAGCAGTGAGCCCAGATCGCCTCAAAGGGGAGTTCCTGGACTGGCCACTGACCTCTGCCCTGCTCCCTGCCTAGGCCCAGCTGAGGGGTCCCTGAAGGAGAGAGAGAGCTCAGAGCTGCCAAGGGAAGCAACCCTTTCTTCCCCAAAGGGTAGATGTTCTTTAAGCCCAGTTTGGCCTGCTCATTCCTCTGCTCAAATATCCACCATGGATCCCAAGTGCCCAGGATAGTATTAGTAGTGCCCTGGTCTTAGCCTCCTTTCCATCAAGTCTCCCTTCAGGGATTCTGCAGTCTCTATAAACAGGGTCATACTGTCAGAGGATCCCAGCCCTGTCCTCTAGCCCATGGTTCGGGACTCCCTGTCACCCAACCAGGCTGTGTAAGCAAGGAGAGTTTTGGAGGTATGGGGGAGTCCGGAGGCCTCCTGCTAGAGCCACGAATGATGGGCAAGAAATGAAAAGGAAGACAGGACCCAGCAGGCAAGTGGAGGAACCCTGAGAGTAAAGGCTCATGGGTGTGAGGGCCCAGCCTCTGAGGGCAGCCCACCAAGCAGCACCCCAAAGGACCACAGCTTCACTGTGCCTCAGTCGGCCGTGGACAGCCATGGAGGACTTTAGAGCAAGGTAATGATGGGATCCAAAGTCACATTTGGGGAAATAAATGTATGACAGTTGTAGAGGAGATAGTGCCAGGCAGTGAGAGAGAGTTCAATGTGGATGGGAGCCTGGACCCTCCATGGTCCCCTAACCAGACAGAGGGATCACTGATCACAACCATCCACCCTGAAGGGGTGCCTGCTGGATGGGTGGGGGCCCTTGGGGTGGGCAGGTGGGCTTGAGCCTTGAGATTTCCTGCCCTGGAGTGAGGGACCTTCCAATCAGGCAGGAATCACCTGGGAATGCAGTGTCCTGCCTAAAGGGAGGGGTGAAGAGAGGCCTGGGCTCAAACCTACCCCCACAGCCAGGCTACAGGCTCTACTCCAACAAAGCCCTCCCCTACCAGACCCTGGTACCCTCACTTGGCAATGTTCATCTGCCCAAATGACCTGATCAGGTATCTGGGGCGGAGAGTTAGAGGGTCTTTTAGCCCAAGACCCGCAGACTGTCTCTCTCCTTGTCTCTGACACGCTGAGGCTTTGGAGTTAGCCAACCTGTGTGGGGCAGGGGACAAAATCAGGGCAGCCAACGATGGGCAGGTGACACAGGCAGACCCAAAAGGGTGAGTGGGAAGGGGTCTCAGCCCTCCCCTCTCCACCCTGCCCCGAGAGTGCCATGCGGGCATCCCAGGCCCCTGGCAGAGCCTACAACTCCCAGGGAATTGGCTCTGGAATGGAGTGGGGCGGGTCCCTCAGAGCTCTGGCCAAAGGCCCAGGCCAGGCATTCCTGCCCCACCTTTCCTGCTACTGCTGCTTCGAGAGGGTGAGGCTGCAGAGAGAGAGGCAGGAAGGGGAAGCCACCAGACACCCAGCTGCAGCTTCTGTGCTGCAGCTTCTTCTCCCTCTGTGGGCCCCTGAGGCAGACCCAGGCCCCCAGGACACAGGGGGCTCCAGGTCAGCTCAGGCAGACAAGGAAAGCCCAGCCAAGGGAATAGGGGTGCAGCCAGGCCCACCTAACTCTCACCCGTATCTCCCGAAACTGCTGGAATGGAAAGGCGCTTTGGGGGTGACCTTTTCACTCTCAGCTGGCAGTCAGCTGGGGTCTAAGCTAAGAGGTGAGGATATCCAAGCCTGGTTGGGAAGGTAGAAGAAAGGGTGAGGCTAGGATAGGAGATGCAGACTAGGAACCAGATCAGTGCACGTTGAAAAGATACTGCAGTAAATAACTCGCTGCTAGGAAGACTTGAACACCAACATCCCTACACTCTCCGGGGGGCCAGCACCATGACCCCAGCCGACACCATACCCTGGCAAGGAGCTCTCTGACCCTAGAGATAGCCTCTCCTCCTCAGGCTTCCTGTCCCTCGTCCCCACTGCCCAGTCTCAGCTGCTCCCCCAGGAGCAGCCCTCACCTGGCTGCTCAGCCCTGGACATGCTTCAACTTATCCACAGCCTTACTCCTCTCTGTACCTCAGCCACCCCTCTACGAAATGGGGGTTCAACCAGATCACAGCATTTTTTTCTTTTTATTTGTTTGTATTTCTTTCTATTCTTTTTTTTTTTTTTTTTTAGAGATGGGATCTCACTATGTTGACGAGGCTGGTCTCAAACTCCTAGCCTCAAGTGATCAACCCATCTTGGCCTCCCAAAGTGCTGGGATTACAGGCGTGAGCCACTGCGCCCAGCCAAAGAGGATCACAGCTTTTCAAACTACTTAAGTCTCCCCTCAAAAGGACAAACAGGTGGAAGGGGGCTTCTCTGGGTGTGGGGATCTGGTCCTTAGACTCCCCACCCCACAAAGCAGCCTATGACTCCGGGGGTGAGTCCTCCAGACTCAAGTTGGCAACTGTTAATCTGGGAGTCTTCCACATCTGTGGCCCCAAAGGGATCTATAACCCTGGGAAACTGAGTCACACCACCCAGAGGAACGGGCAGAAGTTAAGCATGGCTGGTGAGGCAGTGGGTTGGGGGAAGGCCGCAGTGGAAGCTGGGATTCTGGTTAGGTGACCCTGAGGGACCCAGCTCCCAGGCTAGGGAGTCTGGGGCTTCATCCTGGAAGTGATGAGGAGAGTGTAAGTGCAGGGGTGAGGCAGCGTGAATGTGCATGAGTGTGCACGTTTGCAGGGCAGGAGGAGGAGGTGCTGAACCTTAATATGAGGAGGATCCTGCAGGAGTACCCCCCTCCCCAACCCCTGTCCCATCCCTAACCTTCCCCCTTCCAGTCAAGGGCATAGCTTCCTCACCCTCTCCCTCCCTCCAGTTCAAAGGTTCCTTAGTGACAGGCTGTGCCTAATGTACAGATGGGGAAACTGAGGCCCAGGAACAATGGGAGGGTCCAGAGACCCTTGTGTAGAACTTGTGCAGGGCTCAGACCCAGACTTCTGGCTCCAGCCCACCAGGTTCACCTAGCTAGATGGCTCAGAGAGGGTGGGCAACTCACCTGAGGCACAGAGCAAGATCCTGACGGGCCCTGCCTCACAGCTGTCCTCAGGCAGCCCTGATGCTCACCACGGGGTGCGGTGGGGTGGGGCAGGGTGAGGACAGAACTGGCCAGTCACGGCGTGCCCAGGTGAGTCAGCGGCTGCCCCTGTGGCGCTCTAACCAGTAGCCAGACCTGGTCTCTCCTCTGCATTCCTGGCCTCTGTCCACGCTAGGTCCCTCCCGGGCAGGGTCACTGGGGCCTTCCCTGTCCTCTCCCAGGCCTGGCTCCTTAGGCCCCTGACACACCTTGTCGTGACACTCACTCACTCTGGTATTTCCTGGTCTGAACAGGCAGGGAAGTTCTGCCTGCTGTGGAGGCTTTTTCATGGGCTGCCGTGGCAGCCCCTTCGTTGTCTGGTGCCCAGTGGGGGAGAGTAGAGACACGCACTGCCCCAGGGAGGGGGCGCTGAACTGTCACACCTGATCCCTCAGTCTCATGCTCGCCTCTCCCCGCTGCACCCTTCCTCGGCCCCACCATGGCTACAAGCCTCTTGTCCTAGACAAGCACCCCTCCCTGCTGTCGCATATGTCCCAGCTTCCCTTCCTCTCCCTGCCCAGGCACACACTCAGTCGCTGGAGTTTCCCAGACCCGAGCTCCTGTTCCGGCCGCCAGGCATTTGCCATGCCGCTCCCATGCGAAAAGGCCACCTCCTGGAATCCCGGGTCGGGCCCTTCCGCCCTAACCAGCCGGCGTCACCTCCTCCTGGCAGTCTCTCCTGCTGGCTGGGGCCCCGTGGCCCTGCCACCACGGCTCAGGTCAGGCCCGGGGCGCTGCCCCGAACCCAAGCAGGCTAGCAGCCAGGCAGGGAGGACGACGCTGTGAGCGGGGTATCTTACGAGGGACTCGGACGGCCGGGGGATGACTGCCGCCGGGACCAAGGAGCTGGGCGGGGACCGCAGCAGCCGAGGAGGCGGGAGCCCCCACCTGGACGAGCTAAGCGTGGAGCGCAGACACCCGTCCGCAGACGCGCGCCCTTCGTCGCGCCCTTACCTGAGCGCTGTGGTTGCCCCGCGCCGGGACTGCCTGTGCGGCTCCTCGCTCGCACCCCCACCCTGCCCCCTGCCAGTCCCGCCCCCTGCCAGCCCCGCCCCCTTCGCCCAGCCCCGCCCCGCCCCGCCTCCGGGTGTTGCTCTGGAGTTGCGGGGGCCACGGGCGGGCCACCGAGGAGCTGGCGCGCGGTATTGATCCGTCCCGCCGCCCCAAGCCTCTCCTGAGGCCTCCCTCTGGCGTCCCCCGGGATCCGGAGGCCCCTGGGACCCGGCGCGGGGAGGAAAAGTGGGAGTCTTGACCCCTCCGCCCCCTACGCACCCACGCGCACACTCAGGCTCGCCTCTCGCGCCCCGCTTCCCCTGCAAGGCTCCGAGGCCGCCGTGCCACCACCTCGCCCCGCCAGTCAGTCGCTCTGCGAGCCTGTGGTGCAGCCCCGTGACCTCCCGGGTCTGCCCTGAGTCACAGAAGCCAGCACACGCGGAGCGCTGTGTGGGTTCGTGGAACTTGGAGCCTGTAGAGGGGTATACTGAGGCGCCCTGCGGCCCCCTGGGCTGGGTGTCCACGGCCGGCCGCCCCTCCTGTGCGACCTTGGGGAAGTCCCCTTTCCTCCCCACTCCTGAGTCTCAACAGGCCTAGTAGAGCATGAAGCCGGCCGCGTGTGCTTTGTGCGAAGGCCTGAGACCTTGGAAAGGGTGGCTGAAGACTTATCTGGGACAGACCCCCCGGGAGCGGGAGGGAACTTAGTTCAAACCTGTAACAAAGAAGCCCCCCGTCAGCAGCCTGATTCCCCCTCTGGCCACCAGGTTAGTCACCCATTGCTCTCAGTGGCACTCAGGTTCCAGTGAGGGGGAGGCTCAGGGTCCAAGGCGGCCGTGGAAGAGCAGAAAGGGTGGCCCACCAGCCCCCTACTCAGCCCCCTACTGAGGAGGTGGGAGGCATCCCCCAACCTGCCAGGCTGAAGAGACCCCCAGTGGAGGTAAGTAGGGGCCTGGGGCCTGCCAAGCTCATCCCCTGGCTCCCTTGGGTTGTTGCGAGGTGGGAGTTTACTGTCTGCCAAGCTGCACATCACCCCTTGGAGGGTTTCCAGCCTGGGACCCTTGTCTGAGTGACTGCAGGTCCCAGTGACCTCACCCTTTTGCCCCACATTGCTCTCCTCCTGGGTCCCAATCCTGCAGAGCCGCCCCTTCCTGCTTCTCCATCCCTCCCCACATTGCCAAAGCCCGCCCTAGCTCTGGCCTCCCCTTTTCCAGCCTTGTTTTCTTGCCCCCTTCTGCACCCCCTGCTGCCTGAGGGGCTCCACTCCCAAAGGCCTTGCTCCTCTGGTCCCTGCCTGCTAGAGGTGTTGCTGTGTTGGTGGGTGGGGGCTACCTCAAGGAGGCTTCTGGTGAGGTGTCCCTCTGGCCCTCTGGGAAAGCCTCCCCTCCCCATGCCCTCCACCCCCAGGCTCCGGACCTTGGCCCCCACTCCCCTTCACAGCCCTGTTGGCCTGCGGGACTGTCTGCTGGGGCACTTGGCTCCCTGAGTCTACAGCACAGCCTGGCAGAGCCACCGCCCCAGCAGGTGGAATGAACTGAGGCTTCAGGTTCTAAACAGGCCTCCAAGGTCTTCCCTGTGGGGATCCTTTGTGCCTGTGGGGCAGTGGGAGGTAGCGGTACATTCTGGAAGAGCTGGTATGGGGCCTTGTGCTGCTTTCCTCTTGCTGTGTGATCACAGGCAGTGTGTGGCCTCTCTGTAACGTAGTGCCCCTGCTGGTGAAATATCTTACCTGCGCCTCCTTCTCGGGGTTATGTGGGACTCTGAGAGGAGGGGTATGGTGGGTTCAAGGGGCTCCTTCAGGGATGAGCACGGTTTAGAGGATCTATGGGTCCCCTAGAGCATGGGTGTGGGCCACCAGGCATCCCTGGGGCTTAGGAGGGAGGCAAGGGCTGGAGAGTGGCCATGGCCTCAGGAGGAGCATATGGCCTCACCACTTGTGACGAACAGGGACAGGTGGGGCAAGGCCCCGAGCAGGACAGATCTGATCTTATGCTAGGTGTCTCTGGGCCTCACTTTCATCATCTGCACGTGCAGCTGAGGGAAGGCAGTGCTGCCTGGGCTCGAGCAGGAAGGGAAGGGCTCCCACGGCTTCCTCCCTAGAGCACAGACTTCCTGTTCAGCCACATCTAGGGGAATAGAAAGGCTGACTGAGCTCTGGGCAGCAGACCAGTCCTTCCCCCATTCCCTGGGTGACCTCATGGGCATTGCAAGCCCAGTTTTCCTATCTGCTAAATGGGGCAAGACCTGCCCAGCCTCTCTTACAGCTCATTCTTGGCTTGGGGCCAGGTAAGGCCTCTGGTAGTGCCCAAAGGACAGCCTCTGCTGAGTCCACCTGCCTTCAGTCCCCTGCAGCACAGCCAAGGGCCCCTAGCCAATCCCACCACAGATGTGTATACCCACCCACACCACTCCCACACCCGCTGCACACAGATACAATTCCACAGTCAGGGAATGGGTGGGTCCCTGTGCCACATGGACCCATCTACCATTGAACCCACTGGTAAGGACTCCAAGTTGCACAACTCTAGTGGCAGCCCTGGGTATGCGTGTGCAGATCATGTGCCCATCCACAGGGACACAGACCTGCACACTACTCCAGGGAACACACACGTATGTGAATGGCACCTGTGATTCTGGAGCCATTGAGACTCATACCCAGCCACACACAAAGCTGCATGCAGAATGCACATGCACTCCCATGTGCACCAGTGCCTTAGTACACAAAGCACATGCTCAAGCACACGCAGGTCTGACACAGGCCTGGCCCAGCCCCACAGCTATTCTGAGCTGAGCCTGGGGCTGATGAGGTCAGGGACAGCCAACTCCCAGCAGGCCCCAGCTGCTGTGGCACAGGCCTAGGCTGCCCAGCTCCCACCCCCACCCTAGGCTGAGTCCCTGGATCCTAGCCTAGCTTTGTGACTGGGGGTCCTCATTTCCTACCCCCAGCTCCCCCAGAGCTAAACTTTAAGCCCTGGGATTTCAGGCTCCAGGAGAGAACATTCCACAGGGTCCTCTGGCCACTACCCCCTGCCTTGCTCACAGCTTCCAGTTCAGAGGCCCTGGAGGCTGGACTGGGTCCCTACAGGAAACTCACAGGAGCTAAAATTAGTACAGGAGGGAGAAGCAGGGATCTGCAGACCAGCATTCACAGCACCATGTATGGAGGGGACACTGTCTTCCAGGGAGCAAGGGTGGGGGACTTGGAGTCCAGAGGTCCCCAACCCCAGATATGATGGGCCCAACTGATTTTGGGGTGCAGGGGGATGTGGAGGCCTCCTAAGAAGCAGAAACAGTACTGGACACTGAGCAGTGTCCTGGGTTGGAGGCAAAGGCTGAGGTGGAGGCCATAGTTCCTGTGTGACCTTAGGCAGGGCATAACCCCTCTATGAGCTTAAATTCCTCACTGAAAAGCCCTCAGAGATGTAAAGTCCCTCAAAGATGGGGGAAAAAAAAACCCATGTGGTGTTAGGTATTGATTTTCATCCTCGGCTACTGGCTCATAGCTCCCATTGCCCTTGTTACGGTCTTTGGCTATAATGTGTTGGGCCTCAGGGCAGGCCCCAGGAAACGGAATCTCTCTGACCTTCTCCTGCTCTGCTTTCACCTGCCCCAAGTCAGGACCCTAATTTTCCCACACCTTTCTGATTGCGAGTCTTAAGACCCTCCCCAGAGAGGGTCCTGCCCTATACTCTGGGAGGAAGGAATGCAGATGTCGTGAAGCCTCCATAAACCCCAAGAGGACAGGGTTCAGAGGGCTTCTGAATAGCTGAACGTGTGGAGGCTGGGTGGCATGCCCAGGAGGGCATGGAAGCTCCATACCCCTTCCTCCATATCTCGCCCTATGCATCTCTTCAGCTGTATCCTTCGTAATACCCTTTACAGTAAGCCAGTAAAAGTCAGTCAGTGCTTCCCTGAGTTCTGTGACCCACTCCAGCAAATTAAGCCCAAAGAGGAGGTTGTAGGAACCCCAGCGTGAAGCCAGTTGGTCAGAAGTTCCAGAGGCCAGACTGGCAACTGGTGTCTTGGGGCTGGGTGGGCAGTCTTGGGAACTGAGGCCTCAATCTGTGGGATCTGACACTATCTCCGGGTAGATCATGTCAGAATCGAATTGGAAGGCACTCAGTTGGTGTCTGCTGCTTGGCATTTAGGGAAAAAACCCACACATTTGATCACAGAAGACTTCTGTGTGGATGATTGTTGTTGTGTTGGTGTACGAGCAGAGGAAAAGATATAGTTTGAGAGAGTTTTCAAAACTACTTTAACTTTCAGGATGTTCGCCTTAACGTGGTGTTTAATACTGGAGAATTGGAAGCAATGGAAATGTCCAACAATAGGACAGAGATCCAACAAGGTTTTTTGTTTCTTTTGTTTTGTTTTGTTTTGTTTCTTTTTTTTGAGATGGAGTCTTGCTTTCGCCCAGGCTGGAGTGCAGTGGCGCCATCTCAGCTCACTGCAACCACCTCCTGGGTTCAAGCAATTCTCCTGCCTCAGCCTCCCGACTAGTTGGGACTACAGGCACGTGCTACCGGCTAATGTTTTGTATTTTTAGTAGAGATGGGGTTTCACTGTGTTAGCCAGGATGGTCTCGATCTCCTGACCTCATGATCCGCCCACCTGAGCCTCCCAAAGTGCTGGGATTACAGGTGTGAGCCACCGCACCTGGCCCTTGCTGAGTTTTTATACAGTGTAGTATCACACAGCCTTTAACAAGAATGATAATAATTATAATGACTAGCGTTTAATGAAGGCTTGTGATATGCTGGTGCATGATACTGAATTAAAAAAAAAAATAGAGATGGCGTCTTGCTATGTTGCCCAGGCTAGTCTTGAACTCCTGGGCTCAAATGATCCTCCTGCCTTGGTCTCCCAAAGGTGTGAGCCACTGCACCTGGCCCATGATCCTGAATTATATCTGTTTTACAGATGAGGGACTGAAGCTCAGAGGGGTTAAGTAGCCCACCTGAGGGTTCACAGCCGGCAGTATGCTCATGTCCCAGAAACCTTAGTGCAGTTTTAAGCTTTAACAACTTCAGAAGTTAGGACATATAAAGCTATGAATTTACCAAAAAATTTTTTGGAAAGTTTGTTTAAATTCTCTTATGCTACTTTAGTTTTGTGAATTTTGAATGACCTAAGTTTCTTTTTCTTTTCTTTTCTTTTTTTATTTTTTATTTTTTATTTTTTAGAGAGACAGGGGTCTCACTATATTGCTTAGGCTGGTCTCAAACTCCTGGTCTCAAGCATTCCTCCCACCTCAACTTCCCAGTGTTAGGATTACAGGCATGAGCCACCACACTCAGCCGACTTAAATTTCTTTCAGTCAACTTTTACCATCTTCAGAGGGCACAAAAGGAAACTTAAACTTTCAAATGGTGTTTCTTATTTTTTTTTTTTTTTTTTTTTTTTTTGAGACAGAGTTTCGCTCTTGTTGCTGCCCAGGCTGGAGTGCAATGGCACGATCTCGGCTTACCGCAACCTCCGCCTCCCGAGTTCAAGCGATTCTCCTGCCTCAGCCTCACGAGTAGCTGGGGTTACAGGCATGTGCCACCTCACCCAGCTAATTTTGTATTTTTAGTAGAGATGGGGTTTCTCCATGTTGGTCAGGCTGGTCTCGACTCCTGACCTCGGGTGATCTGCCCACCTCGGCCTCCCAAGGTGCTGGGATTACAGGTGTGAGCCACCATGCCTGGCTAAATGGTGTTTCTCATACATTTGTAGCTTTATACTTCTGAGGTTATTAAAGCTTACAACTGCACTGAGACTTTTGGGACACCCTGCTGTTTAAGTTCAGTCAGTTTGATTTTGAAGCCCGTGTGATAGTATTTGGCTGTGGTGGGGTCAAGGAGGATCTAGAGTACTTGAGTTGGTTAAAAAAAGTTCTGGGTACAAAAGTATACTAGAAATAGTGTACTGTAAGATCTCAGCTGTGTTCAGGAGTCTGCAGAGAAGTGGAACCCACGCAGAGCAGTGGCCATCTCAGGGAACACCGGGGGACACATATGATTGTATTTTCTTTCAGATTTCTTCACTAGGCTTGCCCTACTTCTTGATGGATGGATGAACTTTACAGAAAACAGAAACAGCTCTCCTCTGGGCTGAGCTGTGATTGGGAGCCTGTAAGCAGCAGAGCACTGCCTGTCCTGCTAAGGAGAGCCAGCACTCCCATATTCATTAATTCATATCATCCTCACATCAATCATGGGAGTCTCACCCTCCCCATGCCATGGATAAGAAACAGAAACAGAGGAGTAATGCTTTGCTCAGTGCATTACTGACAGGCTCACTTAGTCCTCACCCTGTCCAGCCTCCCTGACCCCATGTCCCGAGGGTGACCTCCCTGACTGGTCAGTGTGGCTTTCCCTAGCCTGGCCTGTGACCAGCAGCATGAGGAAGTGGGGATTGGAGTGCTGCAACAAGTGATTTGGATTTTAGCAGAGTTCCTGTTTGCCTGGCCAGGGCATGCCTGGGGAGGACTGGGTGGCCCAGCCCACTCAGTCCCCAGACTTTACCTCCCACTGTTGAGCGTTTCCTCGATGGGTCTCCTGGGCTGCAGTCCTTCTCCAACAGCTCTCGTTTTCCTGCCTGGCTGTCATCTCCGGGCCCTGACACTGGCAGGTGACCGCAGGTGGCCCTCCGCTCCCTGCTGCAGCCTGCTGTGGTCCTTGCCCATTCATGGCATGTCCAGGCCAGAACCTCACAGGGCTCTGGAGCCACAGGGTCTCCCTGGTTCTCAGGGCAGGCCTTGCTGGGCCATCCCCAGCCTGCGCAGGCCTTCACCAGTGCCCCTGGTGATAAGGGTTCCAGGGGCCCAACACCTGGGCTGCTTCTCCTAACACTCAGCAGCAGGAGATAAATAAGAATAGAAGGAAGGAAGAAAAGGAGGGAAGGGGAGTCTACCAACTCCAGGCCTCCCCACTCCTCTTCCTAAGTCTTCAGCCCCCACCCAGGTCTCTACATCTCCTCAGAACCTCCCTCTGTCCCTCAGTTGTCAAGGCTCAACATGGGGTCAGGGCCAGAGTGCAGTGTGGGTCAACTTCAGCATGAGGTCAGGGTCCTGGCTTAGACTGAAGTCAGAGTCAGTGTTCAGGCTGGGGCAGAGATTGAGGGCAGCCAGGGTCAGAAAATGGTCCTCCAGCCCTTCCAGGGACAGCCCACTTCTGTCCTGTGGGGCTGAAGATGCTGGCTTCTTCTGGAACCCTCCATAACACTGCCGGCTGGCAGCTCTGACCATACCATCCCCTGCTCTCCAGCTCTGGTGTCCAGGGTGACCAGAGCCGCCTCTGGGCAGGAAGCCAAGCCAGAAAGCCCAGGACATCCCTGAGCGCCTGTCACCATGGCAACCTGCCCGCTCTGCCCCCCCCCCAAACTCAAATCCAGTATATTTTTCAAATCCAGCATGACAGAATGGGAAGGGCCTCCTAGATCAGCAGATTCCAGTCCCACCCCCTTGTCCCAGATGGAGAAACTGAGGCCCATTTGCAGAAGGGAGGGGGACCTGTTGATTAGGGACCTGGCCCCAGCCTGTCCTCCCTCCCGCCCACCCCCACCTCAGTGTCCCTGGGGATGCGGAAGGTGGGGGCAGGGAGGGGGAGCCTGCGGCCCGATCTCCCGGGAAGGAGGGGGCGGGCCCTCCACCGCAGCGATGGCGGGGGCGGGCGGCGCGGGAACCTGACACCGAGGATGAATAAATGATGCTCGCTGACTACCCGTGGCCAAAGCCCGTGGCCACCGAGCGCCGGCTGGCAGGGGCAGTGACCGGCGGCCGGCCCGTTCGTCCCTGGGCTCCGCAAGCGGCGCGGTGGCACGAAGATGGCGGGGTGGCCGGGCGCGGGTCCCCTCTGCGTGCTGGGCGGCGCCGCACTCGGGGTGTGCCTCGCGGGGGTTGCCGGGCAGCTGGTGGAGGTGAGGCCGCGGCACGGAGGGACTGGGGAGGCTGTCACCCTCCAGGCAGGGGGCTGGGGGAGAGGGGACGCCTTTTTGATCCGGAGCTTGTTTGATCCCTTACTCTTGCCCTGAGAGATCCAGTCTCCCGGGCGATGCAGCCCTGCCCCAAGCCCTGCCAGGCTGTGAGAGAGACTCAGCCCCACTCTTAGGGTCCCTGGTCTGATGGAAGGGCACAGTACCCGATTTCTGGAACATTAGTCTGACGGGGGAGACTCACCTTGACCTTAGGGATTCCCAGCCTGACTTGGGGACACAGCCCTGCCCAGACTGATGGGGGATACTGGGCCCCCATCCTCCAGCCTTTGGTCTCACTGGCAGGGAGGTGCACAGCCCTGGGTTTCCTGGACCTCTAGTCTGATGGAACAGACCCTGAATTTAGGGTCTTCTGGAGGCAACAGCCTCTATCTCCAGAGATGTTCCAGGGACCCCTGTCTAATGGAGGGGGAGACATAGCCTTAAGATGGAGACGAGGGCATTCCAAGTTGGAGGGTGGGGGCAGCAGGATGAGGAGACCCTTTACAGAGAAGCTATGTGGAGCACTAGGTCCAGAGGGGCAGGCAGGGCAGGACCTAGGGACTGGGAAGTCTGACTTGGTCCTGGTGATAACCGGGAGCTTTAGAAGGTTTCTGCTCAGGGACAAGTCATGATGAGTTCTGGTTTGGAAGGAGGGTAAATTGGGAGCAGGCACACAGTGGGAGAGGTGGGAGGAGCTGCTGAGATAGCACAGAAGCTGGGGGAGAGCCCTGGTGGAGAGCCTGGCTGGGGCCAGGAAGGGTGGGGCCATCTGTAGCCTCCCTAACCCCCTTGTACCCCACTCCTGCGGAGCCTGAAAGGGGAGCCAACGAGGGAGCTGGCAGACCAGACCTAGAGTTCTGAATTGTGAGGCCAGAGGGAGAAGGCCCAGGAGCCAGGGCCAGGGAGGAGCAGGGGATGGAGGCTGTGCAGGCAGGGGCGGACCAGAGGGAGCAGGAAAACAGAAATGCAAGAGGCAGTGAGAGGTGCCCAGGGAAGTCCTGAGGGGTGGGGGCTTGGGGACAGTGTGGGATAGAGAGGACAGAGCCATGGGGAAGTTGTTATGGGGGGACACAGCCCTGAACTGGAGGGTTTGATGGGGACATAGGGACAGAGCCCTGGACCCAGATGTAGCCTGTCCCTGCTGTTGCCCAGAGGGCATGACCACAAGGCTGGGCTAGAGTCAGGTGTCAGCTCCAGTGTCCCTGTAAGGGGAGCTATGCTGGCTTGAGCCCTGTGAGGCGTACTTGGGCCCCTCACAGGCTGCCCTGAGGCCTGGGTACAGAAACTGAGCTGGCCTAGGTGCAGACAGAAAGCTGGGGGTGGGGGTTAAGTCAGTTCTCAGCCAAGGACTCTTCTCCCTCACCCCCAGGAACTCATCTTTTCCCAGTTCTAGGGAAATTGCATTTGGAGGCCATCTGCCTGACATCTGCCTACAGTCTGAGCAAGGCCTTAGCTCTTCCCTCACGGAAGCACCAAAGACATGGGCAGGGCTGGGGGCCATGTCACCACCCACCTTAGCCCTGTGTGGGTCACCATCACCCTCCATCAGCCCGTGAGGCTCTGAAGGAGGTGGGGACCTCCATGCTCCAGAAATCAGACCCCAGCAGGGCCCAACATGAGGAGAAGACCAGCTGTCATCTGCTGCCGTCCACCCAAGACCCCTATCAGTAAGAGTAGGCCCAGCTCCACCCACATCAGGGCTGGGGCAAGAATGTGTAGGAAGTGAGCTGCCTTGGCTCAGAACCTGAGAACTTTGCCATGGCCCTCAGAGTCTTCCAGTCATACAACCAGCCGGGCCAACACATTGAGCCTTAGAATTAGGGCAGCTGCCACCATCAGGGCCCTAACCCTAATGGCACAGACATGTCCCTGACCACACCCACATGCATGCCAACCACACATGTGCCCAACCTCACACATGTTCCCCAACTTTATGTACATGTCTGACCCCACACATATATCCAGGGGAAAGTACTGAGGAATGGTGTCTTCTTGTCAATAGCTCACCCTGGCAGGGAGAAAAGAGCCTGAGAATCAGGTACCAATCCCAGCCCACAGATCCTCTGGGTTACCTGGGACAGGTTGCTGATCCTCTCTTGAGTTCTGCAACCCACGCTGAAGGGTGGCATTCACTAGATGAAGAAGCGCCTGGCTCATGACAGATGCCTAATCCATGTTTACGGACCTGGGGGAAGAAGGGCTGGATGGTCGAACTACAGGTTGCCTTTCTTCTCAGAGAACCAGAAGGGACTTCTCGTGTCTGTCCTTATTTAGTAATCAGTGCACAACATCTCGCTCATATGCCCCAGGGTTCTCTCTCCCTCAGAGGACAGACCCCTCTCCCTGTCCCTCAGCCACACTAAGTGACAGACATGGGGTCATATCCATCTCTGGTCAGGGACAGATCTTACTCAAATTCTACAGTGTGGGTCCATGTCCCTTCAGACCTAGGCAGGACTGTGTCCCCTAGACACCCAGGGTAGAGCTGTGTCCTCTAGACACCCAGGGCAGGACCGTGTCCCCTAGACACCCAGGGTGGACCATGTCCCTAGACACCCAGGGTGAAGCATATCCCCTAGACACCCAGGGCGGACCATGTCCCTAGACACCCAGGGTGGACCATGTCCCCTAGACACCCAGGGCAGGACCATGTCCCTAGACACCCAGGGCAGGACCATGTCCCTAGACACCCAGGGCAGGAACATGTCCCCTAGACACCCAAGGTGGACCATGTCCCTAGACACTCAGGGTGGACTATGTCCCCTAGAGACCCAGGGTGGACCATGTCGCCTAGACACCCAGGGCAGGACCATGTCCCCTAGACACCCAGGGCAGGACCATGTCCCTAGATGCCCAGGGCAGGACCGTGTCCCCTAGACGCCCAGGGCAGGACCGTGTCCCCTAGACGCCCAGGGCAGGACCATGTCCCCTAGACGCCCAGGGCAGGATCATGTCCCTAGACACCCAGGGTGGACCATGTCCCCTAGACACCCAGGGTGGACCATGTCCCCTAGACACCCAGGGCCAGGGTCATGTCCCTAGACACCCAGGGTGAAGCACGTCCACTAGACACCCAGGGTGGACCATGTCCCCTAGACACCCAGGGCAGGACCATGTCCCCTAGACACCCAGGGCCAGGGTCATGTCCCTAGACACCCAGGGTGAAGCATGTCCCCTAGACACCCAGGGTGGACCATGTCCCCTAGACACCCAGGGTGGACCATGTCCCCTAGACACCCAGGGCCAGGGTCATGTCCCTAGACAGCCAGGAGCAGGGTTGTCTCCCCTCAGACCTGGGCAGAACTATGTCCCCTAGACACCCAGGAGAAGGGCTGTGTCCTCTCAGACCTGGGGCTGGGCCATGTCCCTTAGATATCCAGGATGAGGCCATGTCCTCTCAGAACTGGGGCAGGACTGTGTCCTCTAGACCCTGGGGCAGTGTCCTATCCCCTCAGTCCCCCAGGGCAGGGTCATGTCCACCTGGAAAGTGGGAGTGTCTGGCTGTGCTCTATTCAGGCTTGCTACAGCCGCACTTCTGCCTTTTGGCCTCCAGGTGTCGCCACAGCACTGCAGACCTTTTATTTATCCAGTGCCTGTCCTGTGGACACTCTGGGAGAGTCTTCTGTTCAGAGTGACTCCTAGTAGGGTAGGCGACCAAAGGAGGCCACCTGGCAGGGGTCCAGGCCAGCTGGCAGAACTATGTGGCCCAGACTCCTAGCTCCACACCCCACCCTCACTGGGGAGATGTGAGAGCAAAGCCAGTTAGCCAGCACCCCCCAGGCCTCGCCTTGTCTCTGGCCTTGGTCCTGAGACCCCATCTGCCTGGGTGGAGCCCAGGACTGGAGTAGGAGGGTGTGTTCATAGGGGCCTTGAACCTGGCCAGGACAAGCCATCCACATTTGCTCCTCCAGGCCTTGGTTTCCCCAAGCATCAACCACCCTCCCACTTCAAGTACCTGGCTCTGCTCAGTTCTCTTGCTCTAAATCTGGAACTTTCCAAGGTCTAGGGTGTTGGTAGTGCATGCTTAAGAGAGTTGATTCTAGGAGATTCTGATATGCTTGGGCTGAGTGTTTGCTGAGACCTGGGCCCTTCTCAGCTGGTTCCAGCCAGCTGGCCTCTGCCTAACTCACTCCCCTCTCTCCTGACCCACAGCCCAGCACGGCCCCACCCAAGCCCAAGCCGCCTCCGCTGACCAAGGAGACAGTGGTGTTCTGGGACATGCGCCTGTGGCACGTGGTGGGCATCTTTTCGCTCTTCGTGTTGTCCATCAGTGAGTAGCTGTTCCCTTCCCTCTCCACCACACTGCAGTGGGAACACAGCACCCCCTGCCCCCCAGAGGGCTCAGAGCAGCAATTCCGGGCAGTGCAAGTAGGCCAGGCACCCGCAGGAGACCCGCGGTGGTTTCTGGCACCTCCTGATCCACACAAACTCCCCGTGGAGGGCTGACAGGCCGGTGGTGACCTGAAGTATTCTGCAGGACCCAGGGAGGTAGCCACATGGCAATTATGGTAATTACAGGGAACTCCACTGAACCAAGGACTGGGACGAGGACGTGTCATTTTTCCCTATGGCTGGCCTCCTGATGCTTTTCCTGCAGTTTGGCCAGCTTAAAGGCCCACACCCAGGGGCCCCAGCAAGGCCATCCTCCACTAGAGGCTCCCCAGACACCCAGCAGATGTGGCTCCCAGGCTTCAATCCCTGCCTTGTCAAATACCATTTTCCGGGAGTGACTCACACCCGCCTCAATTAAAAGCAGGAAACCCATTCCTCTCCTGGGCTCTGGGAGCTTCTTGATGCAAAGTCGCAGCAGAAATGGGCTTGGCCGGCTCCCCTTAGCCCTCCCCTCAGAATGGAGGTCTGGAGTTGGGGAAGGGGACAGAAAGGCACAGGAGACAGAGGCCAAGTGGGGAGGCTGCCATGGCACAAAGCAGTCTGACAGAGGTTCCCACGAGGCAAAAGCAGAGTGGGGGGGAATGTAGGAGGTAAAGGGAGAAGCAGCCCACTCCCCTGCAAAGGCATCACAGAGGAGGGTCCTCTGAGGAGGAGGGTCCTCTGAGCTGCAGACCGGTGGGAGGGTAGGTGGGGTTTTGCAGGAGGGAAGGCTGGAAAGGCATTCCGGGAGAGGGGATGTGAGCAGAGGCTGGAGGAAATGCAGCCTCACGCAGGGTCTCAGATGAACCCAACTGGACATTTGCTGAGTGCACCCTGGGTGGGGAGGCAAAAGCTGCACTTCGTCCCAGCCGGAGCTGTCCCGGGATGAGGTGCCCCAGAGAGCTGGGTGGCCCACAGAGAGCCCACCCAGATGTGAGGGGCTCCAAGGAAGACGTGACATCTGATTTGCACGTGCTTCTCCTGGCACCAGAAGTGCTGTCCCAAGAGAAAATATCTGCCCTGCAGAAAATCCCCGCCCCCCATCTGAGCAAGAGCCTGTGCTTTGTTCCCAGCCGAGGCTGAGAACCAGTCAGGCATCTTTGTGGAGGCCCCACAGACAGATAGGTGTGCCTGCAGCCTCAGCCAGGTGTCCAGAGAGGGAAACAGCCCGCTGCAGGGCTCGGGGGTCATCTGCCCTACAGGAGCCACAGGCACAGCCTAGGATGCAGGTCTACGGAGCAGCAGGGAGAGCACTGTGGGCCTCAAGACACAACAAAGGTGCCTGGGGCCACATGAGAAAATTGCAGTGTCAGACCCCAAGCGGCACTTGGACATCAACCACACAGACCATCTCTAACCCCATTTCCTAGAAAGGGTAAAGGATAGTCCCAAGACACCTGAGCAGCAGGCAGCACTTGTTACCTTCCATTGCCGGATCTAGGCAGTGGGGGCAACACAGCTCCCTCTCCTGGGGGGAAACATTTTTCCTGCTTCCCAGTCTGCCTGGGCTGTTATTGGAGCATCACCCCCAAAGCCCTGCAGGAAAAGGGGCTGGGGCTAGATGGGGTGCCCCTGGAGGTCTCCTCCAGCCCCAGGGACTTATATCCCAAGCCCCTGCCTGGGCCCTGGAACTTGACCCAAAGCTCTTTGCATCTCCCCTTCTTTGAAGAGAAGCAAACAGGCCAGGCTGTGCGGGGCAGGCCTGAAGTGAGGGGTGGTGTTTGAGCCCGGCTCTGGCTGCCGTCAGTGGCCCACTGAGCTCCTTAGGAAGCCCCAGCCTCCCGGGGCCTGGGACCAGCCTGCATGGAGCCTGAGTGGGCATAGTCCCAAGGAGGTTCCTGGTGGGGTGGCTAGAAGAGGTGGCCTAAGCCGGGAGGGTTAGGATTGGGTACCAACTTCGAGTCTCAGGCATGAACACAGGTTCTGGAGAAATCCAGGACCCAGCTTCTTGGATAAGGCCTGCTGTCTGCTCAGGTCCACCCCTGGACAGTCGGATCTATAGCTGGGGCCCTTGTGCAGCACCCTCCTCCAAGTGTATGCCTGGATGCTATTGGCTCCCCAATTCATTCACTCTAGTCCAGTCCTGTTCCCAACAGCAAAGGCTTTGAGATCATCCCATTCATTCATTCATTGATTTTTTTCTTTTATTCTGAGCCTGGGTGAGACCTAGTAGGACCACAATATTTGTCTGAAGGGGTTCTGACTTGGTTGCATAAAATGACCCCAGAAGGTACTCCAGTCCAGGCTACATAGATCTGATCCATCTTCCCCAAAATAGACCTGGTTAATCCTCCGTGGGCCCTTCTGCCCCCAGGAGTCTGCCAGGAAGTTATGTCTGGTCATCTGATTTATAATAGGAACCAGCTCCATCCCCTCCTCTAGGGCTGGGGCCAAGGTGGTCAGGCTGTGGGGGCCTTAGGAAAATAAACTCAGTCCAGCCAGGTCCTGGCAGCCCTAACCTGCCCTACCCATCCCTAGACAGGCCAGCTCCATGACCTGGCCCAACTGGCGTGGGTGCAGCTGCCCTCAGCCGGAAAACCACTCCTGAAATAACTCCGTCTGAGGTGAATGCCTCAGGGCAGGGTCTGTGCCCTCTCATGGGCTCCCGCCCTAGCCAGGGAGAGCCCAGGGATGTCCTCAGGGAGGCTGAGGAGGACATGCAGAGCCACGTCCTCTCATGACTGAGGCAACTTTGGCCTAGCTCTCAGTGGTGTGGGAAGGAGAAGCTAAGTTGCACACCCGGAGGCCTGGGTTGGAAGTGCTGGATGGCCCCCAGGAAGCTATGGCTTAAGTCATGGTGCAGACCTCTGCCTTACCCTCCAGTGACTCTCAGTCTAGTCAGAAAGACCCTCAGGACCAGGACTGGTGACATAATTTAGCCAGGGTCCCTTCCAAGCACGGGGGCCTGTGCAGCTGCATGAAGTCAGCCCTGCTTAGGAAAGCCACCTTGGTCATCATAGGGTCCACAGGGGTTTTGTCAAGATGCTGAGCCTCCTGCCAGGGTCTGGTGGGTGAGACACATGTGGGTGGATGGGGGCGGGCCTGAAGGAAGGCGGATGCCATTCCTTGGGTCTCTGAACCCCAGCCCCAGCCAAGCCTGCTCTGTCCTCCCTACAGTCATCACGCTGTGCTGTGTCTTCAACTGTCGTGTGCCACGGACCCGGAAGGAGATCGAAGCCCGGTACCTGCAGCGAAAGGCAGCCAAGATGTACACAGACAAGCTGGAGACTGTGCCACCCCTCAATGAGCTCACAGAAGTCCCAGGAGGTGAGTTGGCCCTGGCTTGAGCCCTGCTGCGCCAGCCAGTTCCTCAGTCCTGCTGCCTGGAGTCACCCTGTTCCTCTGCTCCAACCAAAGCAGGTTCAGGGAGGGGCCCCAGCCCTGCCCCTGGAGACCAGAGCACAGAAATTGGTTGGCATGAGGCAAATAGAACGATGAGCCTATTCTCCAGTAGGAAGAAGGAAGAAAAAGGCAGAGTGTAGGAGGTTCTGGGGCTCTTCCCCTCAGGACAGTCAGACCCCAGGACCTTGTCTCACCACTATCACATGGTCTCTTCCCCCTGCCCCACAGAGGATAAGAAGAAGAAGAAGAAGAAGAAGAAGGACAGTGTGGACACAGTGGCCATCAAAGTAGAGGAGGATGAGAAGAATGAGGCCAAGAAGAAGAAAGGAGAGAAATGAAGACATCCTGGGCAGCTTGGGCTGGCGGGCCCTGGAGCTCAAGCCGTGGCCGGGGTCCAGGCATGTTGGACTCTGAGCTCATTTGGGGACCACAGAGGCTGTGGTCAGAGAGGGAAGCTGAGGCCCATGGCCACATCCTCATGGCCCATCAGGGGCAGGAACCAGACAATCTCGTAGGTGTCCTGCCCCCCAGCCTAGGCTTGGCTCCTTTCACCCCATCCACATGGGTACTGTCTCGGCAGAGGTGGTCTGGTGCCACCGTCCCTCTGCAGATACACTGCTCTCCCCACCCAGACCTGCCTGTCTCCCACCCTTTCTGCCAGGGATGGCAGTGGCTGTGAAGGAGTAATGGGATATGGGGTTACTTCAGCCACCCTTTCTGGCACGAAATGGCTGAAGTGCATGGGTCAGGGTGTGAGGCCACACCCAGAGTAGCCATGAGGAGGCAGAGAGGGTCACTGGGGGACACTGTGGCAGCAGGAGGGACTCTGTCTGGCCAGGGAGGAGCCCCAGTGGTGAGAAGACTTCCCCAAGCCTGGCAGGGGATCCAGCTCAAGGGAGTAAGTAGAGGTGGCTTCAGAAATGGAACCCCCAGCCCAGCAGACATCAAGCTCAAGGCAATGGGCTACCCTCATTTCACACGTTGTGATGAAGCTGAGGCTGCTGCCAGGCCCGGCATGAGGCCCCGAGGCTCGAGCTCGGGGCTGGGGGCTGCAGGGCTGGGTCAGGGGTACACAGAGCTAAGGCCAATGGGCTAGAGGGTGCCGGAAAGAGAGCTGGAGTCTGGGCTCCTCTTGGGAATCAGAGTATATTTAAGAAGCCAAGGGGGACCTCGGGCTGTTCTGGTGGCCCCTTCTATGCCCAGCTGTGCTGGGAGGTCCCAGGGCCCTAGAAGATCACAGCAGGGCCTTCTGCCTGCTGACCATAACAGTGCCAGCTTCTTTGCAGCTTCCTCTTCTACCATTTCCCACTACGGGCACCTAAAAGAAGCATCTCTGACCAGAAGACAAAGGCCCAAATAGCACCTGGGGGAGGGAAGATGCACAGAGGCACTTCCAGATGGCATCGAACAGACTAAGGCTCTGAAACCTAGGCCTGAACACTAAGGTCTCGAGACACCAGAGGTTTCTGAGCCAGGAGAGCCTGCTGGAAAAGCAGCCTGCAGAGATTTGTGAATAAAGCTGATTGCCTTCTCAGAGCCAGGCCTAGAAAATGGCCTCCTGAGATGACCCCTCAGGATGCGCTATTCCTGGGGCATTTATGTGGAGGGTGATGCAGCAGTCAGTGACAGATGGCTCAGGCCAGGCCAAAGTCCCCTCCCTGACTCTTCTGCCAGCCTGAATTAGGATGAGATAGAGGGAGAAATGGGAGCCAAGAGGCTGAGGGGCAGCTGCAGTCACCTGGGCCCATCCCGGAGGCAGGCACAGGACTCGGGAGGGACGCTGCCAGCTCTCTGGGTGCTGAGTTCACAAGGCTGCATTCATGATTTTCAATAGACCTGTGATGGTCTGTGCCCAGTGCTGGGGACACAGAAGAGTCAAACCTGGCTCCTGACCTGGACCTGGATCATCACTGTACAGGGAGGAGAGTGATCCAGGCTGATGAGGAAAGCGCATGACATGGGGTCTTAGGAGCAGTGAGGGGCAGAGCCATGGCCAAAGGCCCCGCCATGGAAGCTGAGGACTCTGACACCAGATGGAGGCAGTTGACCGACCTCTGCCCTTGGGGTCCAACCCATGGGCTTCTCATACATAGGGGTGAAAAAGGCCATTCTATTTATGCAGAATTTTCCCATGTGGCCAGGCAGCAGAAGTCCAGAGGGGTAGGGGCCACTCAGGGTCACACAGAGCAGCAGTTGCTGAAGACTGGGGAAGTCCAGGCCTAGGCTCCACCTGCCCTTCCCCTGACATGGGGCCACCACTAGCCTTTTATGGGCAGGCCTGGCTGCTGGTGGTTGGAATAACATCTGACTCCAGTGGGTGTCTGTCACTGTCTCCAGACAGGAGACAGAGACAGAGGGTCAAAGTTCACTATGGCTCTTTGGGGCAATGAAATGCTGTGTTCTAGCCTCTTGCCAGAAATCAGCCAAAGTCAAGGAAAGCCCGACTCCCACAGTTATCACAGAAAGAGCACCCACTTTCCAGCCCAGACAGCTGCACCCCAGCTGGGTCCTGGCAGCCCCAGCTTCAGCCTGGGCGGTATGTTCCAGGCCCCTCGATCATCTGACCCTAATATCACCCCTTCACACCCCCTCCACCTTCTGCGGGAGCCACCCCGAACCTTTGAATGGGGGAGATCCTGGAGGCTCTGCAATTTTCAGTGTAAACTGCCTGGAGTTCCCCACTTCACCCTCATCTGGTTCACCTGTGGACTCCCAACAGAGCAGGCCCAGGAAACGTGGGGCCTCTGAGGCCGGGGAAGAAGGAGGCATGGAAAACAGTAATGTTTAATTGAGCACCTCATCTCCACCCTGACTCTCAGGGCTGTGACAGCTGCACCCACAGCAACCTGGGCACGGAGGCAAGGGGGGCCCACAAGTGAGGGAGGGCACACAGAGTCAGAGGGCAGCAAGGAGGCTGAGGGGCAGTGGGAGTGCCAGGAGCAGGGTCCTGGATGGGGCTGGCAGGGCCAGGGCCTGCCCGTTGAGGCAGTCCCAGATCCAGTGTTGGTAGGAGGAGACCTGTAGGTAGATGGGTGGGGCCTCGCTCTTCTGGCAGCCTGCACCCCAGCTCACCAATCCCACCAGGTACCACGTGCCCTCCATGGAGCAGACCAAGGGCTCTCCAGTTAGCTCCTGTGGGAAGGGTTGGGGGAGTAAGGGTCAGGGAGGCCAGGCAAGGCCAGAGACGACCCAGCTCCAGGACAGGCGGGATGTCCTCACACCACACCTCCACAGTCCCCCAGTGCCAACATAGGTGAGAAGTGCTCCAGACCCAGGAGCTCTTCCTCAAAGGGTTTCATCCCCCACCTCTTAACACCCACCCTCCATCTCCCCACGGACCCCCCACTCCTCTCACCTCCAACAGCCATCCCCATTCCCAGCCCCCATCTGTTTCCTCCCAGTCTCCCCCGACATCCTCCATCCCCATATCCCAGAGTCCTGCCCACCCCCTTCCCTTCCCCTACCCAACCTCCACCGTTCCGCTCTCCCTCCCCAGATGCCTCTCCCCCAGGTGCCCCTGAAGGGGAGTGAGCGAGGAGAGGCCGCTCACATAGCAGAACTTCTCCCTGTGGGTGTCCTCCGCACACATCATCTGGGACTTGATGATCTGAACCAGAGTGGGGATTTTGGTGAAGTTGTGGTAGAAATTGTCACACTCTTTGTTGTTCAGGATGATGACTTCCTTCTCCTGAATGGTCCGGAACTGAGGCCACATGCCTGTGGGACAGGGCCCCATTTAGGCGCAGCCACTCACCGCTGCCCACTACCGCCAGCCTCACTCGTCCTCTCTCCACTGTTCCCCACGTCCCACCTTTTCTGCTTTAGCCACACACCTCTGCCCTCGTTCTAGCCCATACCCATCTAGGGCCCTCAACACAGAGCCCCCGGAGCAGAGTACCCCCAACCCAGCCTTGCCGGGCCTGCTCTCGCTTCCTGCAGTGCCCAGGCCACTGGGGCCCTTGACACCACCTCCACCACACTCGGCCTCTTGGCTTTTGCCACTCCTTCCCTCCTGAGGGCCTGCCAAGCCTTCCTTCTCTTCAAGCATCCCTTCTCCCACAGGCCTCTTCCCTGCTGAGCCTTCCCAGACCCCTCCATGGAGGCCAGGCACTGCTTCTTCCTTCTGCCTCCCTGAGTAGTGTGTCCCTGTCCCTGGCCTAAGCTCCTGGGAGACAGGAGACAGGCCACAGCAGGGATGACAAAGTCACTCCCAGGTCCTCCCACATGGGCTGAAGCCCCCTTGAGCTGTTTTGAGAGTAAGTTGGTTCCTTGAGGCCACAGGGAAGGGCATCTCTCTTATGGGCTGGGGACCCCCTGAAGGAAGTAGACAGTTCTAGGGTCCCCTGGATGTTCCTGAGAGAACACACCTGCTCTCTGGGCCTTGCTCCTGAATTGGGACGACCAGGAGTTGAGGCCCACTGAGGGGAGGGGAAACCATGAGCTCCAGCTGCAGACGGCCCCTAGCCAGCCATGTGGGCCTTCTGGGCAGCATTTTACAACACAGAAGACTGCTCCCCCGACCTCAGGTGCTCTGCTGCAAGCTGCCGATGCCTGGGCAGTGGGTGTGGACTGTGAGGTATTACTCTGTGCCTCTCTGCCTTCAAGGAAGTTCTGTTTACATGCCCTGGCCTGACTCAGGATTCAAAGGCAATCAGGGTCCCCTGAGGCTGGAGCAGCAGTGAGGTGTTCCCCACGAGATCCTCAAGGGGAAGGAGACCTCAGAGATGAGAGCCTGGCAGGAAGGTCCCGGGAGCGGCAGGCTCCCTGGGGAAGGTGCCTCAGAAACATCCATCTGTGGTGGCACCCTGGCCTGCACCCACGTCCTTTCTCACAGCACCCGCCCTGGTCTGCAGAGGCTTTGACTCACCGTCAGCCTTGGAAAGTCCCCAGCCCGTCACAGTGCAGCGGGAATGGTCCTTCAACACATAGTCCGTGCCAGGCAGGCAGATGGGCCGCACGTAATTGCTGTACTTGAGTTCCTGCTTGAGCTTGAGGAGGCCGATGTCGTTGGCCTGGCCCACCCAGGACCAGAACCGCTGGGCCCGGTACCTGCTATGCATGATGACCTGGAGCACCGGGACATCGGAGGCGGTCTGCGTCATCTGGTCAATCCACGGACTCCCCACCCTCACTGAGTAGATAACATCACGCCTAGGGGGGCCGTGAGGGGAGGCCATGATCAGCTCCAGGCCCCCTGCCCCAGCCTCCAGCCTGGGCCTTCCCCCACTCTGCTGCCCTCCCAGAAGATCCAGGAGGGGCCACCCACCCGCTTCAAGCCCCCTGAGCCTACTCCTCACCACAGACATGAACAGGGCCCTGCACACTCACTGTGTGGTCCAGTCCTCAAGACCCTTCATTTTATGGAGGGGGAAACTGAGGCTCAGAGAAGCCCAATGAACCACTCAGGGCTGCATAGCTAGGAGGCAGTGGAAGGGATGCGGACCCAGTTTTCTCTGGTTCCAAACTCTACTCTCAGTCCATAGCATGGACTCTTTCACCCCATGCTGTGCCCTGGAGGAGGCAATTCTACTCCTTCCAGCTCCATGGAATGTGCCATGGCCTGGCTATCTAGCTGCGCACCCCGGGGTACCCCTTGGAGTCTGTATGTTGGCCCTTAGGCCTGGAACACATTTCACTTGTCAGCTCTCACAGCCAGCACTCCTGGCCCCAAAACATCAGAACACTCCCTCTTTTGTCCCCACACCAACCAGGCACCCTTGTGAGCATCTATCTTCCTTTCTGTCTCCCCCAACAAGCTGGAAGGAATGATCCATCCCTCCTCTGCCCCCAGTGTCCAGGCCAGGGCCTTGCTCAAAGAAGTGTCAGAGACGGTTGATTGAAGGGAGGAACAAGGATGTGGGTGCAAAGGGGGTGAAATGAAAGAACTAGGAGCTTCTTCCCGTGGAGAGGAGGCATGAGGCCAGACAAATGGCTTCTGAGCTTCCATTTCCCATCTGCGGAATGACTGCACGGGACTGAGAGGCCAGACGAGGGGAGCGAACGGTGGGACACTGAAAAGACTGGAGCTCTGAAGGAATTTTCAGGACTCAGCCTCCACCTGCTTGGAGCCCAGATGAGGCTGGGGCTGGGACTGTGGGCCCAGAACAGCTGGCAGGGAGGGGATGACTGGGCCCACAGCAGCTCCAAATACCTCTCCACCCACCCCACCTCAGCCTTGACTCACCAGATCAGGCAGTGGGCCACAGTCAGCACCCACTGGGAGGCAATGATGGTGCCGGCACAGATGTGTGTGCCATTGGCCCGCACGCTGACCATCCAGGGCCACCGCCGAGCCACGGCTTCTGGGTCCCTGAGGGTGGGGTCCTGCTCGTAGGAAAAGCCACAGGCTGAGGAGGAAGGTGAGAGCTTGATGAGGGATGGATCTTTCCCTGTCCCTCCCCTCCCCCAGCCTGACCTCGTGCCTCTCCAGCCACTGGCCTGCACCCATCCAGGGGTGCTCCCTTTTCACCTGTCACCATGGAATGATGCTGTCCACATGTGGACTGGAGTCTCATGCCTCAGAAGGGTCCAAGCACTGCCCAGATATCTCTCTCCCTGTTCCCACAGCCCGGGCCCTAGAGCATCCCCAGCCGACCAGCCCAGTGTACCACTGGCCCCTCTGCCGTCACCAACACACTCTCAGCTCCAATCAGATCCTTCACTAACTTGTTCTCATTTCCACCTGGTTCCACCCTCACCATGTCCCCTACTTCAGCCAAGGCAGAGCTCTCTCCCTCCTCTGGGAACCCCTTTCTGTGGCTCAGTGAGAGGAAAGTGGATGCCCCAACAGAAAAATGGGCATAGTCCAAGGAGAAAATCCCAGTAGCCAATGACCACAGAAGCTGCTCCGCCCTTAGTCTGCAGGGAAATGCAGACTGCTTCTTCTTCTTTCCTCTTCTTCTCTCTTCCCTTTTCCTCCTCCTCTGATGAGGTCTTGCTCTGTCACCCAGGCTGGAGTGCAGTGGTATGATCATTGTTCACTGTAACCTCAAACTCCTAGGCTCAAATGATCTTCCCACCTCAGCCTCCTGAATAGCTGGGACTACAGGCACACACAACCACACCCAGCTAATTTTTTTATTTTTTAATTTTTTGGAGAGATAGAGTCCCACTATGTTGCCCAGGCAGGTCTCAAACTCCTGACCTCAAGTGATCTTACTGCCTCAGCCTCCAAAAGCGCTGGGATTATAAGCATGACCCACTACCTCCAGCCTGAAAATGCAGATTTCAATCATGATGAGATTCTGCTCTGTACCATCCGCCTGGCAAAAACGCAACATCTGTGACACCGAGTGTCAGTGAGGATTATCACCCAGAATGCCTACCCACGGCTGGTGGGAGTGCTCACTGCTGCAGCCGCTTTGGAAAACAATTTCTCTAGATTGAAGATGCACATATCCAACATCTCAGGAGTCCCATTCCTAGTGTTTTCCAAATGGATTCGTGGATTGTAAATGTAAGTGGGCCGTGACCAGCCTTTTTAAAGGATAACATAGGCAAGAAAACATCGGCATGCACAGCACAGGGTACTGGAAGTCCTGTTTGGGTGACTTTCTGTGGCAGTTAAATGCTATGTGCTGAGTCCCAGTCTTATGTGGGTCTGTTAAACATGCCTGAAAGCCACTGGGCAAGAGAACGTCTTACGTGTGCACCCTGGAGACACCACAGGAAGGCTCACACAGCCTGGCCCTGAAAGCTGTGCTGGAGATCCCAGAGGTCCCTGGCTGGGAGCCTGGGTCAGAGGCATGATGGGTGTCAGGGCCTGGAGCAGGGTGAGAGGCCACCTGCCCCACAGCCAGCTCAGGCGAGGCGGGAACACACAGCCGGCCCCAGGCCCCTCTGACTTTCCTGCCCCCTACCTCAGCAGGAGGGGAGGCCTGTGAGGACAAGACACCCAGAGCTCTGGGCCTCCAGACAGGACCAGGCCTGACCCACAGGTGTTTAGTGCTCAATGAACACCTGTAGAAGGAGGCGCTCCTCTATCCTGCTCGCCCCCGTCCCTTCTGCTCCCCTAGCCCCAGCCAAGGTCCTTAAGACTCCTCTGTCACCCTCCTTGCCCCACGGAGTCTACACCCCTGGTACTCACAGCGGTATGGGTCGACTTTGCCTTCAGAAACTGGGAATTGGGTCTCCATGGTGGTCGAGGGCAGTGTCTGGGTGGTCGGGGTCTGCCAGAGAAGGCGAGGCCGGCTGGAAGGACAGGTGGCCTTGGGGACACACTGGACGCTCTGGTCGGCGGGATCAGCAGTGGACAGCGCCCCCGGGGCTTCCCCTGCGCCCCAGCAACCTGCGGAGGACGTCGAGCGGATTAGAGGTGGAAGGCGAGGGCCGCGTCAGGCGGGTGGGGTAGGGATCGGGAGGGACTCACCTGCAGACCTCAGCAACAGAAGCAGCAGCAGCAGGGCACCGGCGCGGGAGGGGGCAGACGTCCGGGGGCGCTGCCCGCGCGCGACGGTCTGGCACCAGCGACCCATCCCGGGGTGGCAGCCGACTGCGTCTCTCCGGAAGGCGCTCCCAGTGCCGCCCCCACGACGGCGCCCCCTGTTGGCCGCATGCCGCGGCCTCTGGTGAGCTGGGTGGGGATGCTCCTAGTGCCCCGCCTGCGTGGCGCCCCCCAGGGGCCACCCGCCACGGCGCTCGTGGTGTCTGACCCGCAAGGGCGCCCCTAGTGACAGCCCTCCCTTATACCTCCCGGGCTGGGTACGCCCCGGCTGACTTCCCTCCTTGGCCCCTCCCTCTCCTCACTCCGCTGGTCCAAGCAGTCTCCTGGAGTCCCTCAACTTAATCTCGGCCGATTCTCAGACCTCCTCACCCTCGCAGCCCATTGCCCTGGACTGGCTCATGGTGTCACCCCTCCCGCAGTGAGATGAAGACCAAACCTCAGGGGCTGGCATCCAGGATCTCCAAGTGACCCTACTTTCCCTCCAGCCCCTCCAGTGGGGCTTTGCCCAAGGAACTGAAATTAAGCAGATAGATGTGTTTTAAATAATGATTTTGAAAGACTGCTTCATTCTAAGCAACTACACCCCACCCCCACCCCATTCAGCAGATGCCCTTGCCCCACAGATCCATCTGCTTAGGAAAGAGAGTGCAGGCAAAGGGTCCCTCCACAGAGGAACACTGGTGCTTACCATTGCGCCACTGTGGGATGAGGAGGTCACTTTGCATGTTACAATTTGGGGAACACATTGATGGTTCAGTGACACAGGAGGGTAATACATTTAAAAAGTCATGTGGGGTACTCAAAGCTGTTGGAAAATTCTAGCCTAATAGAAGATAAGGTGATCCAGCATTGTGGCATGCACCTGTCCCAGCTACTCTCAGCTACTCAGGAAACTGAGGCAGAAGGATCACTTGAGCCCAGGAGTTCGAGTCCAGCCTGGGCAACATAGCACCCCCATCTCTACAAGAAAATATTTTTTTCTAAGGTACGGTGAAAGTTAAATCAAGCCAGGATATTCTAACATGTGTCCAGGCTTGTGGTCTTGGGATACACACTTGAGCTGGCCAATCCATGCTCCAATCTCTGAAAAGACAGTAAATCACACCCTTCAGGTGCCCTAAGGGATAGGGGTGGCTGGTTGCTCAGCACCTGAGGACCACCAGGTCTGAGCAGCCCCTCATTCCTCACACAGGGGCAAGGCTCTGTCCTCAGCTTGGCTACCTCCAGTAGCCTTGCTCGTGCTGTAGAGTCTAATGGAGGTCACCAAGGCAGCTCAGGAGCTCAGGGCATAGTGATCTCACACATTCATTACCCAGGCAGGCACTCTGCCCTATCCCCACATCACCTACCTCTGCCAAAGAGGGAGGAGGAATTGGTCAGGCTCTGCAGACCCATGGAAGGATATGAAGGGTAGGGAGAAGCTAGTGGGTTCTGAAACATGGTCCATGGTTGTGGGTCTGTGATCTGGCCATGGTGAGTTACTTGGGAAGAGGCCAGGCCTCGCAGGAAGGCCTGAGGGAAAGTGTCTGTCACATACCCAGGGGAGGGCCATGGGGACCTGGGGATTACTGGATTGCTGGGATGACTAAGAAGGAGCTGCAGTCCCACATTTGGAAGAAGAGGGAGGGGAACAGTCTCCCAGGGTCACACAACAAGCACAAGACAGACATGGCATAAAGCTATCAGAGAAGGCTCAGCTTGAGAGAACAGCCAGGACTGCTTGGGGGTTAGGAAGGTTGTGAAGGGCTCTGGCCGAAGTCAGGAAGCAAGATGATCACTTGAGTGGCTCAAAGTTCAAAAGCATCTTCATTGAACAACAGAAAGTAACAGTGGCTCTCGGACCCTCCCCCTCACTCTGCCCTGCCATCCTGGGCAACCTCTCGTCTCCACTTCTGAGGGTAGAACAGAGGGGAGGGAGAAGCAGCCTCTGGGAGGGACTGTCCTTGAAACACCGCTCACAGGAGCCACAGGGAGCTCAAGGAGCCCAGTAGAATGTAGCCAGTGAGGAAAACTGGGCTCAGGAAGGCAGGGCCAGCCCTACTGATGAACCTTATGTTAGCAACCTCAGTCCTGATCCACTGGTTGAAGTGGGCAGTGCTGGTGTAGATACCTGGGAAGTGGCGCTGGCCACAACTAAAGCTCCAGCTTACCACTCCTATCTGAATCCAGGTCTTGTCCATTTGGCAGACAAGGGAGCTTCCAGAGTCAACCTGTAGAGAAAAGGAGGGAGGGCATAAGGATGGCAGCAGGAGGGCATCCCTGGCCTGAGCCCGCCCCTCAGGATGAGCTCTGTGACACATAAGCTCTGCACTGGACCACGCCAGCCTCTGTCTTCATTTTCCTGCTAATTCTGACCCTAACTCCCCATCCCATCCCCTCCTCTGCCTTCCCCTTAAATCTTGGTGGTCTTTTACTTTCCTGAAATCCTGCTTGCAGAGTGAGCTGTTTGAAATGCAAACCAGTTCTCCTCTTTTTGTACAAACATGGGTTTACAGATAAGAATACTGTTTACAATGACATACAACAAAAGGTCATAGCTGTTATTGCTGCTGATAGTGGGTTTCTTATGATTTTTTAAAACTTTCTTTACACTCTTCTGTAATGTCAGAAAATTTTATAAATCAGAAAAACCACTCAATTACATTTATTTTTAAAACATAATGCACACCAAGATTTACAGGACATAATCTAATGAAGAATGCAAAAGACTCTTAAGGAAAAAAGTAATAAACTGTGCCTAAGAATATAAAAAAAAGACCTACATCAATGTATAGATATACTGTTGTTCAAAGCTGAGATAACTTAAAGCAATGTGAAAATGTCAATTCTCAGCATTTGGCTTCCTGCAGTATGGAAGACAAGATACCCTAACCAAATTTATTGCTAAAGATACCTACAAATGTGAGACTTTTTTTAAAATTATGATTTTAAATGCATGGGTAAGCTAGCAAGAAAATAAAGACTCTTCAAAGTCCAAAACCTAAATGAGGGTTAGAATATAGAGGTCAGTAGAGCCCAGAAGACAGCTTTTGTTCCAAGGCCCTTTGTCAAACCCAGCAAAACTGAGCTTCAGTTTTCATAGCCTTGTTCATGGGCTCAGGAGACAAAAGACAAAACCCAGGGCCTAACTAAGGGGAGGAGCCTCAGAGTAGACCCCTGCAAAAAGTTATGCCTTCAAAAAATGACCACACCCTCACAGTGAGGGTGAACTGGAAACACTCTCGTATGAACTCACAACATGACTTCACACTGTCTGGGTGGTTCAAAAAACCTGAACCAAGGATGGATGTGGTTTAAAGTGGTGCTGGGATATTCACAATAGCAAAGACATGGAATTAGCCTAAATGCCCATCAAGGATAGACTGGATAAAGAACATGTGGTACATATATACCATGGAATACTACGCAGCCATAAAAAAGAACATGATCATGTCCTTTGCAGGGACATGGTTGCAGCTGGAGGCCATTATCCTTAGCAACCTAATGTAGGAACAGAAAACCAAACACCACATGTTCTCACTTGTAAGTGGGAGCTAAATGATGAGAACTCATAAACACAAAGGGAACAGACACTGGAGCCTACTTGATGGGGGAGGGTAGGAGGAGGGAGAGGATCAAGAAAAACAACTAATAGGTACTAGGCTCAAAACTTGGGTGATGAAATAATCTGTACAACAAAGCCCCATGACACAAGTTTACCTGTGTAACAAACCTGCGCTTGTACCCCTGAACTTAAAAGTTAAAAATAAGTAAGTAAATAAAGTGATGCTGGGTTGGTCATACCTGCAGGCACCTGGCTGAAGCAAATGTAGATTCTGTCTGGAGGAACCTATCTTTCAAGCCACACCTCAGAGTAGTCGTATAATTAACACTCTAAGGAGCATGTCCTCCCTCCTCAAAACATTGCACACCACACAAGGAAGTTGAGGCACCATGAGCAAATGTCAGCCAGCAAAATAACTGGGAGCAGTCAGAGCCTTTGAGGCTTGAGATACAGGAATGGCCACGGGGAAACTTTAACATGCCCATAAGGGCACTCTTTCTTAGGCTTGCTGATGGGTACGTGGATGTTGCTAATGTTATTCTTTATTCTCCATATATGTTTTATAAATATCCTTTTGTCTATTCAATACAGAGTAAAAGCAATTAAAAATCATAACAATGTCAGTTCTCCTTACATTAGTCTCTCAAAGCAATTCCAATTAAAACGCCAGCAGGGTTTTCTCAGGAACTTGACAATCTGATTCTAAAATTGATATTGAAGGATAATAGTCCTTAAATTCTAGGATGGTTTTGAGAAAGGGGAGAAAATTGGAGAGTCAGGTTGGGGGCAGATTTGACCTACCAGATAGTTACACATATTTTAAAGCTATAATTATAGAAATATAATTAAAGATGAGAAAGCTATAATTATAGAAATAGTGGGGTACTGGCATAGAAACAAAAAAAATAGCCCAGTGGGGGTCGCGGAGAGCCCGTAACCTGATGCCTATCCAGGAGGACACTTGACACATGTCACACAAAGCATCACGTCTGCGGGAAATGAGGGCTCTGCGGTAGATGGTGGCAACATTGGCTCACCAGAAGGAGAAAAGCGAAGTTGTATCCTACCGTAACAAAACTTCAGAGGAATTAAAACTCTGAATGTGAAAAGTAAAAATGATAAAGCTAATTAAAACATATAAGACCAGCACAGTGGCTCACACCTGTAATCCCAACACTCTGGGAGGCCAAGGTGGGAGGATCACTCGAGCCCAGGAGTTCAAGACCAGCCTGGTCAACATAGTGAGACCCTGTCTTCACAAAAATGAAATTAGGCAGGCATGGTGGCACACACCTTAGTCCCAGCTACTCTGGAGGCTAAGGTGGGAGGATCGCTTGAGAGCAGGATTTCCGGGCTGTCGTGAGCCATGATCATGCCGCTGCCCTCCAGCCTGGGCAACAGAGCCAGACCCTGTCTCTAAAATAAAAAATAAAACCAAAACCAAAATGCATATAGGACCATGTTTTTATGACTTGGGATGAAGCATATTTTTAAAAATAAGATTCAAAACCCACAAACTGCTGGGTGCAGTGGCTCACACGGGTAATCCCAGCACTTTGGGAGGCTGGGGTGGGAGGATCTCTTGAGCCCAGGAGTTCAAGATCAGGCTAGGCAACATAGTGACACCCCATGACTACAAAAAATTTAAAAATTAGTTCCAGCTACTCAGGAGGCTGAGGTGGGAGGATCACTTGAGCCCAGGAGGTTGAGGCTGCAGTGAACCATACCACGCCACTGCGCTGTAGCCTGGGTAACAGAGCAAGACTCTGTCTCAAAATAACAAAACAAAAACAAGCGAACAAAACAAAACTCACAAACCTGAAGAAATGTGTCAGGCCTGATTACATCAAAACTAAGGTTATCTGTTCAGTAAAGGACACCAAATCTCAATGAAGACTGATGAATTAAGATAGGGCTCTGTCTAAAACAAACCAGAGGTCAATATTGAACATATCTAAGGACCTCTTGAAAATAACAAGCAGACCGGGCGCGGTGGCTCATGCCTGTAATCCCAGCACTTTGGGAGGCCGAGACGGGTGGATCACGAGGTCAGGAGATCGAGAGCATTCTGGCTGACACGGTGAAACCCTGTCTCTACTAAAAATACAAAAAATTAGCTGGGCGTGATGGCGGGCGCCTGTAGTCCCAGCTACTCGGGAGGCTGAGGAGGGAGAATGGCGTGAACCCGGGAGGCAGAGCTTGCAGTGAGCCAAGATCGCGCCACTGTACTCCAGCCTGGGGGACAGAGCAAGACTCTGTCTCAAAAAAAAATAAGAAAAGAAAATAACAAGCAGAGTGAGTTGGGGGAGATGTGAGGCTTCCATGGCCTCACCATGGAGATTACACCAGGCCAGCTTCCTGATCTCCTAGCAGGGCAGGGAACCCCATCCCCAGGAGCACCAGAGAGTGGGGGGCTCCTGAAGTGAGGTTTAAATTTAAATAGAAACTTCTAATGGCACAAGGCATTTCATAACTGAAAGTGACTCAAAATTATGAGCTCTGCCCAAAATGACGTTTGGGGAAGAAAGGAAAATTTGACATAGGATATGTGGGGGCAATTATTTGAAAGAATAAAACCATTTAATGTGAATACCTTAACAAATTCAGATGCCTCAGTAAACAACTACAGGAGGAGATATGCAGCACAATATAATTTATACCAACTAAAACACACACAGCAGCACTATGCATTCTTCAAAGACACAGATATCTTTAATTTCACTTTATTATCATTATGATTATGATTATTTGAGATGGAGTCTTGTTCTGTCACGCAGGCTGGAGTGCTGTGGTGCGATCTTGGCTCACTGCAACCTCCACCTCCTGGGTTCAAGTGATTCTCCTGTCTCAGCCTCCCGAGCAACTGGGACTACAGGCGCGTGCCACCACGCCCAGCTAATTTTTGTATTTTTAGTAGAGATGGGGTTTTGTCATGTTGGCCAGGCTGGTCTCGAACTCCTGACCTCAGGTGATCCACCCACCTTGGCCTCCCAAAGTGCTGGGATTACAGGCCTAAGCCACCGCGCCTGGCCTAATTACACATATTAGACAGATTTCAGTTGATGTTCTTTTGCGGGGAAGGGCAAATGGAAGATGCAGGAGAAAATGAAGCCAGTGATAATCACACCAGCAATGATAGTGTGAGGGCCCTTGCCTGAGATAGGACTGATGGGACTCTAGGGGCCCAGAGAAAGTAAGAACATGAGAAAAGAAGAGAGAGAGAGAGATCCGCTGTAGGTAAGCATTCTCTCACCTCAGTGAAATAAAACCAGAGTTTAGTAACAAAATGTGAGTCACTCCATCAACAGGAAAAAAATAACTTTCAAAACGTTAAAGTAAAAACGAAATCTACAATTAGAATGTAGAGTAAAGAGAGCATCACGTATTGCACAGGATGTGGGCCTAAACTGCACACAGATTGTCCTGGTCTAAAGTACTGTTAATATCAAGCAAGAGAGAATAAAAATAAATTATTTGTTATTATCATCAATTATCACTGCACATTCAGCTCAAGACACTTGAAAAGGAATTAATAAAGACAAAAAGAGGATAGTTCATGTGTTACAAAGCAGAAAAATCATAGACTTGAGAAATAAAAATCAATAGCTTATTCTTAAAAAACAACAAGGCTGGGCACAGTGGCTCACGTCTGTTATCCCAGCACTTTGGGAGACTAAGGCAGGAGGATTACTTGAGCTCAGGAGTTCCAGACCAGCCTGGGCAAAACATAGTGAAATCCTGTCTCTAAAAAAAATTTAAAAAATTAGCTGGGCATAGTGGCACACGCCTGTAGTCCCAGCTTCTCAGGAGGCTGAGGCAGAAGGATTTCTTGAGGCCATGAGTTCAAGGTAACAGTGAGCTATGATCACACCACTGTACTCCAGCCTGGGCAACAGAGTGAGACCCTGTTTCAGACAAAACAACAACAAGAACAACAAAACAGATAAGCACCTTGTGACTCTTACCAAGAAAAACAGAAAGAGAAGGAAAAATGGAAACACTTCATGATTTGAGTAGAAAATAAACTAGAACACATCCAGGGAAAATATACTTTATCAGAATCTCAAGACTGTTGACAATTTCCTCTTTGTGGATTTACACTCTGGATGAAATGACCTTTTTCTATGAAACAGAAATCATTTAAACAAATTTAAAGAGTGACAGAAAGCCCGACAAGTCCAATAACTATGGGTGAAACAACTTAAAATATTCCCCAAGAGCAACCACTCAAAGGAAAACAGGCTTATGTGGTTTCACAGGCAACTGCTATCCAGCGTTCAAGAAGGAGATAATTTGTGTTATTTCAAATGTTCCAGAACATGAACAAATATTTTTCAAGTGAAGCATCGTCCTGATACTATCACTTGACAAAGGGGTGTCTTTCTCTCTACATACCTTAAAGTGGAGCCCAGCGTCCCTGGAGGAAAAAGTAAAAAGGTTGTGTGCATTGTGCTGTGTGGACTGTGCCACGTGGTACCATTTGTTCCCCGGGCCCAGACCTTTCTTAAGCCCAGTGTTATCCATGTCTGGCCCAGAGCCCAGCATACGGTGTCTGTTGAGTGAATAAATAAATTAAAGTGTGCTCCACAAAAAGATATTATGAATCTGAATCCAACAGATGAATGAAACAAAAGTACACCATAAGCAGGGAGGAATGATCTTGGAATGCAGGGCGCATGGACATGAGGAATCTGTTTAGGGAACAGACTCTGCATCCTGAGTTAGAGCAGAGAGTCAGAAAACATGTGTATAAAGGAGAATGTTCTTTCCTGAAATCAAATGCTGTGGTCAAACAGAAAGGAATGGCTCTCCCCTCAACAGATGACAGGCCAAATCACCACCATGGCATGCTTCAGGGTGAAGTGTAAGAAGCACTTCCCATCAAAGTGGGCAGCAAGAGAAAACACAGCCATGACTCTAGGTTGTTTTGGGGAGAGAGGGGGACTCAAAACAATAAAAAAGTAAAACACAAATAAAAGAGGTGAAATCGTTACTAATTACAACTCATATGAGCATAGGCCTAGAAAGCTCAAGAGTCCACTAAAAATTCTTCGATATAATAAAAGAGTCAAGCAAGCTGAACTCCCAGATATCTTCAACAAGAGGGGGAGTCTGGAGGATGGAAATGAAGAAAGCAAAAATGCAGGAAGTCTCTGGCCCCCTGCTAAGGAGGCTGTAGACACTGATTAACTACGTGACAATTCAATTTTAAATATATATGTGGAAAATACAAGGTGACCAATAGCAGAAGGAAATGTACATACGTAACTTCTAAACCGCTAGAGGATAAAAGTAGAGTGAAGAAAAAAAAATCAAACCAAAATGTAAGGTGAGGGAACAAAAAAAATCCCCAGTCTTCTTGGTAAATAGATTAAAGAACAATCTCTCAGATGTGTTGAAAAATAATAGCATCCAGCTTTGTATTGTTTACAAGAGATACACCTAAAACTAAATGACACACTGTCTCATGGGAAATAATAATTTTTCTGGAATACGGTTCTGAATATTTGCAATTACACAAAAGAAAGAAATAAGAGGAAGACTTACAGGATTTTATTTTAGGAAAGAACGCTCAGCTTTATAAATGTGTTTTCTGACTGTATGCTCTAACTCAATGTGCAGTCGATTCCCTGAACAGATTCTTCACGTCATGCACATACACATTGGCAGGTGATGTGTCTGTGGTCCACTCAATTGAAGAGAATCAGCTAGGTCCAGGAAGGTTGCTTATTACAAAGTAAATACACAAAAATCTAAAATAAAAAAACAGAAAATACAACAAAAGAAAATATACCAGTCTGGGCACTGTTGCTCATGCCTGTAATCCCAGCATTTTGGGAGGCTGAGGAGGGCGGATCACCTGAGGTCAGGAGTTCGAGACCAGCCTGACCAACATGGTGAAACCCCATCTCTAATAAAAATACCAAAAATTAGCTGGGCATGGTGGCACACATCTGTAATCCCAGGTACTTGGGAGACTGAGACAGGAGAATGGCGTGAACCCGGTAATCGGAGGTTGCAGTGTGCCGAGATCACGCCACTGCACTCTAGCCTGGGGCCACAGAACGAGACTCTGTCTGAAAATAATTAATTAATTAAAAATATATATACACCACTCACAATAAGGACATAATATATAACATTTAGGAATAGACTCAGGAAGCAGCATGCAGTAAATACATGGAGAAAGCTACAAACTCCTGCTCTATAGACATAAAGAAATAGTGCAAAATAAAAAGTCTTTATTTCCCTAAAAGGATCTATCAATTTCCACCAAAATCCCCATGTGACTTTCTTTTTGACAACTTTATTCTAAGACTGTGAAAAGGAACGTGGGAGAACAGCAGGTAAATTCTTTAAAAGATGGAGAATGAAGGAGGACTTGCATTACCACATAAAAAAGAATTCTAAAGCTACAATAATTTTCAGAGTGGTGGCAGCATAGAGATGTAAATGGTAGGAAGACAACAAAATAGGGTGGGAATTTAGAATACAATAAAGGGGGCATTTCTAATTCATAGCCAAAAAAACAAGTATTCAACAAAATATTTTTATATAACAGGCTACCCATTTGGAGAAAAATAATACTGAACTTCCTCTCTCAATCATCCAGATGAATCAAAATTTAAAGTATTTAAAGAAAAGAATTAGAAAATGATGAGTAAATAATTTTATAATCTTAGGACAGGAAAGGTATTTCTTTGTTGTTGTCATTGTTGTTGTTGTTTGAGTCTCGCTCTGTCGCCCAGGCTGCAGTGCAGTGGCGCGATCTCGGCTCACTGCAAGCTCCGCCTCCCAGGTTCAGGCCATTCTCCTGCCTCAGCCTCCCGAGTACCTGGGACTACAGGGGCCCACCACCACGCCCGGTTAATTTTTTTGGGGGGATTTTTAGTAGACACGGGGTTTCACCGTGTTAGCCAGGATGGTCTCGATCTCCTGACCTCGTGATCCGCCCACCTCGGCCTCCCAAAGTGCTGGGATTACAGTCGTGAGCCACTGCGCCCGGCCAAGATAGGAAAAAAAAACCTAAAATCATGGAGGAAAATAACGATAGATACAAACACATAAAAATTTTACATAACCTTATGGGAAAAAAAACCTACACCAGAAAAAAAGGGTAAATGAGGTACAAATAGGGTAAAATATTGTAAAGCATTTTACAATGGGTTAAAACTTCCAGTAACCCAAAGTTTTGGGGTAAATTTGTATTCTGAAATAATTTGAGACTTTCAGAAAAGTTGCAAGTATAATATTTTACCCAGATTCACTAATTTTGATGTTTTACCATATGTTTTATGTCTCCAAATGTATGTATACATATACACATATATATATAAATGCTTATGAGCCATTTGAAATTAAGCTGAAAGAGACATAATGCTCCTTTACCACTAGTTACTACAGAATAGAATATCCAGAGTTTTTGTAAATCAACAAAAACAAAAGTAGTTTAATAGAAGAACATGGGCAAAGGACGTGGAAAAGTGTAAATGGTACATTAAATGAAGCAAGCATTTTATTTGGACTTCCTTTGTTCTTTTAAAATTGATTTAGAAGGTGAGGTTTTTTCCTTGACCCCTGGTAAAAACTTGGGCAGAACCAGAACATTTTGCCCACTGTGGTTAACGTAATCGTAATTGCCATGATTATACCAAGTGTCATATGAACATCTCACTTCAGAAATCAGAATATTCATTTCCATATAATAATCACAATGTTAGACTTGATTTAAAGTAAAACTCCCCATTGCCATCAGGGCTTTAGCAAGTAGGAGGCTTCCCTCCCTGTAGCTTCCACTCCTCCTACCCCATCTTACTAACCTGATCTTCCTAACCTGCCAAGGTAACAGCAGCAGAGTGAGAGGGAAAGAACTGTCTTAACCGCCCCCACCCCTCCCCTCCAGGCCACTGTGAGCTCTCTGAGCCTGGAGGGATTTAGAGCTGACTCTCCCCCTACCTTGAGGGGTACGCATCAGGCTTTCTGAGTGATCCTGCGGGTACCACTCCCAGTAGACTTGCAGTGTGGAACGGGCACCCCCAGCCTGCTCATCCCTATCCCCTTAAAGGGAGAAAGGTGAGCTCATAGATGCAGTTCTCTCCAGAGAAATTCTCCTCACAAAATCACCTCCAACCCTACCCTCTGGACCCTTTGATACAGACATGTAGCCAAATATCAGTCACACAACTCTTTGAATTCTGATACTTATTGTATTTTGATATCTTTATTGAAACTTCCTACTTATCCTATTAAACAAGCAATTTACAGAATTTCTCAATGTCATGAAATAACAACAAAAATATGATACAAGTTTTAGTCTACCAAAAAGACAAAAGTTAAAATAAAAATAATACCTAGTTCTGGTGATGATGCAGGAAAAGTCATTTATCTACTGTTGGTGTTAATATAAATGGATCAAATCTTTGGGAGGCTAATTTGCAAATATCTATTGAAATTTTAAATATATATACAACTGATTTTGTAATTACACTTCTAAAAAATTATTGTAGCTAAATGTTTGAACAAATGTGAAAAGGTATTCAATTTTTTTTTATTCTGGTATAGTAAAAAAATACTGAAATGAGCTCAAATATCTGTCAATAGAAGAATGGTTAAGTAGATTGTGGCATAGCCATATGAGAAAATTATTATTCAAGGAAGATGGAATATATTTATATGTATAGACCTAGAAAGGAGTCCAAGATATATTTTAAGTAAAAATTTAAAAGTTGGAGAATAAAATTATATAACAGTCCTTTATTAAAAATCATAACCAGAGGCCGGGCACGGTGGCTTACACCTGTAATCCCAGCACTTTTGGAGGCCGAGGTGGGTGGATCACCTGAGGTCAGGAGTTCGAGACCAACCTGACCAACATGGTGAAACCCCATCTCTACTAAAAATACAAATTAGTTGGGCGTGGTGGCGCATGCCTGTAATCTCAGCTACCTGGGAGGCTGAGGCAGGAGAATCACTTGAACCCGGGAGGCAGAAGTGCAGTGAGCTGAGGTTGTGCCATTGCACTCCATCCTGGGCAACAAGAGCAAAACCTCGTCTCAAAAACAACAACAACAAAAAAAATCAAAACCAGAAAAAAAAAAAAACTAATGTAGAATTTTATATGTATAGAAAGACATGTTAGGAATATAAACCAAACAATTTAGTGTAGAAATTTCTAGGTAGTTTGATTATAGGAGAGTCTCATTTTCTAATTTTGCACTTACGTATTACTTTTTAAACAAAATGTGTGCTTTTTTTTCAAAATCACAGAACATATTTTAAAATAAACTAGTGATGATGGAATCACAACAGTGAAAATTTAAGAGATGAATTTAAAGTTCAAATCAAAACTGATTTTATGATCTTAAATTCTTTAAACACAAAACTAGAAAGAGTAAACCTTCTCAGCATATTCCATATAATTGATACCACTTTAGAACTAATTTTAAGACAAGGAAACTGAGCTGGAAATCAATAACAACAACAAAAAAACCATGCATAGGTCAAAATAAAATCAAAATAGAAATTTTATAAAATATTGTGGCATGAAACTAAAGCCATACTTAGAGGGAAATATGTAGCCTCAAAAATTTGTATTGAGAAGGAAGAAAGAACAAAAATAAATTATGTAAGTGTCCAACTGAAAAAAACTATCCCTTGTGTTTACACAACCTTGATATATGAGAGAGGTAGTGACAGCCAGTGCAGGAAATGACTTTTTCAATAAATAGCATTAGGAAAATTGGTAGTCCACATGAGAAGATAAATAAAAATAGATTCCTATCTTACACCATTCCCAAAATGAATGCCACATGGTTTCAATACGTGAAAACCGTAATTTCCAAATTCTGAGGAAAAAAATATAGGAGAATGTCTTTATGACCTTGGGAAAAGGAATGATTAAATAAGACACAAAAAGCATAAATCAGAGACATGATATATTTGACTAAAATGAAACCTAAATTGCTGTTCAGCAAAGTACAGTACAAACATAATAAAAAGATACATGGGAAACTGGGAGAAGATTTTGCAGTATACACAATGAACATAGAACTTGTATCCAGAATATTAAAAAATAAAAAAAGAAAAAGGAAAACAATAGTAAAATATCCAAAGTATATGAATAAGTGCTCATAGAAGAGGAATCACAAATGGTGAATTAACATGTGAACTGCACAACCGCATTAGTAACTGGGGACGTGCACATTACAACCGCAACGGGTGCTATTTCCCGTCCATTGGAATGGAAAACATTTTATAGTCTGACAATACCAAACGCTGGCAAGAAATGGAGCAAGGAACTCTCAAATACTACTGTTAGAATATAAATTAATACGATCACTTTGGAAAACAATTTGACCATGACTATTAAAGATGAAGGTAAACATAGCCTATGACCCAGCACTCCTGTGCAGATACATCTTGCTGAGAAATTGTGGAACATGTAAATAGGGAGGTGTGTGTGAGAATACTTAGAGTAGCAGCAGAGTTTCTGATATGAAAAAATTGGAAACTCCCTCAATGTTAATAAACAAGAGCTTGGGTAAATTGCGGCATATTCACAAAAGAGAATATTGTAGAGCATTTAATGCATAAAACCTGCACGTATCCATATGAATAAATCTCAAAACCAATGTTGAATAGAAGGTGCAAGTGGCAGGTGGCAGAAGTATTCATTCTGTGCTGGCAGAATGAATGTCACTTATGCAAAACAGGTTCTGCCCGCACATGGCCCACATCTGGGCATGTAGCTGATGCCCAGAAGTGGTAAACTAACCTGAGAAGGACTGCCATCACTACCTTCACTGTGGACAGGGACAAGAGTATTTTACCCTTATTTTACAGGCTAAATGGAAGCCCAGGGGAAGGAGATTTTCTTTTCTTTTCTTTTCTTTTCTTTTTTCTTTTCTTTTTTTATTTTACTTTAAGTTTCGGATACATGTGCAGAACGTGCAGGTTTGTTACATAGGTATGGTGTGCCATGGTGGTTTGCTGCACCTATCAACCCATGATCTAGGTTTTAAGCCCTACATGCATTAGGTATTTGTCCTAATGCTCTCCCTCCCCTTGCCCCCTACCCTCCGACAGACCTTGGTGTGTGTTGTTCCCCTCCCTGTGTCCATGTGTTCTCATTGTGCAACTCCCACTTATGAGTGAGAACATACGGTGGTTAGGTTTTCTGTTCCTGTGTTAGTTTGCTGAAGATCATGGCTTCCAGCTTTATCCATGTCCCTGCAAAGGACACAATCTCATTCTTTTTATGGCTGCATAGTATTCCATGGTGTATATGTACTACGTTTTCTTTATCCAGTCTATCATTGATGGGGCTATTTAGGTTGGTTCTATGTCTTTGCTATTGTAAATAGTGCTGCAATAAACATACGTGGCATGTGTCTTTTTTTTTTTTTGAGACAGTCTCACTCTGTCACCCAGGCTGGAGTGCAGTAGCACAGTCTCGGCTCACTGCAACCTCCACCTCTTGGTTCCTCCTGAAGACTGTAGGGGGTACTTGGGGTCACTGAGGAAACAGAGAGCCAGCCTTGTCATCCCCTCTGCTTTTCGGCACATCCCCATCACAGAGTTGTCCACGTTTGCTAAGGTGGGAGGGAGGGCCATTTCCTGGGATGGTGATTGATAAAGGCCCCAGCCCACAGCCTAACTTTTGAAACAGCCCAGCTCATTAAAAAAGACTACACAAAAGTGTCCCAAGGGGCTTGGAGTGATATCCAGGCACCAAAGGACAAATAGGACAAGAGGGGATTTCTCCAGGAATTCAGGTTCCATGAGGGTGAAGAGTTCAGTTCTGCCCCATGGCCACCGGCAAGGTGCCAAGACCCTAGAGCCCCAAGACGGCACCCCCTGGAAAGCAGGCCCCCACAAAGCCTCCCAGATTCTAGGACCCAAGGAGAGCACCAACAGGGGCCGGACCTCCAGGAATTTGGGGGTACCTCAGGATAACCAGTACACAAGATGGATAGAGAAACCTCAATACCTCAGTATGTCCTGAGATCGTGGCCCTCATGCCATTAATGGGAACTCCATTAATAACCAAGAATTCACTTCCTGCCATGCTGCAGGGTAAGCACTTGGCATTTCATTTAACTTCACTTTGGGAACTGAGGTCCATGCAGGTCACATGTGTCTTTTACACTAGAGCACTGGGTACATCTTTGTATTAAGAGGTCAGGAAATGTTTGCTGCCTGAGTGAATGAGTGAATAAAGGAATGAATGAAGGAGCCCGTGATGGGGCTGTGTTCTGAGGAGGCGAGTGTCTTGTAACCTCTGCCAGCCTTCACTCACCTTTTTTCCCTGTAGTTCCCCAGCCGATTACCCAGCACATGCTTCCAATGGATGGCTTGAATTTGATGTTAGGGAGGCAGACAGGCTGGACGAAGGGGGACCACGAGATGGAGTCCCTGAGCTTTAGGAGGGCAATGTCCTGAGACATGAGATTGCTGAAATCCTTATGAATCACCATGCGAGTGAGCGGGAGCTGAGTGCTATTTTCTGGGCGCTGGTGGACTCCCACCATCACGGAGTACAGGCTGAGGTCCTTGAATCTGCAGGACCATGGGTAGGAGGCAGGTCGCCAATGGTAAGGCCATAAGTAAAGGAGGAGACAGGCCCTGAGCTCAGGACCACCCAGCCAGGCCCCCTGCTCCCAGATCCCTAGATTCACCAGGGACTCCCCAGGCCAGAAAGCAAAGTCCCCAGCCCCCGCTGACTGACCTCTGCAAGCAGTGCGCAGCCGTGAGGACCCACTGGTGGTGGATGAGGGAGCCACTGCAGATGTACGTGCCCAGGAAAAGGATGCTCACCTGCCATGGCCACTTGCCTACCTCTACCAGCTTCCCCTTCACCACCCTGCAGGACACGTTGGTCTGACCGCAGGCCCGGAGCCAGGGCCCTGAGGAAAGAGGATCTCAGGCAGCAAAGGGCAACCCTCACACCCCTGGACACAGCAGATTTGAGACAGAGAGAGCTGCCTTCCAGCCCTGTCATAAGCAGCCACTGCCACATGCACATGTGAGAAGGGGCTTTTCCCACTGCCTCAAAACTGGCAACCAGCCGGGCGCAGTGGCTCACACCTATAATTGCAGCACTTTGGGAGGCCAAGGTGGGGGGATCGCTTGAGGTCAGGAGTTCAAGACCTGCATGGCCAATATGATGAAACCCCATCTCTACTAAAAATACAAAAATTAGCCTGGCGTGGTGGCACGTGCCTGTAATCCCAGCTGCTCAGGAGGCTGAGGCAGGAGAATCGCTTGAACCTGGGAGGTGGAGGTTGCAGTGAGCCGAGATCGTGCCACAGCACTCCAGGCTGGGCGACGGAGCCAGACTCTATCTCAAAAAAAAAAAAAAAAAAAAAAAAAGGCAACCAAAGGCCAGGGTCAGCAGGTACCCCACATTCTAGAGTTCCCAAACAATGAGGACCAGACAACTCCTCCTGGGCTTGTTGTAAGCCATCACCCAGGACTCATCCTTGCCCGTAGTTTACACAAACAGATGGTTGGGGGAGAGAAGCAGAAGAGAGAATCACCACAGGGGCGAGCTGTCAGCCAGGGGATAGGTGATGGGGCACAAGTCGGCCAGGCTGCCTGTCCCCAGTGAAGAGTAATGTCACACTGCACTGCTCTAGGGGCCACCCATGCCCCTGGAGGTGCAGTCCTTGTGACCGTGTAGGGAAGTGAGTAGAGATGTGTGTCCATTCCCTCCTTGACTCTCACTGGCCCCAGCAGCAGGGGTGAGAAGAGAGCAGGCTGCACTGAACCAGGTGTGAGATGGAGATTTTAAACAGGCCCAGTCTGGATTGCTACAGGTATTTACTAACTAAACATCATAAAGGATAAGAAAGGGAGAAAGTCACACCAGTAATCACAGAGCTTTGGAAAGCCCAGGAGGGAGGATGGCTTGAGGCCAGGAGTTCAAGGCCAGCCTGAGCAACATAGCGAGATCTTATTTCTACAAAAGCAAAATTAATCAGGTGTGGTGGTGCACACCTGTAGTCCCAGCTACTCAGGAGACTGAGGCGGGAGGATCACTTGAGCCCAGGAGTTCAAGGCTACAGTGAACTAGGATTGCACCCTCCATTCCAGCCTGGGTGACAGAGCAAGACCCTGTCTCTAAAAAAATTTTAATCTTTTTTTTTTAAATATGGAACGCTTCACGAATTTGCATGTCATCCTTTTTTCACCCCCAAAGAGTCTATTGAACACAGGTATTGAATTCTGGCTACAGCACTCGCAAACCACTGAAGCTCTGTGAGTCTCAGTTTCTCACTGTGAAATGGGATGCTGGTGAAGCTCGCCTCACAGGGTGTTGCGACCTCACTCAGTCTCAGCCGCGCTGATACAGAGTGGGCACTAAGCCTCACTTCCTCATCATCGCAAGATGGGGTCTCCTATGACTGTGCCTCCCAAACAAGCTCACTCGTTCCATGGATGTTAGTGTTAGTGTTAGTGTTAGTCTGTTCCTTTTTTTTTTTTTTTTTTTTGAGATGGAGTCTCACTTTGTCACCCAGGCTGGTGTGCGGTGGTGTGATCTCAGCTCACTGCAACTTCCACTTCCCAGGTTCAAGCTGTTTTCGTGCCTCAACCTCCTGAGTAGCTGGGATTACAGATGTGCACCACCATGCCCAATTTTTGTATTTTTAGTAGAGACAGGGTTTTGCCATGTTGGCCAGGCTAGTCTCAAGTGATCCGCCCTCCTTGGCCTCCCACGGTGCTGGGATTACAGGCGTGAGCCACTGTGCCCACTGCGTTCCCCCATTTTTAATAAGGCTCTTCCCTCCTGTCATGGTCACCCTTGAAATTGGAACCGCCCTGACACCGTTTGGGTCCCCAGTCTGCTGAGGATGTACCACCCACCAGGACATGGACACACCAAGGCCCTTCAGGCATGAGGACAGCCCGACACAGGCACCCGGCAAACAGACCCCTCCAGCCTCCGTCCCATGCCCCTGAAGCCTTACCTTCAATAGACGGCTGATAATCTAATCTGGCAGAGGAAAGCGGAGATGTAAGGCTTTGAAGATCCCCCGGCCCACAGGCCATGGCAAGTGGGTATCTACTCCTCAATGCTCCTTCTAACGGATGTGGAGGCAGAGGGGATGGGGCACCTCTACTATGCCAAGATTCTAGAACTCATGCTTTGTGTGTTCATGACTGTGGGGAGTAGGCATCCGCCCCAAGGTTGGAGGCCTACCTGGCTGTGGCAGTCACAGGACTCTGAGAAGGAGGCAGTGTGGTCATGGCAAGGCCCTGCCAGGGCCACAAGGTGATGCTGCTGTCAGGAACCTCCCTGGAGTGGTACTCCCGGTGCTCGGCCCGTGACAGTGCCTCCTAGGCCCAGCTCTCTGCAGTGTACCCTATGTCCAGCCTTGGCCTTGATGGTGCCCCCAGTGTGTAGTTCTGAGCCTGTGACAGTACGATGTGCCTGGCTCGTGACAGTGCCTGGTACCTGGCCCATGAAGCACCCTAGTGCCCAGCCCAGGCTCCTTTGTGAACCCCCTCTCACGCCTCCCTGGAGGTGTGGAAACTGAGGCACTGAGAGGGAGATAACTAGTTCTTGTAGTATGTGATGTGATTGAGGTGGAACTGGAGGTTTCTTTTTTCCCTCAGGGTCTGTATTTTCTTTACTTTTCTTTTTTTTTTTTTTTCCAGACAGGGTCTCATTCTGTCACCACGCTGGAGTGTGATGGTGGTGAGATCATAGCTCACTGCAGCCTCCACCTCCCAGGCTCAAGCAATCCTCCTACCTTAGCCTCCCGAGTAGCTAGGACCACAGGTGTGCACCATCATGCCTGGCTAATTTTTTTTAATTTTTTGAGAGACAAGGTCTCACTGTGCTGCCCTGGTCTCAAGCTCCAGGGATTACAGGCATGAGCCACTATGCCCAGCCCAAGGTCTGTATTTTCAAAGGAAAGAGCTCCTGGGTTGAGGAAATCTAGGTATGTTTAACCTGGCAGGGTGGCTTCCTAAGAGGAAGCCACTTGCAGACTTGGGTCTTCACAAATCAGCAGAATGAATGACATCTGGGGACACCTCGTCACCACTCCCCCGAGGTCTCCCTTCCCAAGGATCCCAGGCTCCTCACACTGTCCATGCAGGAAGCTCCTGCTCCACCCTGCAGCCAGTGCTGCCAAGGACACGGAGTGACGAGGTTGTTCACACACTGCTGGGGAGATAAACTGACATGACCACTATAAATGACTGTTTGGAATCATTTAGCAGAGCAGAAAGTGTGCCTACCCCACAACCCACAGTTCTACTCCTGGCTTCATGCCCTAGAAACTGCACAGATGCAGCAGGACAGGTGCAAGAGACTGTTCACTAGCAGTGCTGCTGGGAAGGGTCCCAGCTGGAAACTACCCAACTGCCATCCAAGGTGCAACAGCTACGCGGAATCTTCAGCGGCAGTGAGAATGGATGAGCTGCTGCTACACCTAGCTGGAAGGTGACGCTCATAACCCTATTCTGAGTGAGACAATTCAGATACAAAAGTCAGATACAGTCTGTGTACTGTATGAAATTAAAAAACAGGCAAAACAAACTAATTTTAGAGCTATATGGTAGAAAATCAAGGAAATTATTATCTGTACAATCAAATTCCCTCCAGGGGGAAAGACATAGAAAGGGAAAGAGGGAGAAAGAAAAGAGAAACTTCAGAGAAGAGAAACGCTATCACTCTTCTGCCTTTGCAGAAAATAATTCTTTGGGGGAAACAACCAATCAATAAAACAAAACAGGATAACTGAATAAAGATCAGGCATATCTGTTATCACAACCAATGTGAATGCATAGAATTCTACTTTTAAAATAAAAAGATCTTCATGTTGGGTAGAAAAAAACCCATCCACATACTACTTATTAAAGACACACCAAAAACAAAGTGGCATAAATAAGGTGAAAGTAAAAAGATGTGGCTGGGCTTGGTGGCTCACACCTGCAATCCCAGAACTTTGGGAGGCTGGGGTGGGTGGATGGCTTGAGCCCAGGAGTTCGACACCAGCCTAGCCAACATAGTGAGACCTCGTCTTTAGAAAAAATTTAAAAAATTAGCCAGGTGTGGTGGCATGCACCTGTGGTCCCAGCTACCCGGGAGGCTGAGATTGTGGTGAGCTGAGATCACGCCACTGCACTCCAGACTGGGCAACAGAATGAGACCCTGTCTCAAAAAATATTAATTTTAAAAATTAGAAATTAATTAAATTTTTAAAAGATAGGCAAAAATATATTTATATGCAAGCAAAAGTGGCAATGGCAATGTGAATCTCTAAAAATGATTCAAGACAAATTATTTAAACAGAAAAAGAAAGCTATTTTGTGTTGAAAAAGGCACAAATTGCAATATGTAACATCATAAAGTTCTGTCCATCAATAAAATAACATCAAACATATGAAACAAAATCAATCAGCAACACATGAGAAGCTGGAAAATCTCTCTTGCAGTGGGAGAGTCTTCTCCAACTCACTCTGTCCTTGAGAGACGGAATAGCTATAAACTACTAATAAAATAATACTAATAATTAGAGCAATACGTTATTTAAAAACCTTACTGGGTGTGCCCAAGGCAAATTCATAACCTTAAAGATATTTAGTATTGAATAACAGAGAATGAAAATAAATGACCTAAATACTCAAATCTAAAAACTATAAAAAGTGGAAAATAAACCAGAGGAAAATCTGAAGGAAAAAAAGTACAAAATATAAAATTGTACCTCAATCAATTAGAAGAACTGCCAAAATTAAGAATGAACTCTGATCTGGATCTTTGAAAAAACAAGTAATGTTACATAGGACAAAAGGCATGTTTTATATTGATAGGGTGTAACCCACTAAGATAATACAGCAGGCATGAACCCTGTATTCCTAACAACACAGCTTTGAAACATAGAAAGCAAGAATTGTGCAAGAAGAAATAGGCAAATTCTTAAGTTTTGCAGTAAACTTCTTAGAAATCAACAAATTATGCAGCCGTAAAATATGTCAGGTGTTGAGATAATTTGAATAACACAATCAACAAGCCTGATCCAATCAGTTATGGCTCAAACTTCGTTCTAAAACACACACTTTTAACTATTTTAGGTTCAGGAGTACATGTGCAGGTTTGTTACTTAGGTAAACTTGTGTCACAGGGGTTTGTTGTACAGATTATTTCATCACCCAGATACTATGCCTTGTATCCAACAATTATTTTTTCTGCTCCTCTCCCTCCTCCTTTGCATCACTAAAACCAAGGAGGCTCCAGGAACAATGCTGCTGTTGTTCCCCTCTATGTGTCCATGTGTTCTCATCATTTAGCTCCCACTTAGAAGTGAGAACATGTGGTATCTGGTTTTCTGTTCCTGCATTAGTTTGCTAAGGATAATGGCCTCCAGCTCCAACCATTTTCCCGCAAAAGACGTATCTCTTTCTTTTTTATGGCTGCATAGTATTCCATGGTGTTTGTGTAACACATTTTCTTTATCCAGTGTCATTGATAGGCCTTTAGGTTGATTCCATGTCTTGGCTATTGTGAATAGTGCTGCAATGAACACTTGTGAAAACACACACTTTCATTTCAGACGCACAACACTCACTAAGACTAACCAAATACTAAGCCACAAATAAAACCTCAAAAAATTCAAAAATGCAGAAATAATTAAATTCATACACAGTCGTGCATCACTTAATGACAGGGATACAGTATGAGAAATGCATTGTTAGGCAATTTCATCACCATGCAAACATAAGACTGTGCTTACACACGCCTAGATGGTACATATATATTTTTATGTATATGTATTTTTTCATCAGGAAAACCAAATGTCCCAGCACCATTAGTGAATGTCAGTCATTCCCTTACTTGTCTGCAATGCCACTATCAACTACCATATATCAGGTTTCTATATATGCTCCATTATAATCTTATGGGACCACTCTTGTATATGTGGTCTGTAATCGACTGAAATGTCATTATGTGGCATATGACTGTAGTGATATAGAGAAAAAGAAGCCCTCATTCCTCCCAAGAACTACCCATCAGGAAATTAAATAACACCCTTCTATATAACTCTTGGACTAAATAAGAAATATACTGTGAAATTATAAACAATACAGAAATGAATGACAATGAGGCCAGTACGTATCAAATCCTGTGAAATATGGCTAAAGTGGGACTCAGAGGAAAATTTATGGAATTAACTGAAAATACTAGAACACAAAGAACTCTAAAATAATGAACTAAGCCCACTACTCAAGAGGTTACAAAAAGAGCAATAAAATAATCACATGGAGGCATCCACTTCTCATTTTGGTATATTTTCTTCTACATTTTTTTCTTAAAAAAGAAGATTATGAGATATATATATATATCTAGATATATATATCTTTGAAATATATATATATATTTGAAGGCAAATTCATAACCTTAAAGATATTTATTATTGAATAACAGAGAATGAAAATAAATGACCTAAATACTCAAATCTAAAAACTATAAAGAGTAGAAAATAAACCAGAGGAAAATCTGAAGGAAAAAAAGTACAAAATATAAAATTGTACCTTAATCAATTAGAAGAACTGCCAAAATTAAGAATGAACTCTGATCTGGATCTTTGAAAAAACAAGTAATGTTACATAGGACAAAAGGCATGTTTTATATTGATAGGGTGTAACCCACTATATATATCTAGATATATGTATCTATATATACAGATATATAGACATATATGTAGATATATATCTCTCTAGAGATATATGTAGATATATATCTCTCTAGAGATATATGTAGATATATATCTCTCTAGAGATATATGTAGATATATATCTCTCTAGAGATATATGTAGATATATATCTCTCTAGAGATATATGTAGATATATATCTCTCGAGAGATATATGTAGATATATATCTCTCTAGAGATATATGTAGATATATATCTCTCTAGAGATATATATAGATATATGTAGATATATATCTCTAGAGATATATATAGATATATATCTGTATAGCTCTAGAGATATATATAGATTTTTTTTTTTTTTTGAGACAGAGTCTCACTCTGTCACCCAGGCTGGAATGCAGTGGCGCAATCTCGGCTCACTGCAAGCTCCGCCTCCCAGGTTCAAGCCATTCTCCTGCCTCAGCCTCCCGAGTAACTGGGACTACAGGTGCCCACCACCACGCCCAGCTAATTTTTTGTATTTTTTAGTAGAGACGGGGTTTCACCATATTAGCCAGGATGGTCTCGATCTCCTGACCTCGTGATCCACCCGCCTCAGCCTCCCAAAGTGCTGGGATTACAGGCATGAGCCACCACGCCTGGCCTATGAGCAATAATTTTTAAGAAAAAAATGTAGAAGAAGATATACCAAAATGAGAAGCGGATGCCTCCATGTGGTGGGACTCCAGGGGACGTCTATTTTCTTTAGGCTCGACTATGTTTTCTAATTTTCTACAATAAACATGCACTACTTTTATAATTGGTTTAAAAAAAAAGAAAGCTGCTTTTGGAGTACTATTGTGAGTCACTCCTACTGCAGCCTAAAAGCCTGCATGTTTCAACTGTTCCCTTAACAGCATGCCCACTTTACAGACAAGGAAACTGAGGTCACAGGCCCAGACTTTTTCCTTAAACCCCAGCACTAATGATACAGCAAAAACCAGCAGTCCCCACTCCAGACAGCCTCCTGGCAGACTTAATTCCAGGAAGCTCTGCCATCCCACCCACGGCCAACCCCCAGGACTACCCCAGAAAAGAGAAAAGAGTCAGCTCAAGTTTGCACATGTTTAATCCCTGCTCTCCTGGTCCCAGATTCCAGAATCCTTCTAGGCCACACTTCCCTTCTCCTGCTCACCCAAGGCCTAGTCATCCACCACACTTCTCCTCACCGGGATGCCAAAGCCAGACCCATTCTCCCAGGGGTTACTCTTCCCCACCCTGACTCTTTTTGAAGATGGACACATGACCTTGGTCAAACCATCTGGCCCCATTCAGCAGAGGCAAGGCAGGAGGAGGAAAAGGTAGGGAGGTCAGGAGCCCATCTGGGGCTGCAGCAGCCAGCACAGGAACAGGAGGCAGGCAGAGGCACAGGGACCTGAGAAGGCTCCATTGCTCATTTGCTTCTTGATCCATTTGGTGTATTTGGTGATGCGGGTGTACACACCTGGATTCTGTGCCTTCACGCAGGCCTTTTCCCAGGACAACACCCCAGCCAGAATCCATCTGCCCTCAACTTCACAAGCCAATGGCCCTCCAGAATCCCCCTAGGCAAAAAGAGAGGAGTGATGGAGGCTGTGGGTCCAGCTGGGCCTGCTGGGCCCTGTGGACCCATGCCCACCCTCTGAGCTCTGCTGGGAGGGTTTTCACTCCTCCAGGACCTCACTACTTGGGGTCCTCTTTTGGCTCCTCAGTTGGGACCCACACCCCAGAATCAGGGCAAAAGTCAGCATCACAGGGGAAGGAAGACAGGAGCAGAGCACTACTGGGTGATGGTAACGGAGGGAGGCCGGGCCAACCCCGCCCCAGGGAACTGCCTCCACCCAGGAGTGGTTCCCAGCAGAAGCAGAGCTACCAGAACCTCCCAGAAACTCACATAGCACAAGTTTTCCCCATAATTGGTGGCACAGATCATGTCCCCCAGGACAAGGGGGACAACTGGGGGGAAGAAGGACTTCTTGTAATGCCGGTCACACCTCTTGTTGTCCATGATAAACACCTCAGCCTCCTGCAGCTCTGGGGTCAGCATGGAGTTGGCTGTGGAGCCTAGCAGGGTGAGCAGTGACCTCTCACTCCACCCAACCCTGACCTCTGTCCAGGGTCCTGTCCCCTTCACCCTGGAGACTCAGCCCAGCCACCGCCTGTCATACCTCCAAGCCCTCCCCTCCTTCACCGGCCCCTCCCCCTGCAGTGCAGGCCTTGTCTGAAAAGCCCCCGCCCTCGAAGGCTCTGAGTCCAGATCCCCTTCTTGGGAAACTTCTGCTTCTGAACCAAACCAGCCATAACTCAAGTCTCAGTGCAGCCGCTTCCAATCTGGGGCCCAGCCCCGCGCTGCTTCCCTGCAGACTCTCAGCTCTGCTGGCACGGCCGCTCTCCCCACCTTCGTTAACACTCGCTCCTCCTCCAGGGCCTCAAGGCAGTCCCTCTGCCCAGAGCTCATTCCAGATCCCTCCCAGCTGGATCTCAAGACCACCAGACAAGAACTTTGCCTTGTTCTCCTCAGCCTGTGCCCACACCCACACCCAATCATGACTTCCCTCCAGGCAGGGCATGCATTTCTAATCCCAAGGGCTGGGTGCCGACACTCAAAGTGTGTCAAGTGAAGGAATGAGTGAATGCCCAGCTCTGAGCTTCTATAAGACACAGATGGTCATGCCCAGCCCAGGCACTACCAGGCCTGAATGAGGTGTCCACATAAACAGTGACAATGGTCACCACATGAGGAGTGGTCAACACATTCAGAGAACCAGGTCCAGCAGGAAAGGCCCCAGAAGGAAAGGAGTGTGCTCTCGGTGGTACTGCACCCACCCCCCATCCCATCCTGCTCATCTGAAAAGCGCTGCTTAACCTGGCTCCAGCCAGTCACCCAACACTGCGTCCCAACCTTCAGGTTGAAATTGGGCTCCGGGAGGCAGATGGGCTGCACGTACTCACTGAAGGTGACAGGTGTTTGAAGGTGGACAAGGGCAACGTCACCCATGATGAAGGCCCGGCCCCAGTACTTGGGGTGCATAATGATGTCCCTCACAGGGACCCAGAGGGCCCTGCTGAAGTTCATGGGCTGCAGCTTGGAGGTGCCAAGCACCACTGAGTACTCTTTGGTGCTGTGGGAAACAGAGAGCCCCACCTGGTAGGTATCAGACTCCCAAGCAGGAACACACTCCTACCTCCCCGTGGCCCTACCCCTTTAGCAAGAGTCCTGCCTCCACCCAATCTGCCTAATCCAGCCTGAGGGCACTGAAGATCTCAGAGCTGACTGCCTCCTCATTCATCATTCAAATTGATTCAAGGTGGCCTGGTCTGTGTGTTGTGCGTGCAGGTGTGGAAGTGTTGGTGTACACATATGCTCTCATGCGTGATGGGGTAGGGGGCGTGTTCTGGGTTTTCCTGTTGCTCAGCTTAGGGTGCAGTCTTTGTTGCTAGGGGCTCCCGCCCTAGCTCAGTCCCTGGCCCCCAGGAGACCCCGAGCACAATTCTCACTTATCCCAGATGCCCTTCCCACTCCCTACCTCCCTCCCACACTGTTTCACTCAGGAAATGAGGAAGCTGGGCTGGGCCCATGGTAGCTTGAGGTCTCCAAGCCCTGCACACATGGGCCATACTCACCCTTGGATGCAGTGGGCCGCAGTCACCACCCAGCTGGGGTCAATGAGGGCCCCTCCACACACGTGCTCATTTTCCATCCGGAGGCTCACCTCCCAGGGCCAATGGCGGGTCATTTCCAAATCCTCCGACCACCAGGGCTCACCACAAACTTCAGGAAGAAGTGTGCCAGGGAGACACAGGAACCACATAGAGGAGGATGAGAAAGACTGAGACCTAGATGCCCTACAGGGCCAATTTGCACAAAGCTGTAAACTCGGGGCCTCTTCCCATTTCAGAGATGGGGAGAGTGAGGGTGAGAGAAGGGCAGTGGCCTGCCCAAAAGCACTGAGCTTGACGGAAAGTGACAGTGACAGAGGTAAAAAGCATCAAGGCAGAGACATGGAGAGAGAGAGATTCTGAGTCACAGGGAGCCTTCAGCCCAGGACCTCAAAACAAAGGCAAGCAGAGAAGGAGCCCCAAGGCAAGCAGAGAAGGAGCCCCAAGGCAAGAAATGCATTTTCTTGCATCTGGGGAAGTTCCTCCGCCACTTCTGAAAAGCTATAATGCTTGCTGCATTTCTTAGATGCAGAAGGCCTGTGTCCCCTACACTGCTAAGAGTCAAGAAAAGCTCCTGACTTCTGTGTCAGAAGTTTTCACATTGAACATTCAAAGTGCCAGCAGGGAGACCCCAGAGGCCCCTCATTCACAGGTCACACACTCAGTTTTCACACAGTTCTATCAGTCAAGTTATATGGTTGTATGAACGTATGAAGAAACACAGATGCACGCATTCTAAATAAAATAGTAGCTCATGTTGTATTTTTAAAAAACAATGCACCATGATGATTAAGGATTGGCCCAGGAGTGCAAGGGTGGTTCCACATTGAAAGAATTCTCAGTGGATTCTCCACATAAAAGGTTCTAACAATCTGAAGACAGAAAGACCATGTGCTTTCCTCCACGGACACAGAAAAAGTCATTTGAAAAATTTAACACATATTTATAACTTACAAAAAAACCCCTCTTACTTAAACTAGAAATAGATGGAAAACCCTTAACTTTACAAAAGTTGGATATACCCCAAACTTACAACAAACATCATACAACACTAAAGAACAGGCAGAAAAGAACCTATCCCACCAGAGACCAGGAATAAGGACACTTTGTGGAAGGAGGGCAGAGGAAATAATTGAGAGAACGCAAGGGGGCTGCTGGGTGCTGGTTTAGCCTTTTTTTTTTTTTTTGGGACAGGGTCTCACTCTGTCACCCAGGCTGCAGTGCAGTGTCACAGCTCACTGCAGCCTTGACCTCCCAGGCTCAAGCGATCCTCTCACCTCAGCCTCCCAAGTCACCAGGACTACAAGCAGTTGCCACCACACCTGGCTAATTTTTAAAAAAATTTTTATAGAGACAGTCTTGCTATGTTGCCAGGGCTGGTCTCAAACTCCTGGGCTCAAGCAATCCTCGCACCTCAGCCTCTCTACATACTTATTCTACTTTTTAACCTGGGTGGTGATAACACAGGTATGCTCACTGTGTGACAATTCCTTCAGCTGGGCCTTCATAATTTGTGCATTTTTTTTGGAATGCATATAATACTTCAATAAAACAATTTCCTTTTAAAAACAATAATGTTTTTTTATCCCAGCACAACCAACTAGAAAATATACTGAAGTAACATACATTTTCAGCAGCGAAAAAATGATAAAAGTTCATAGGAATTAACTTACCTAACACCACATAAGACTCCTGTGGTAATAAATTTAAAACTCTAATAAAGGACACAGAAAATGATCAGCATAAATGGCAAGACAGTCCCTGCTCTTAAAACAACAGCTAAGGCCTGGCGCGATGGCTCACGCCTGTAATCCCAGCACTTTGGGAGGCGCAGGCAAGTGGATCACAAGGTCAGGAGTTTGAGACCAGCCTGGCCAACATAGTGAAACCCCGTCTCTAGTAAAAATACAAAAAAATTAGCTGGGCGTGGTGGCGGGCACCTGTAATCCCAGCTACTCGGGAAGCTGAGGCAGGAGAATTGCTTGAACCCAGGGGCCGGAGGTTGCAGTGAGCCAAGATCACGCCACTGAACTCCAGCCTGGGCAATAGTGCAAGATTCTGTCTCAAAAAAAAAAAAAAAAAAAAAAAAGACCAGCTAAACATTTTAGATGTAATTTTTCCAAAATTAATCTATAAATTCATTTTGTAAGTTAGAATTTTTAAGAAACTTGATAAACTTATTCTGAAACTGAAACAGAAAAACAAAGGTCTATGAATAGTTCAGTCTTTGAAGAAGCACAGCAAAGAAGGGTCATTTGTCCTAGCAGATATTAAGACACATGTGAAAGCCATAATAATAAAAACAATGTGGTACTGTCACAAGGACAGACAATGGAAAGTGACAATGGAAAAGAATAGAGAGCTTGAGATTGTTTCATGTGCTGCACAAACTTGATGTAAAGAAAGGAGCCACCACTATCAGTGGGTAAAAGAAGGACTGTTGAGTACATGGTGTTGGGAAAACTCGCTCACTATAAGAGAAATAAGAAAACCAAAACTGGATTCTTTGCTAATAGCACTTGAAGATCTAAAGGTAAAAGGTAAAACTGTAAAATAAATAAATCATGTGACATGGGGTAGGAAAGGACTCCTTAAAACCTCAAACACAAACCATAAAGCATAAACTGATTAACGTGATTATATCAAAATCGAGAGGTTTTGGCCCGGGAGCAAAGTTAACAGACAGAGGACAGATAGGGAGGAAATATTTGCAATATCTAAAATGAATACAAGACTTTATGCAAGAAACTTTAGGAAACCAACAAGAAAAAAAAAGATAATAGGCAAAGGATAGAGACAAGCAATTTATTAGAAGAGGAAACTCAAGAAGCCAACAACATATTGAGACATGATCAAACTCATCAGTAATGAGAAAAATGAAAATTAAATCAATAAGTGATTTTTCAATCTATTAGATTGGCAAAAAACATAAACGCAGGATCACACTAAGGGTTGGTAGGTCTGTGGCAACCTATACACCTTCATGCACTGCTGAAGTAGGAGTTTAGAGAACTGACCAAATTAGAATATGGATAGTAGATAAAAGTACGGTATGAATGTAAACTTTTGAAGTTGTTAAGCACACTGTAGTTATGGAAGAGAATATTCTCAGAAAATACATACCAAAGTATTTAGCAATAAAGAGCCATGCTGTATGTTACCCTCCACTGATTCTGAAAAAAATTATATATGTATGCGTGTTCCTTGTACTACTTGTATTTTTGCAGTGTTTTGTAAGTTTAAAATTATTTCCAAATTTTAAAAAGTCTTAATGAGGCTGAATTAAAAGGGATAACCGAAAGAGATACAGAGAACATACCATTTATGTAAATTAAAAATACATGCACACAAGACAGCAATATGTATTTTTACAAGAGCACACACAAACAGAAAGATCCCCAAGAAAGATTAAGCGGGTGGAGAAGGGGAATGGGAGTGGAGCTTGGACAGAAGCAAGGATAACTAACTTAATCCATCAGTCATCCATTCTATAATGAATTAGGGTAGAGTTCTGGCAGGACCGATGAGAATAGAGGCCCATAAACTGAAGAACAGGAGTAACCCAACGCTCCATGCCTAAGGTGTAAGGAAAAAGACAGGAAACCCAGAAGAGCTGGGCTCTACTGACACTGCCACAAGGCCCAGGAAGTTCTATCTGCAACTGAATGGCTTAGAGCTCAAAAGGTTCTGTGTGCAAAAGGGTCTGAGATGAGGCCTGGGCTGAATTCCAAGAGGCTCAGCATTCTTATGGGAGGCCAAGATCCTCTTTCCTCTAGACTGTTAGGTCTATATGTTCTGGTAGCTGCAGGCTGTTCTTTAGAAAACAGACCCCTTAGACCAAATGCCTGCTTCCTACAAACCCAGCACCACTGTCTATGTGACTCCCTTCAGACATACCCTCCCAAGAGCTTCAGCTTTTCCTGCAGCAGGGTCTCACCCTACCTACCTGGATTGGTTGTGTCCTCTTTATAACCTGGAGGAGAAAAGAGGGACAGAGATGAAGCAAGCATTCACGACAGGATGACAGCAAAGAGGTGCATTTTTAAATTAGTTCATTCATTCATTCACCAAATAGGTCCTAATCTCCCACTCTGTTCCCAGCCTGGAGCCAGAGGCTGGGGAGACAGAGGTGTGTCAAATAGAGCCTACTCTCAAGGAATACAGTGTCCAGCAGGGTGGACAGAGGTAAATACACAACCACCTGCATGAGATCAGTGCAGGGACAGGGTGGCAGGCTTCAGGGGAGCCCAGAAGAAGTGGTGGACAGAAAAGACCACTTCAGTGGGAGGAGGGCTTACTGTGCCAGGTGTTAAAGATGAGAAGGTAAACAGAAATGAAAAGTGATCATCACATTCCTTGCAGGAGAAACATCGTCGTGTATGCCAGACTGCAGAGGATGAAGGGCAAGACCTGTGATGGCAAGAGATGAGCCAGGGGAGGAGAGTCAGGCATCAGTCATGAAGGCCTCGAAAGCCTGGCCAAGAAGCCAGGGTGAGACCCTCTGGGAAAAGGGAGATCAACAGAGGTATGACTGAGCCAGGCTTGCATAGGCAGCCCAGATATTAGACAGGAAGATGACAAGACTGAGGCACTGAGATCCCACCAGAGGCTCTGCAGAACCAAGGCAAGAAATGAGGAGGTCCGAATGAGGAAGTGGCTGTGAGAACAGACACGGTGAGCTGTCTGGGGGACTTAGGCACATGGGTGGGTCTAGGATCACACCGCAGTTTCTGATTTTGGAGAAAAGTGGCTGCCATCCACTTAGTTAGGAAACAATGAGAGAAGTCAGTTGGCAAGAAGAAGAAGACCTCAGCATTGACCCCAAGGGGTTGAGATGTTCCTAGGTCTTTCAGGTAGAGATGTCCAGGAGGCAGCTGCACATCCAGACATGTTTTATGAGGCACCATCACATAAATGGCAGCTCAAGTGAGTTCACCCAGGGAGCAGTTAAGAGGGGAGGAGCAGGAAAAAGAGAGCAGCTTAGGGGACACCAACACGTCTGGGATGAACAGAGCACGGTGGCATGGGACAGACACAGAGGAGAGGGGGAGTTACCCTTGAGGTAGAGGAGAATCAGGAGACCACAGAAAATGAAAGAGGAGGGGGTGGTACAAAGGTCAGGGATGATCAGGGTGGAGAGAGCCCAGGAAGGAACTAAGGGTTAAGTGGAGAGCGAGGAGGCACTGGCAGGAAGCATGGAGTGAAGACATTTGGGAGGTCTCGCAGTGAAGGGGCAAGAGATGGGGGAGAAAAATCAGCAAAGCAAAAACAAGAGGATACCTATGAGAGAGGATGGTGGAGGGAGTGTCGCACAGGGAGAGCCCACACAGCAGGGCACAGGTGAGCCGCTGGCCCTGCACCAGAAGCAGGCCTCTCTGACTCCTAAAGAAGTAGGTGAGGGTGGTGTTGAGCAGTCCAGTTTGGAGGGGCCCCTGTGGGTTTGGGGATTGGGTTCAGGAAGACAGCACCCAAAGCCTGTGTTTTCTGAGGGAATGATGGGCTGCTAGGGAGGCAAGCTGGGTTGGAATAGAGGATCTGGGAAGAAGGTGAATTTTAGAATATTCCTGTAGTGGATGGGGACCAAGAATTTTCCTGGGCCAAAGAGCATGTCCAAGTGGGGTCTCCAGTGGGGCTCAGCTCCATGAGAAGATCAGAGCGGGGGGTGGAGGGGGAGCCTATGAGAGGCCTGAGGGCGGCTCGGGTGGTAGGGACATTAGCCACGGTGTCCAGACTGGCAGCGAAAGGGGTTCCCGCACCGCTGGTTCAGGGCGCTGTAGGACAGGTGTGCCCTGACGGAGGAGGCCAGAGAGGGCAGGAGTTTAAGATCCTGGAATCGCCCTGGCGAGGTCCTGGGCGCGAGTAGTAGAGGAGAGCTGACCGCGGGGTGCGTGGGCCGCAAAAATCCCCGACCCAGGAGTAGGCAGCCACACCCCGGGCCAGTCCCCCGCCTCCAAGGCCAGGCACGGAGCTGGAGGCGGAGCAGGGCTGGGGCCGGGGAGAGGGAAGGTAGAGCTGCGGAGGAGCGCCCACCTCACCCGAGCTCAGCGGCAGCAGAAAAAGCAGCGGCAGCAGGACGCGGCGGCTCAGGACCGAGGGCCTGGAGGTTCCGGGCCCCACGCCCGGCCATGAGGCTGGAGGGTCGAGGCCATGAGGCTGGGGGCCATCATAAGGCCATGAGGCTGGGGGATCGAGGCTCGACCGTGAGACGGCCATGAGGCTGGGGAGGTGCCACCTGGCGGCTGCGGAGACGGTTCCCGAGAGCCCGGCATGTGCCTGGCGTCTGCACACGTGACCGCACTGTAGCACGTGATGGCGCCGGGAACTCCCGACAGCTCCCCGCAAAACTGGCGCATTTCCCTCACCTCTATCTCCTGCCTGTTCTTGAGGACGACCTGGGAGTCCTGAGTCTGTGATTGCTCCCAGGGTGGCGGGCCCCATGAAAGCACCCCCAAGGGTTTTAAGTTGGTGACAATGCCCAGAGAACCTGGCCGATGAAGGTGCACCGCATCCCTGGACTACTAATGGCATCCTGTTGCCCAGCCTCTGACTACACCCTTGGTTCCCTGGTCCCAGCGCACTGGAGAGTTTCACAATTACTCTTGGTTTGAGAATCTGGAAAGATGGAGAAAGCACAAAAAAAGGAAAAGAACTGTAAGGCTATGGAATCAGAGAAGATGTCTTTGAAAAAGTGATATTTGAGCTGGATCTAAGACTACTGTAAAACAAGGACTCTTGGGGGAGACCAGACAAAGGAAAGACATGTGTCCTCTTCCACAGACAACCAGTAAGATCGTGGCAGCTAAAAGGAATGGTGGCTTGTGCCAGGCCTTGGGCTTCCACAGGGATTTTTTGCAGAAGGATGCTGTCTTTGGATCTGCTAGGCATGGCAGAGATTGGGAAGTGATCAGCTGGACTTGGAGCCACATTCCCTCCCCAGCCTGGCACCTAAGTGGGTCCACATGAATAGAGGTGATGTGTGCCACTTCCATGCCAAGGCAGTCAACAGGAGGTTGCCTTTTCTATTCTTGTTAATGCAGAGCATTGCTTCTCAAAGTGAGGTCTCCAGACCAGCAGTATTAGCATGAGCCAGGAACTTAGAAATGTACATTCTTTAGGTCTTTCAGGTAAATGTACATTCTTGTTAGAAACGTACATTCTTTTAAGGTCTTTCTACCTGAAAGACAGAGAATGTAGGCCCCGTCCCAGACCTACAGGATTGAAAACTCCAGGGGTGGAACCAGGAACCAGCAATCTGTAATTTTGTTTTAAGAGATGAGGTTTCCTCCAGTCCCCCAGGCTGGAGGGCAGTGGCATGATCATATATCTCTGCAGCCTCAAACTCCTGGGCTCAAGACTTCTTCCTGCTCAGCCTCCAGAGTAGCTGGGACTACAGGCACAGGCCACCATGCCCAGCTAATTTTTTTTAAGAGACATGCTACATGCTCCTGGCCTCAAGGGATCCTCCTGCCTCAGTCTCCCAAGTAGCTGGGATTATAGGGATAAGCCACTGTGCAGGCCAGTAATCTGTATTTCACAAGCCTTAGGGGATTCTGATGCAGGTAAAGCATTAACTACAGGACTGAGAGCAAGCCACGAGATGGAGAAAGCTACCTGCTGACCAAGAACGCTGTAATGGGATGTTCTAGGGAAAAAAAGTTAAATTTGTTTTATTAATCTATGAATAAATCAGTGGTTTCTTAAAGCAGGTAGTGCTATATTCATTAAGAGACTGGGTTTGATGTAAGCTCTCAGTCTCTTGGCCTCAGCCTTCCTCAGGCAACAGAAGGGACTGATACAGACTGTCCACTGAAGCCCACCCATACCTGGGGGTTAAACATTCAACCCTAGAAGGGCAAAGGGCAAGAGGCTGGGAGGGGGTTGATCAGTAGCTAGACAGAGAGACTCCAGGACACCAGACTTTGTAATGAGGGGAGAGAACCTATGTATACTACAGTGAATCTCTCTTGCCCTTCTCCCGGTGGGAACGCCTATCTTTGGTAACCAAGTGGGAGGGAGCAGCAAGGAGAAGCAGTAGATGAGGAGGAATGTTTCTCACACCCGAACTTCACTCCTGGGCCTACTTCCAGTGTCTCTTGATCCCCTATCCCTAACTGTAGAGACTGTTAAGCTCAACTACAGAGCTCCCTGCAGAGATGCTGATGGCTATAACAGGCATACAGGGAACAAGACCCATTGGCTCAAATCATCCCTAGAGCTCATGTCTGAGGAAGCAGGGCCTCACCTGTCCTTCTACATTTTAATAAGAACCACAAATAGCTTCCTTAGTTAAATGGGAAGCCAGTTCTCTATAGAGTATGTTATATTCAACCAAACTCGCCAGTGAGCAGAGCTTCAGAAACAGGAGACTCTCCAAACATTTATTCAGTTGATTTATGAAAACTCCACACTTCATAACTGCCTCAACACAACTTGTGGTGTCCCTGAAAGTGGCCACTAGGGCACTGAGGAAGGGGGTGCCAAGAATGGGTTGCTCCAAAAGAACTAGTGTGGCAGAGGCTGTCCACTCACAGATGGATCCACACTGGGCTGCAGGGGAACTTCTCCCAGCCCCAGACAACTGAGCCAGAGTGGAAGTCCCAGGCCTCACACGTCTGCAGGGACCTGGTAACGCCTCCTTCACTCTCTGTGAGCAATCACCCAGCTGGCTGGTTTCACAAAGTCTCAGGTGAGAGCCCTGAAACCAGAACCACATCTAACGCTTGCTTCACCGTTGATGATGTCTCTTCTTTGATAGATGTTCCTCCAGATATTGACGAGTCACCGTGGCCCACCTGGCAGAGCAGCTGGCCCTCTAGACCAGAGCACCAGGCAGGGGCACTTTCCAGGCCCCAGTCTCCCTGCCATGCTCTATTGTACGGATCTCCAGAGGGCCCGTGGATTCCAACTGGGATTTGCGGAAAGGGCATTGAGAAGGAGTGGGAAGTTGGTCAGAGGAGACACCTAAGTGTGAGACTCAGAAACAGCAGAAGAGTGGAATGGGGTCTGATCACGAGGTCACCAGGATGCCCAGGGGCATCACCAGACACAGGACTAGGATGAGGAAGTCTTTGAATTCAAACAGGAAGCTTGTCTCAGGTGATCAATAATCCATTTCTTGTAGAAACTAACTTCTGTGTAAACTCCAGGGTATCCTTTGCGACCGCAGCCAATGCCCCAGCTCACAATCCCCACCTGGACCCATGTGCCATTTAATTCACAGACCAGGGGCCCCCCAGAATCTCCCTGGAAAAAGAAAGACAGTCACTGTAGGAAAGAAATAGGATCCACATCAGAGCAGGCTAATTGCACTGCAATGCGCTACAGAGCTAGGCACTCAGGGGGCTTCCCCAGGAACCCCTAAGACCCTCCTAGCCTTAGGTATCTGTCAATATGAGATCTGAGAATTGACAATTTCCAATAAACCAAAATCATGTACCTACTAAAAAGGCGTGTTCCAAAAAACGGAATATACCTAATGAAATCGTGCCTACTCTGAGACAATAATGAGTCAAGTGCTAACCTGAGTACACTGCCTGTCACACAGAAGGGTCTCAAAACATGGAGCATGTATTGTTGGTGGGACCTGCCTGATTCACCCCTCCTCCCACTCCAGGCTGTGTCAGTTGCTCTCTCCTGAAGGATCAGGTAGGCTGCCCAGGAGAGCCTTGGTGGCTTGTCCTCACATCCCATTACCATGAATAAGGGTAAACAGAGGGGCTAGGAGATAACCCAGGCCCTACTGGCTGGGAATGAGGAAGCTTTGAGGAGACAATTGCAATGCTGAGGCAGCAAGACGCCCATGAACTGACCTGACAGGCATCCTTCCCTTGGTCATTATAGCCACAGACGGTCCCCCTCGTGACCATTTTACTCTTGGATATATTCTTGTTCTTGAGCATCTCACAACATTTCTCATGACGCATAATGTTTAGCTCAGTCTCCTGAAGAACAAGTGGCATTGGTCCTGAAACTGCAAAGACACAATTTACAAGAGAGTGGATCTTCACAAAGGGATAGAACAGGAGCCCCCAGTGCCCACTCTGAGTCCTGATTGGTGTGTTTAACACAACTGCCCAAATTAAAGGAAGTCAGGGCAGTGGACAATGTCACCACTTGACATAGAAGGAAACTCGAGCTTAATGTTGACATGGAGAAAGGAAAGGACAAGAAGCAAAATCAAGACAGTAAAAGGAAAAACAGATCAGGAGAGGGAGAGGCAAGGCCTTGTCAGCCTGAAAAATGGCAACCAAGTATCTGTCACTCTGAGTATCAGCAGAAATGACAGGCTGTCCTGTGCATCAGTAAAGCATCTTTACTTTCTAGAGCAGGATCACAGACTCTTAGACAGGTAGTGCCTCTCCCTAAGGATAGGAGTCCCCACAGCCTCACTGGCAGGGTTGCTCTGGCTTGGCCTACACTGCTAGGGTGAAGAAGTTCAACCCATCAAGGCAGGTCCTTCTAGTGGGGGTTGGCTCCTATTGGCAGACAGCTCATCACCCTGAGCTGAAATTTACCCTGAAGAGAACCCACTACACTTGGCCCCCAAGCCCCAAGGTCCCAATATGACGACAGAAATTCATAACATAGTTGTTAAATTACTTCCTGGCAGCATCTTCTCCACCCTCCTCCCTCACCCACCTGCTAGAAAATGGCCTCCCTGCCTCTCCCAATAGCTTGCAGGCCAAGCCCAGCCCACCAGACTGTCCCACCTCAGCATCCTGCCTGTCTCACCACTCTCTGACACTTGGCCCCATCCAGTCACCCAGCACTCTGTCCCAGCTTCCACTTCAAAAAGCTTTTCGGGGAGGCACGCAGGCTGGATATGTGAGGAATAATTCACAGAGTAGGCGAGCAGAGCAAGGGCAATGTCGCTTGTCAAAGTGGCAAAATCAAAATTGCTAGGAAAAATGATGTCTCAAACTGGGATCACCAGTGCCTCTTTGGAACCAGCATGCAAGTCAGGGTCTCCCAGCTTCACCTTGTATTCCAAATTACTGTTGAGAGAAAAGATGGCCTTCACAGAGATCCTGGGGGGACGTCTATGCTCCCCTTCCACACCTTCCAGGTGCTTCCAAGCCTGGTCCCATCTTCCTATGCCAGCCAGCAGCCACCTCCCTCCCTCCCAACCACATCCCCTCAGGACCCCTGACCACTTTAGCCAGTGGTCCCCAGATCGGCGGCGGCGGCAACACCCGGAAACTTGTTAGAAATGCAAATACTCAGGTCTCACCCAGACTGGATAAAAACTATGGGGCTGTCACCCCCTTTTACAGATGAGGAAGAGGAAGCTCAGGGAAGGGGACAGACTGGCTCCAGGTCCCACAGCCTGATCAGGGCCCAAGCTCTGAGCCCCAAACACTCACCTAAAGACACAGTGGGCGGCAGTGAGCACCCAGCGCCTGTCGATGAGGGAGCCTCCGCAGTGGTGTATGTTGCTGGTCTGCAGGCTCACCTGCCAGGGCCACTTCTTGTTTGGGGCTGGCAATCCTCCAATCATCCTTGAAACACGGTGGCCACAGGCTGGTGGGCTCAGTAAAGAGAGGGGACTGGAAGTGAAGCCACTACCTTCCCACCACCCCACCAGGCTGCCCAGGGCGGAGGCGGGTTATCTATCCTCTCTCTCAAATCATCTAGGTCAGGGTCTGACCCTCAACCTCCCTGAGCCAGGCTGTGTCCCCTTTGACCTACCCCGCAGGCCAGGACAGATCTAGCACCAGAAACAATACCCTGAGAAAACTGCCTTCCAAGGTCAGAGATTCCGTCGGATTCCAAGGCTTCTCCCACTGTAGATGCTGAAGTAACCCAGGATCCTGGAGGCCCTGCGGTCGCTGGAGACCCTGGAGCTACAGAAGTTTCTGGAATTTTGGGGAATTTCGGGTGCACAGGAGACGTCCGGGCTTCTGGGCTTGCCGGGGTCATTCTGGAATCCTCCTCGGGTCGGTATGGCTCACCTGGTGAAGACGGGGACCCGCGGCGAACAGGAGCTGGCCTGGCGGCGCCTCCTCCGCGTCTGCCTGTTCCCACAGCGCCCCCACTGCCACCCCACACCCAACGTGGGTGCAGCCCAGCCCCGCCCTGTCCACTCCCAGCCTCACTGAGCAGGGGTTGAAGGAACTGAAGCCAGATCAGGAGGTGGAGGCTCAGGCGTGTGCCTCCACGGCCCCTGCGGAGGCCGTCCTGGGACGCCATGGGCACCGTCAGCACGCCTCGTGGTGCCCCCTCGCGGCGGCTCCGCCCTGGTCGTGGTGTTGGCGGGACCCCAGTGTGCCGGCGGAGACCTGAGGCGGCTCTCGCGAGCCCCGGTCACTCAGCAAAAACTAATCCGGGTAGTGCTGTGAAGGAAGTGGCTTTCAATATGTAATTCGTCCTGTGAACCTTAAGATAGAGATTTTCCTGGATTATCCAGTTGAGTGTAATTTTTTTTTTCTATGGAGTTTCACTCTTTCGCCCAGGCTGGAGTGCAGTGGCATGATCTCAGCTCACTGCAGCCTCCACCTCCCAGGTTCAAGCAATTCACCTGCCTCAGCCTCCCAAGTAGCTGGGATCCCAAGCGCGGGCCACCACGAGCGGCTAATTTTTATATTTTTAGTAGAGACGGGGTTTCACCATGTTGCCCAGGCTGGTCTCAAACTCCTGACCTCACGTGATCCTCCCGCCTCGGCCTCCCAAAGTGCTGGGACTATAGGGGTGAGCCACCGCACCCGGCCCAAGTTGAGTGTAATCTAATCACTGGATACCCTTCAAAGCAGCAAAAAATACAGTCTACCCAGTGGAAGGTTTCAAGCAAAACAGAAAGAGCCTGCTTTCCTGCAGCCTGGGGTTCCAGCTACTCCGAAGGCTGCGGCTGAAGGATCACTGCAGCCCCGGGGTTTGCGTACAGCCTGGACAACATATTGAAATGCCATCTCTTTAAAACAAAACAAAACAGAACAAAGTATGATAAATAGAAAACACAAAACAAGATGGCTCTAATCAATCCTAATACAATAGCAATTGTGTTACATGTAAATGTGTTGGAAAAAAACAAACAAAACAAATACTTTACAATTAGAGAAAAAAGATATCATCCAGAAATATACTATATGGAGAGACAAATTTAAAACAAAAAGATACAGATAAATTGAAAAAGGGGGATAGAAAAAGAAATCCCAAGCAAATCTGAAACACAAAGTAAGTAGTATAGCAATTTTCTTCTTAGATCATAGTATTTAAGGCAAGATCATGATAAAGGGACAAAAAGGAATCTTATTATATAAAGTATAAATAAGAAATGACCAAGAAGATGCAGAAAAAAGCCTATAATACTCAAAGAAACAGGTGACCAATTAATGGGAGACTGGAGTTTTTGATATGTTACCCTTAAGAAACTGCTGGATTACACAGACAAAATTAAGCAAAGATAAAGAAGATTTGACTATTAATAATCTTCACCTTAGCTATATAATAAATTTTACAACTACCAACAGAGAACACTTGCTCAATGACCACTAAGGGAACATTCAGAAACGATGCCACAGAGAACAACAAACTCCAGGGAATGATTGGTATATAGATTCTGTTCTTGAGTCACAAGTCAATAATATTAAAATCAATTTTTAACATATCAAAAAATCCCATCTTTCTGAAACAAAAACAAAACCCTTCTAAGTGGTTCTTCTATAAAAAGAAAATCATGAGGGAAATAATGAACATTTAGAGGTGACTGCCAATGAAAACACTACATATCAAAGCATATGTGATGCAGATAGACCAGTCCCAGAAAGTAATTTACAGCTTTGACAAGATCAGAAAAGAAAGACTGATAGCAAATGAGATAAACATCCAACTCAGAAAGTGAAAAGGATCAATGGAGTAAACTCAAAGAAAGAATTTGCGACGAAGGAGAAAATAATGGAAAAAGGAGGCAGAAATCAATAAAGTAGCCAGGCACAATGTCTCAGGCCTGTAATCCCAACACTTTGGGAGGCTGAGGTCGGAGAATTGCTTGAGCCCAGGAGTTCAAGACTATCCTGGCAACATAGTAAGACCCTGTCTCTACTAGAAATAAAAAAACCAGCAGGTGTGGTGGCGTGCACCTATAGTCCCAGCTACTTGGGAGGATGAGACAGGAGAATCGTTTGTGCCCAGGAGTTCAAGGATACAGTGAGCTATGATCAGGCTGCTGCACTTCAGCCTGGGTGATAGAGTGACACCCTCTCTCTTAAAAAAAAGGAAATCAATAAAATAGAGAAAAAATTGTGGAGAGAATTAGCACCATCAGAATTTTGTTATTTGAAAAGCCTAATAAATTAAACAACATTCTAGTAAGATTAAAATAAAAGAAAAAAAGCAAATACAGAATGAAAAAGGGAAAGCAACTTAAAGAGATATTTTTAAATTACCTATGATAGATATTTTTAATTATAAAGGAATATTGGCTGGGCACTGTGGCTCATGCCTGTAATCCCAACACTTTGGGCAGCTGAGGCAGGATTGCTTGAGCCCAGGAGTTTGAGACCAGCCTAGGCAACATAGTGAGACCCTGTCTCTGAATCAAATAAAATAAATTAGCTGAGGATAGTAGTGCATGCCTGTAGTCCTAGCTACTCAGGAGGCTGAGGCAAGAGGATCACTTGAGCCTAGGAGGTTGAGGTTATAGTAAGGTATGATTGTACCACTGCACTCCAGCCTGGGTAACAGAGCAAGACCCGGAAAAAAAAAAAAAGAAGAAAAGAAAAGAAAAAGAAAAGAGAGAGAGAAAGAAAGAAAAGAAAGAGAAAGAAAGAAAGACAGAAAAAGAAAGAAAGAAAGAAAGAAAGAAAGAAAGTAAGTTATTAAATGCTGACTTCTCCTTCTAGCCGTGGAATATAAAAAGACTGACCTTCCCACCTGAAACAACCAAAAATGGACAAACATCTGAAACAATAGTTTTTAAGATACTGGACACCCACCAAAAAAAATAGAATCCCTAATAGATGGGAAACAAATGGTGTAAGCCCTGTGACTGCCTCAGGTTTATGACTTGAGAGAATTTCCAGGCCACAGTACAGAGAAGGAGAACGTAGGCAGAATCCAGCAGGCTCCTGGATGTGAGCAGGTATTGCTGAGAGGCCAGGAACATGGAAGCGGCTGTGCTGATAAAATACTGCAGAGGAGAGTGGCACAAAGAAAGAACACAAAGATCTGCAGAGGCTCCCTGCTGTAGTTTGGATGTTTGTCCCCTCCACATCTCATGTTGAAATTTGATCCCCAGTGTTGGAAGTGGGGCCTAATGGTATGTGTCAGGGTCATAGGGGTGGATCTCTCATGAATAGATTAATACCCTTCCTGGAAGAGGAGGAGTGAGTGAGTTCTCACTATATTAGTTGCCAAGAGAGCCGGTTGTTAAAAAGAGCCTGGCACATCCATGTCCCCTCTCTTGCTTCCTCTCTTGCCATATGATCTCTACATACTAGCTCCCTTTTGCCTTCTGCCATGAGAAAAAGAAGCATGAAGCTCTCATGAGAAGCAGATGCTGGCACCATGCTTCTTTACAGCCTAGAGAACCATGAGCCAAATAAACCTCTTTTTCTTATAAATTATCCAGCCTCAGGTATTCCTTTATAGCAACACAAATACTCCCCCTTGAGTATTAAACTGAGTATTGGTCAGTGCATGTCTGTGAGGAAACGACCTGAAGCTAGAGAAATAACCACTGAAAAGAATTAGAAGTAACAATGCCTGGTGCTCACACAGGGCCAAGAATAGAGCCTGCTTCCATTAGTTGGACAAAGAAACTCAAGATTCACAGAGCACTGGGTAGAGTATCCAGGAAGGTCTTGCCTCAGCAATGGGGAATAATTAGGCCTAGACTGAGAATTGTCCTGCTTAAAAAATCTTAAAAGCAAGATCTGAAAAGATCAAACAGTTTCCAAGTAATTTAAATGCATCCCCAAACAAAGCTCAAGAATATTTATGAGAATATGAAAATATCAAACAGCCAACAAGGTAAAAGTCACTATGTCCAGTATCCAATCAAAGAATACCCAACATGCAAGAAGCATGAAAATACAACTGATTATGAGGGGAATCATCAATTAATCTTATCCTCTCCAAACTGACACAGATGTTAAATGCACAGGCAAGGGCATTAAAACAGTCATTATAACTTTAAGTTATACATATACATATATATTCAAAAAGTTCAGGAGAGATATCTAAGATGAAAAATGACCCAAATCAAACTTCTAAAAATGAAAACTACCATGTATGTCAGAAACACACTCACGGGATTAGTAACATATTAAACTTTGTGGAAGAAAAGATTAGTAAACTTGAAAACCTAACAATTAAAAAAAATTTGACCGGGCGCAGTGGCCCATGCCTGTAATCCCAGCACTTTGGGAGGCCGAGGAGGGCAGATCACCTGAGGCTGGGAGTTCCAGACCAGCCTGACCAACACAAAAATTAGCCAGGCATGGTGGTGCATGCCTGTAACCCCAGCTACTCGGGAGGCTGAGTCAGGAGAATTGCTTGAACCCAGGAGGCAGAGGTTGCGGTGAGCCGAGATTGCGCCGTTGCACTCCAGCCTGGGCAACAAGAGGGAAACTGCATCTCAAAAAAGAAAAAAAAAATTCAAAATGAAACAGAGAGTGTTAAAAGAAAAAAAGAGAGAGAGAGAGAGAACATCAGTGAGCTGTGTCCTAATGTGTGAGTATTTGGACAAAAATATTTAAAGAAATAATGTTCAAACGTTTTTAATTTGATAAAAACTATAAGCCCACAAATCTAGTAAGCTCAATGAACACCAAAGAAAGAAACATGAAGAAAACTAAACCAGGCCAGGAGTGGTGGCTCACGCCTGTAATCCCAGCACATTGGGAGGCTGACGTGGGCAGATCACCTGAGGTCAAGCGTTTGAGAACAGCCTGGCCAACATGGTGAAAGTCTGTCTCTATTAAAAACATGAAAACTAGCTGGATGTGGTGGCATGCACCTGTAGTTCCAGCTACTTGGGAGGCTGAAGCAGGAGAATTGCTTAAACCCGGGAGGCGGAGGTTGCAGTGTGCCAAGATCGCGCCACTGCACTCCAGCTTGGACAACAGAGAGAGACTCCATCGAAAAAAAAAGTATATATATGTGTGTGTGTATATATATATATATATAACAAGTATGTGTGTGTGTGTGTGTGTGTGTGTGTGTGTAAAACTAAACCAAAGCACAACTTAATCAACTTGCTTAAAACCAGTGATAAAGTAAGTACAGAAGAATAAAGATAAGGATGACAGTAGATTTCTCATCAGAAGCTGTACAAGCAGGAAGACAGATAAGCACCATTTTTTAAGTGCTAGAAGAAAAAAACTTCTAGAATTTTATTTCAAAAATGAAGGCAAAATACAGATTTTTTTCAGGCATGCATAAGATGAAAGACTATCACCAGCAGATCTGCACTATAAAAAAGTTAAAGTCATTCAGACAGAAGGAACACTAAACCAGACGTAAATCTGGATTTACATAAAGAAATGAAGAGTGCTGGGAAAGACAACTGCACGGGAAATATGTAAGATACTTTTCTTTTATGTAAATATCTTTGAAAGATAATTGAATTGACTATTTAAACAAAAATAACAATGTACAGTGAGGTTTGTAACACGTATGCAAGAAGATGTATGACAGTAGCACAAAGATCGGGAGAGAGAGAAATATAAATACATTGTGTGTGTGTGTGTGTGTGTGTGTGTGTGTGTGTGTGTGTGTGTGTGTGTGTGTGGTTGGGGTTTTTTTTGCGTTTTTTGTTTGTTTGTTTTTGTGTTTTTTTTTTGAGACAGAGTTTCGCTCTTGTTGCCCAGGCTGGAGTGCAATGGCACAATCTCGGCTCACTGCAACCTCCGCCTCCCGGGTTCAAGCAATTCTTCTGCTTCAACCTCCCGAGTAGCTGGGATTACAGGTGCCCACCACCATGCCCGGCTAATTTTTTGTATTTTAGTAGAGACGGGGTTTCACCAGGTTGGCCAGGCTGACCTCAGGTGATCCACTGCTTCGGCCTCCCAAAGTGCTGGGATTACAGGCGTGAGCCACTGCGCCTGGGAAATATGTTGTTTTCAACCTGAGAAAGCTAATTGAAAAAAAAGAAAAAGAAAAAGAAAGAAAAAAGAAATATGTCATAAGTTTTTTATCCTAAACGTGAAGTGGTATAGTATCACATTCAGCTGCAAGAGCTACAAAGTTCTCCAGGATAACAGCACAAAGAGAAGACCAAAAGCCAAGTGGAGGAGGCAAAAACAAGGTATTACTGACAGACTTTTAAATCTCTGGTGCCCATAGCCACAAAAAAATTCAACTCTGGTAGCTACAACAACAAATTAAAGCACAGCCCACTCCCGATTAGAGTATCACAAATCTCCGTAATAACCACCAAGCAGAAGGAAGCCTGTGTTTTTCTCCAAGCATAGAAAATATTTATATTAGTTATCTCCTGATACAGTAACAGAAATGGAGAATGTCTAACTTTCAACAAAAATTACAAGGCAAATCACAAGGCAAAAAAAAAAAACACAGTCTAAGAAAAAGCAATAATCAGTACTAGACTCAGATATGACATAGATGTTGGAACTGTATGTATATTTAGGAAAGACCTGAGAAGACCCTAATCTCTCACCTCCAGCTAGCCTTCTGACATGTCTATGCATGTCAGAAATGAAAACTAAGAATGCTAGGGCAAACTGAAGTGTTGTAGACATGCCCCAACAAACAGAGCTCCTTAGCACAGGCTGGAAAATTTGTTGATTTAAGGCACTTAAGAAAATCTCTAATTATTAGCTGAGCACTAAAGCTAACAAGCAGAGATTTCATGGCCATATATGACAAAGAAGAGGCTTACAGAGTTAGTTTAGAAAAGTCACTAACCAAACAAACAGCAGCAGCAACAACAAATAGCAACAATAACAAAACAAAACAATAACAAAACCTGAGGAAGGTGAGAATGTGATTCCCATACTTACAACATATAGTATTTAAACTGTTTCTGTTAAAAAAATTATGTAACATGCAAAGAAACAAAAAAATATGGCCTGTACCAAGGGTGGGAAAACAGGGAAAAAAAGTCAAAAGAAACTGCCACTAGGAAGCCCAGAAGTTGAACTTACTAGACAAACAATTTAAGTAAGCTATTTTAAATGTGTTTGAGGAACTAAAGTATGCTGTCTACAGAAGTAAGGAAAGTATGAAAATGCCATCTCGCAAAATAAAAATATTACCAAAGAGAAATGATTTTTTTAAATAGAAAATCTAGAGTTGGAAATTACAAACACTGAAATGAAAATTCACAGGAGGAGCTCAGAAGTAAACATGAGCTGGCAGAAGAATCAGTGAACTTAAAGATAGGTCACTTGAGATTATCTACTCTGGAAGACAGAAAAGTAAAATAATGATGAAAAATAAACAGGGCCTCAAAAACCTGTGGGACTCCATTAAGTATGTCAACATACATATAATGGAAGTTCTGTGCAAAGAGGAGAGAAAGGGGGAAGAAAAGATATCTAAAGAAATAATTGCCTACCATGTCTCAAATTTGATGAAAAACATGAATCTACACATCAATGAATTCCAAATAAAATAAACTTGAAAATATGCACATTTCAAAATTTTATAAGCAAAGAGTTGCAAGACAATGACAAAGAGAGACTCTTCAAAGCAGCAACAAGGAAGCAATGCATTACATACACGGAATCCCCAATAAGATTATGAGCTGACTTCTCATCAGAAAGTATGGAGTCTGAAGGCAGTTGGGTGACACATTTAAAGTGCTGAAAGAAAAAGACTGTCAACCAAGAATTCTATATGCAACTCAAGTATCCTTTAAAAATAAAAAATATAGGGAGTTATGTCAGGGAAGATGGCAGAGTAGGAAATTCCAGGAATATAACTCCTTACCTAGATGACAATTGTATTGGCAGGAACTGTTTGAAGTAACTAGAGTCTGGAGTCTATTTGAACCCTTACAGCTTCAAGGAGAAAACTTGGCTAGTAGATTAGTTAGTTTCTACCAATTTAAGCTTTAAACACCCCTTACTCCTAGCCTCATGGCAGCCAACTATGCCCATGTTCCTGGTGCAGCTTACTGGAGCCAGAATGGGCAATCACAACCTTCTCCTCCAAGTAACAGGAATCAGTGTTCTGTAACTTATTGCTGCTTTTGATCACTGAGGTGTAGGCACACAGGCTAGCCACCATTGATTCAACTGCCACAGGCTGACACAGCTTTCAGGGGATTTAAAGGAACCACACCTGCTTATTTGTTTGTATTTCTTTTTTCCCTTTTTTCCCACTGGGGAGCCAGAAGTTTAAGGATTCAGACATTTCAAAGCAACTGTGAGCTGGGCATGGTGGCTCACACCTATAATCCCAGCCCTTTGGGAGGTCAAGGCAGGAGGATCACTTGAGCCCAGGAGTTTGAGAGCAGCCTAGGCAACATGATGAAACCCTGTCTCCACAAAAAATAAAAAAATTAGCCAGGCGTGGTGGGATGCTCCTGTAGTCCCAGCTACTTGGGAAGCTGAGGTGGGAGGATGACTTAAGTCCAAGAGGTAGAGGTTACAGTGAGCTGAGATTGTGCCACTGTACTCCAGCCTGGGCAATGGAGCCAGAACCTGTCTCAAAAAAAAAAAAAAAATTATTGAGTCTGAGGAACAGAAAGGAAAAAATAAAAATGAAAGGAAATAAAATATAGACCAGGCCAGGCATGGTGGCTCACATCTATAATCCCAGCACTTTGGGAGGCCAGGGCTGGTGGATCACCTGAGGTCAGGAGTTCAAGACCAGCCTGACCAATATGGTGAAACCCCACCTCTACTAAAAATGCAAAAATTTGCTGGGCATGGTGGCACGTGCCTGTAATCCCAGCTACTCAGGAGGCTGAGGCAGGAGAATCACTTGAACCCGGGAGGTGGAGTGAGCCAAGATCATGCCATTGCACTCCAGCCTGGGTGACAAGAGTGAAACTCCATCTCAAAAAATAATAATAATAATAATAACATATAGACCAGTATTTCTTAAGAATGAATTTAGATGTAGACATTCTCAATAAAATAATAGCAAACTGAATGCAACAATAAATATAAAAGGTTATACACTATCAACACCATGACCAGTGGACTTTATCCTAGGAATGCAACTTTAGTATAACATCCAAGAATCAATCAATATAATATACCACATTAATAGGATTTTAAAAGACATAATTATCTCAATAGATGAAGAAAAAGCATGTGAAAAGATCTAATGCCCTTTCATGATAAAACATTCAACAAAATAGGAATAGAAGGAAATTTCCTGAACTTTATAAAAAGGCATCTATGAAATCCCCACAGGTAAAATCATACTTAATAATGAAAGAATGGATGCTTTCACCCTAAGATCAGGAAAAAGTCAAGGATGTCTGCTTTCAGCACTTCGATTCAACGTTGTACTGGCAGGCCTAGCAAGGTCAATAGACAAGAAAAATAAATGAAAATCATCTAGATTAAAAAGGAAGAAATAAAACTCTCTCTATTCAAAGATGAAGCTTGTATGTAGAAAATTCTACAGAATTTTAGAGAAATTTTTACAGAATTCTACAGAAAATTCTGCATGGATAACAAAGTGTCAGGCTAACATGACACAAGCAAAGGAAACTAATAAAGCTCCAGTAGCTGAGCCCACAAAAATGGAGCTCTACGAATTGCCTGACAAATAATTTAAAACAACCATCTTAAAGATGCTCAATGAGATGCAAGAGAACACAGATAGACAACTAAACAAAATCATGCATGAACAAAATTAGACATTTAATAAAGAAATTAAAACAATAAAAAGTCCTGGAACTGAAGAACACAATGACAGAGCTGAAAAGTCAATAAAATTTTTTTTTTTTTTTGGACAGAGTCTCGCTCTTTCACCCAGGCCGGAATGCATGGCACTATCTCGGCTCACTGCAAGCTCCGCCTCCCAGGTTCACACCATTCTCCTGCCTCAGCCTCGTGAGTAGCTGGGACTACCAGTGCCCACCACCACGCCAGGCTAATTTTTGTATTTTTAGTAGAGATGGGGCTTCACCGTGTTAGCCAGGATGGTCTTGATCTCCTGACCTCGTGATCTGCCCGCCTCAGCCTCCCAAAGTGCTGGGATTACAGGCATGAGCCACTGCATCCAGCCTAATAAAAAATTTTAACAGCAGAAGAGATCATATAGAAGAAAAATATCCGTGAACTCAGTGATAGGTCATTTGAAATTAGCCACTAGAGAAATAAAAATACAATAGAAGTAAAAAGAATAAAGGGGCTTAGTGCAGTGGCTCACATCTGTAATTCCAGCACTTTGGGAGGCCGAGGCAGGTGGATCACTTGAGGTCAGGAGTTCGAGACCAGCCTGACCAACATAGTGAAACCCCATCTCTACTAAAAATATAAGTATTAGCCAGGCATGGTGGCACACACCTGTAGTCTCAGCTACTCAGAAGGCTGAGGTAGGAGAATCACTTGAACCCAGGAGGTGGAGGTTGCAGTGAGCCAAGATTGCACCACTGCACTGCAGCCTGGGTGACAGAGTAAGACTCCATCTTAAAAAAATTAAAAAATAAAAAATAAGAGATCTATGGGGTACCATCAAGGTAATGTATTTATGAATTATGGGAGTTCCAAAAGAAGAAGAAAAAGAGAAAGAGGCAGAATGTTTAATTAAATGTAGTTTAATTAATGATTCCTGATGCCTAAAGGATCCCAAGCAAGAGCAACCAAAAGAAGAATATCCTGAGACACACTACAGTGGTCCTTCTGTCTCCATGGAAGATTGGTTCCAGACCATCCACAGATACCAGAATCCATGAATGCTCAAATACCTTAAATAAAATGCATAGTATTCACATGTAACCTATGCACAACTTTCCGTATACTTTAAATTATCTCAGGATTACTTATGATACCTAATACAATGTAAATGCTATGTAAATGGTTGTTATATTGTATTTTTGTATTAGCTTTTATTGTTGCATTATTATTTTATTTATTTTTTAATATTTTCAATCTGTGGTTGGTTGAATCCATGGATGCAGAAATCACAAATTTGAAGGCTTGATTGTATAGTCAAATTATCAAACGCCTAAGACAAAAAATCATGAAAGCATAAGAGAAAAGAGATTAATCACAAAGTCTTTTAGTCCATTTGTGTGCTATAACAGAATACCACAGACTGGGTAATTTATAAAGAAAAGAAATTTATTTCCACCACAGTTCTAGAGGCTGGGAGTTTCAACATCAAGGTGCTTTGGCAGCTGGGCAGGTTGTTCTGCTACATCCTAACATGGCAGAAGGCATCATATGGCAAGAGAGCAAAAGAGATCAAACTAGAAGCCTCTAACCCTTTCATAATCAGCATTAATCCATTCATGAAAGTGGAGTCCTCATAGCCTAATGACCTCTCAAAGGTCACACTTCTTAACACTGTTGCACTGGGGATTAAGTTACTAACACATGCTTTTGTGGGGACACATTCAAACCACAGCATGAGAGAACCCTCATAAGGATATCAGTAGACTTTTCAGTAAAAAGCTATAGGCTAGGGGAGGGTGGGTGAAAGATTTAAAGTGCTAAAAGAAAAAAAAAGCTGCCAACCAAGAATACTATTGCCAGCAAAGCTGTAATTCAGAAATGAAGGAGAAATAAAGACATTCACAGACAAACAAAAGCTGAGGGAGTTCATCACCGCAAATCTGCCTTACAAGGCTGGGCCCAGTGACTCACACCTGTAATCACAGCACTTTGGGAGGCTGAGGCAGGAGGATTGCTTGAGCCCAGGAGTTCAAGACCAGGCTAGCAACATAGGGAGACTCCACCTCTACACAAAAAATTAAAAATTAATCAGGTGTGGTGGTACACATCTGTGATCCCAGCTACTCAGGAGGCTGAGATGGAAAGATTGCTTGAGCTGGAAGGTCAAGGCTGCAATGAGCTATGATTATACCACTGCACTTCAGTGTGGGTGACAAAGCAAGACGCTGTCTTTAAAAAATAAACAACAACAAAAAAATAGAATGAAAAGAAAAAAGAAAAAGGAGGCCAAGCACGGTGGTTCACGCCTGTAATCCCAGCACTTTGGGAGGCTGAGGCGGTTGGATTACCTGAGGTCAGGAGTTCAAGACCAGCCTGGCCAACATGGTGAAACCCCATCTCTACTAAAAATACAAAAATTAGCTGGGCTTGGTGGCACAACCCTGTAATCCCAGCTACTCGGGAGGCTGAAGCAGGAGAATTGCTTGAGCCCAGGAGGCAGAGGTTGCAGTAAGCCGAGTTCATGCCACTGCACTCCAGCCTAGCCGACAGAGTGAGACTCTGTCTCAAAAAAAAAAAAAAAAAGAAAGAAAGAAAGAAAGAAAGAAAGAAAAGAAAAAAGAAAAAGGATAAGAAGTTCTTCAAGTTGAAATAGAAGGATGTTAAGTAACAATGTGAGAACATGAAAATATAAAACTCACTGGTAAAGGTAAGTATAACATCAAATCTATATATTATAATGATGGTGTATAAATCACTTTGAAATCTAGAATATAAAGTAAAAGACAAAAAGATTAAAAATAACTGTAGTTACAATAATTTGTTAATGGATACATAACATTAAAAGATGTAAAGTGTGACATAGCATAAAATGTGGAGATGGGGGAGAAGCAAAAGTGTATAGTTTTGTATAAAATTGAAATTAAATTGTTATTAGGTTAAGATAGAATGTTATAACTTTAAAATATTTTATATAAACCTCATAGTAACCACAAAGAAAAACCTCTACTAGACCTGCAAAAAATAAATAGAAAGGAAATGAAAGCATACCATTACAAAAAAATCAACAAATCACAAAGGAAGACAGCAAGACAGGAAAAAAGGAACTAAAAAATAGAAAACAATTAACAAAATGGCAATAATAAGTCCTTACCTATCAACAATTACCCTAAATGTAAATGAATTAAATTCTCCAATCAACAAATAGAATGGCTGAACAAATTTAAAAACAAGATCCAACAATATGCTACCTACAAGATACTCATTTCAGTCTTAAGGACACACATAAGCTGAAAAGTGAAGAAATGGAAAAAGATATTCCATGCAAATGGTAACCAAAAGAGAGTACAAGTAGCTATACTTACATCAGACAAAATAGAATTGCATTCAAAAACTGCCTCAAGAGACAAAGGTCACTACATAATGATAAAGGGACCAATTCATTAAGAGAGTATAACAATTGAAAAATATATACATTATGTATATTTTATTTCTATCTATGTATGTATGTGCCCCAGTATTTAGAGCACTTAATTGTATAAAGCAATATTAACAAAATAGAGGGGAAAATAGACAGCAACACAATAATAGTAGGGAACTTCAATACCCCACTGCCAATAGTAGATAGATTATACACACAGAAAAACAATAAAGCAACTGTGGTCTTGAATAATACTACAAACCAAACAGACCAAATAGATCCAACAGACAAATACAGAATATTCCATTCAACAGCAGCAGAATACACATTATTCTCAAGCACACACAGAACATTACCCAAGATAGATTATATATTGGATCACAAAACAGTTCTTAACAAATTTCAGAAGAAGATTTTAATTATATCAAATGTATTTTCTGACCACAAAGATATGAAACTAAATGTCAAGGCTGGGAGCGGTGGCTCACGCCTGTAATCCCAACACTTTGGGAGGCTGAGGTGGGTGGATCACTTGAGGTCAGGAGTTTGATACCAGCCTGGCCAGCAGGGCGAAACCCTGTCTCTACTAAAAATATAAAAATTAGCCAGGCATGGCAGCACATGCCTCTAATTCCAGCTACTAGGGAGGCTGAGACAGGAGAATTGCTTGAACGTGGGGGGCAGAAGTTGCAGTGAGCCAAGATCAAGCCACTGCACTCCAGCCTGGGTGACAGAGTGAGACCCTATCTCAAAATAAATAAATAAATAAATATCATTAACAAGAGAAATTTTAGAAATTTCAGAAATATGTGGATTCTACATAGCCAATAGGTCAAGAATAAATCAAAACAGAAATCAATAAGTGAGACAAATGAAAATTGAAACACAACATACAAATGTGTGGAATGCAGCAAAAGCAGTTCTAAGAGGGAAGTTTGTAGCAATAAATGTCTACATTAGGGAAAAAAAACTCAAATAAACAACCTAACTTTACACTTTAAAAAACTAGAAAAAGAACAAACTATGCCCCAAATCAGCACAAAGAAGGAAATAAGATTAGAGAGCAGAAATAAATGAAACAGAGACTAGAAAGATAATAGAAAAGATCAACAAAACTAAGAGGTGATTTTTTGTAAAGATAAACAAAATTGACAAACCTTTAGCTATTAGTAGAATAACCAAGAAAAAACTGAGAGGACTCAAATACATAAAATTATAAATAAAAGAAGAGACACTACAACTGATACCACAGAAATACTGAGGACTGTAAGAGACTATGAACAATTATATGCCAATGAATTGGATAACCTAGAAAAAATGGATAAATTCCTAGAAACATACAACTAAACAAGACTGAATCATGAAGAAATAGAAAATCTGAACAGACTGAGTACAGAGATTGAATCCATCAGCAAAAGTCCCAATAAAGAAACAGCCTAGTGCCAGACGGCTTCACATGTGAATTCTGCCAAGCATTTAAAGAAGAATTAATGCCAATTTTTCTAAAACTCTCCCAAAAAAATTGAAGAGGAGGGAATATTCCCAAAACTCATTTTATGAGGCCAGAATTACCTCATACCAAAACCAGATAAAGACACTATAGGAAAAAAATTACAGGTCAATATCTTTGCTGAACATAGCTTCAAAAACCCTCAGCAAAATACCAGCAAGCCAAATTCAAGAGCACATTAAAAAGAATCATATACCATGATCAAGTAAGATTTAGTCCTGGAATGCAAGGATGGTCCAACATATGCAAATTAATAAATGTGATACACCATATTAACAGAATTAAGGATGAAAATCATATGATCATTTCAATAGATGCAGAAAAAGCATTTGACAAAATTGAAAATCTTTTCATTATTTTTAAAAAACATCCTCCCAACAAATTAGGGGAGCCAGGCATGATGGTGCATGCCTATACTCCCAGTGCTTTAGGAGGCCAAGGCAGTATGATTGTTTGAGGTCAGGAGTTTGAGACCAGCCTGGACAACATAGCAAGGTCCCATCTCTAAAAAAAATTTTTTTTATTATTATTATTATACTTTAACTTTTAGGGTACATGTGCACAATGTGCAGGTTAGTTACATATGTATACATGTGCCATGCTGGTGCACTGCACCCACTAACTCGTCATCTAGCATTAGGTATATCTCCCAATGCTATCCCTCCCCCCACCCCACAACAGTCCCCAGAGTGTGATGTTCCCCTTCCTGTGTCCATGTGTTCTCATTGTTCGATTCCCACCTATGAGTGAGAACATGTGGTGTTTGGTTTTTTGTTCTTGCGATAGTTTACTGAGAATGATGGTTTCCAATTTCATCCATGTCCCTACAAAGGATATGAACTCATCATTTTTTATGGCTGCATAGTATTCTGTGGTGTATATGTGCCACATTTTCTTAATCCAGTCTATCATTGTTGGACATTTGGGTTGGTTCCAAGTCTTTGCTATTGTGAATAGTGCTGCAATAAACATACGTGTGCATGTGCCTTTATAGCAGCATGATTTATAGCCCTTTGGGTATATACCCAGTAATGGGATGGCTGGGTCAAATGGTATTTCTAGTTCTAGATCCCTGAGGAATCGCCACACTGACTTCCACAATGGTTGAACTAGTTTACAGTCCCACCAACAGTGTAAAACTGTCCCTATTTCTCCACATCCTCTCCAGCACCTGTTGTTTCCTGACTTTTTAATGATTGCCATTCTAACTGGTGTGAGATGGTATCTCTGGTATCTCATTGTGGTTTTGATTTACATTTCTCTGATGGCCAGTGATGGTGAGCATTTTTTCATGTGTTTTTTGGCTGCATAAATGTCTTCTTTTGAGAAGTGTCTGTTCATGTCCTTCGCCCACTTTGTGATGGGATTGTTTGTTTTTTTCTTGTAAATTTGTGTAAGTTCATTGTAGATTCTGGATATTAGCCCTTTGTCAGATGAGTAGGTTGCGAAAATTTTCTCCCATTTTGTAGGTTGCCTGTTCACTCTGATGGTAGTTTCTTTTGCTGTGCAGAAGCTCTTTAGTTTAATTCGATCCCATTTGTCAATTTTGGCTTTTGTTGCCATTGCTTTTGGTGTTTTAGACATGAAGTCCTTGCCCATGCCTATGTCCTGAATGGTAATGCCTAGGTTTTCTTCTAGGGTTTTTATGGTTTTAGGTCTAACGTTTAAGTCTTTAATCCATCATGAATTGATTTTTGTATAAGGTGTAAGGAAGGGATCCAGTTTCAGCTTTCTACTTATGGCTAGCCAGTTTTCCCAGCACCATTTATTAAATAGGGAATCCTTTCCCCATTGCTTGTTTTTCTCAGGTTTGTCAAAGATCAGATGGTTGTAGATATGCGGCGTTATTTCTGAGGGCTCTGTTCTGTTCCATTGATCTATATCTCTGTTTTGGTACCAGTACCATGCTGTTTTGGTTACTGTAGCCTTGTAGTATAGTTTGAAGTCAGGTAGAATGATGCCTCCAGCTTTGTTCTTTTGGCTTAGGATTGACTTGGTGATGCGGGCTCTTTTTTGGTTCCATATGCACTTTAAAGTAGTTTTTTCCAATTCTGTGAAGAAAGTCATTGGTAGCTTGATGGGGATGGCATTGAATCTATAAATTACCTTGGGCAGTATGGCCATTTTCATGATATTGATTCTTCCTACCCATGAGCATGGAATGTTCTTCCATTTGTTTGTATCCTCTTTTATTTCATTGAGCAGTGGTTTGTAGTTCTCCTTGAAGAGGTCCTTCATGTCCCTTGTAAGTTGGATTCCTAGGTATTTTATTCTCTTTGAAGCAATTGTGAATGGGAGTTCACTCATGATTTAGCTCTCTGTTTGTCTGTTATTGGTGTATAAGAACGCTTGTGATTTTTGTACATTGATTTTGTATCCTGAGACTTTGCTGAAGTTGCTGATCAGCTTAAGGAGATTTTGGGCTGAGACGATGGGGTTTTCTAGATATACAATCATGTCGTCTGCAAACAGGGATAATTTGACTTCCTCTTTTCCTAACTGAATGCCCTTTATTTCCTTCTCCTGCCTAATTGCCCTGGCCAGAACTTCCAACACTATGTTGAATAGGAGTGGTGAGAGAGGGCATCCCTGTCTTGTGCCAGTTTTCAAAGGGAATGCTTCCAGTTTTTGCCCATTCAGTATGATTTTGGCTGTGCGTTTGTCATAGATAGCTCTTATTATTTTGAGATATGTCCCATCAATACCTAATTTATTGAGAGTTTTTAGCATGAAGGGTTGTTGAATTTTGTCAAAGGCCTTTTCTGCATCTATTGAGATAATCATGTGGTTTTTGTCTTTGGTTCTGTTTATATGCTGGATTACATTTATTGATTTGTGTATATTGAACCAGCCTTGCATCCCAGGGATGAAGCCCACTTGATCATGGTGGGTAAGCTTTTTGATGTGCTGCTGGATTCGGTTTGCCAGTATTTTATTGAGGATTTTTGCATCAATGTTCATCAAGGATATTGGTCTAAAATTCTCTTTTTTGGTTGTGTCTCTGCCCGGCTTTGGTATCAGGATGATGCTGGCCTCATAAAATGAGTTAGGGAGGATTCCCTCTTTTTCTATTGATTGGAATAGTTTCAGAAGGAATGGTACCAGTTCCTCCTTGTACCTCTGGTAGAATTCGGCTGTGAATCCATCTGGTCTTGGACTCTTTTTGGTTGGTAAGCTATTGATTATTGCCACAATTTCAGCTCCTGTTATTGGTCTATTCAGAGATTCAACTTCTTCCTGGTTTAGTCTTGGGAGAGTGTATGTGTCGAGGAATTTATCCATTTCTTCTAGATTTTCTAGTTTATTGGCATAGAGTTGTTTGTAGTATTCTCTGATGGTAGTTTGTATTTCTGTGGGATCGGTGGTGATATCCCCTTTATCATTTTTTATTGCATCTATTTGATTCTTCTCTCTTTTTTTCTTTATTAGTCTTGCTAGCGATTTATCAATTTTGTTGATCCTTTCAAAAAACCAGCTCCTGGATTCATTAATTTTTTGAAGGGTTTTTTGTGTCTCTATTTCCTTCAGTTCTGCTCTGATTTTAGTTATTTCTTGCCTTCTGCTAGCTTTTGAATGTGTTTGCTCTTGCTTTTCTAGTTCTTTTAATTGTGATGTTAGGGTGTCAATTTTGGATCTTTCCTGCTTTCTCTTGTGGGCATTTAGTGCTATAAATTTCCCTCTACACACTGTTTTGAATGTGTCCCAGAGATTCTGGTATGTTGTGTCTTTGTTCTCGTTGGTTTCAAAGAACATCTTTATTTCTGCCTTCATTTCGTTATGTACGCAGTAGTCATTCAGGAGCAGGTTGTTCAGTTTCCATGTAGTTGAGCGGTTTTGAGTGAGTTTCTTAATCCTGAGTTCTAGTTTGATTGCACTGTGGCCTGAGAGATCGTTTGTTATAATTTCTGTTCTTTTACATTTGCTGAGGAGAGCTTTACTTCCAACTATGTGGTCAATTTTGGAATACGTGTGGTGTGGTGCTGAAAAAAAATGTATATTCTGTTGATTTGGGGTGGAGAGTTCTGTAGATGTCTATTAGGTCCGCTTGGTGCAGACTTGAGTTCAATTCCTGGGTATCCTTGTTAACTTTCTGTCTCGTTGATCTGTCTAATGTTGACAGTGGGTGTTAAAGTCTCCCATTATTAATGTGTGGGAGTCTAAGTCTCTTTCTAGGTCACTGAGGACTTGCTTTATGAATCTGGGTGCTCCTGTATTGGGTGCATATATATTTAGGATAGTGAGCTATTCTTGTTGAATTGATCCCTTTACCATTATGTAATGGCCTTCTTTGTCTCTTTTGATCTTTGTTGGTTTAAAGTCTGTTTTATCAGAGACTAGGATTGCAACCCCTGCCTTTTTTTGTTTTCCATTTGCTTGGTAGATCTTCCTCCATCCTTTTATTTTGAGCCTATGTGTGTCTCTGCACGTGAGATGGGTTTCCTGAATACAGCACACTGATGGGTCTTGACTCTATCCAATTTGCCAGCCTGTGTCTTTTAATTGGAGCATTTAGTCCATTTACATTTAAAGTTAATATTGTTATGTGTGAATTTGATCCTGTCATTATGATGTTAGCTGTCATTATAACGAGCTGATTTTGCTCGTTAGTTGATGCAGTTTCTTCCTAGTCTCGATGGTCTTTACATTTTGGCATGATTTTGCAGCGGCTAGTACCGGTTGTTCCTTTCCATGTTTAGTGCTTCCTTCAGGAACTCTTTTAGGGCAGGCCTGGTGGTGACAAAATCTCTCAGCATTTGCTTGTCTGTAAAGTATTTTATTTCTCCTTCAAAAATTTTTACCTAGCCGGGCATGGTGGCATGTGCCTGTAGTCCTAGCTACTCAAGAGGCTGAAGCAAGAGGATCTCCTGAGTCCAGGAGTTTGAGGTTATAGTGAGCTATAATCACACCACTGTACTCCAGCCTTGGTGATAGAGCAAAACTCTATCTCAAAAAGCAAAACAAAACAAAACAAAAAAACAAATTAGGCATAGAAGGAATGTACCGCAACATAATAGAGTCCATATATGACAAGTTAACATCATACTCAATGTGAAAAGCTGTCTTATTCCTCTAGGATCAGGAATAAGACAAGATTGCCCACTCTTGCCACTTCTATTTAACATAGTACTGGAAGTCTTAGCTGGAGCAATTAGGCAAGACAAAGGAATAGAAGGCATCCAAATTGGAAAGGGGGTAATTAATTTTCTATGTTGGAAAAGAAATAATCTTACATATAGAAAACCCTAACGATGCCACAAGAAAATGATTAGAACCAGTAAAGGAATTCAGTAAAGTTGAAGGATATAAAATCAACATGCAAAAATCAGTTATTTTTCTACACTCTAACAACAAGCTATCCAAAAAAGAAATTAAGAAAACAATCCAGCCAGGCGTGGTGGCTCACGCCTGTAATCCCAGCACTTTGGGAGGCTGAGGCGGGTGGATCACAAGGTCAGGAGATCGAAACCATCCTGGCTAACATGGTGAAACCCGTCTCTACTAAAAATACAAAAAATTAGCCGGGCATGGTGGGGGACACCTGTAGTCCCAGCTACTTGGGAGGCTGAGGCAGGAGAATGGTGTGAACCCAGGAGGCAGAGCTTGCAGTGAGCCGAGACCGCGCCACTGCACTCCAGCCTGGGCGACAGAGCAAGACTCCATCTTAAAAAAAAAAAAAAAGAAAGAAAACAATCCCACTTACAATAGCACCAAAAATAATAAAACACTTGGGAACAAATTAACAAAGTAAAAGATCTATATATGGAAAATTATAGATAAAAGAAAACATTGATAAAAGAAATTGGAAAAGACATAAATAAATTGAAAGATATTCTGTGTTCATGGATTGGAAAAAATAGTATTGTTGAAATGTCCGTACTACCCAAAGTGATCTACAGATTCAGTGCAATCCCTATCAAAATTCCAATGTCATTTTTTTCAAAGCAATAGAAAAAGCAATCTGAAAAGTCATGTGAACCACAAAAGACATTGAATAACCAAAGCAATCACGAGAAAGAAAAAACAAAGCTGGAGGCATCACACATCCTTATTTCAGACTATATTACAAAGCTATAGTAATCAAAACAGTTTGGTACTGGCATAAAAACAAACACATAGACAAATGGAAAAGAACAGAGAGCCAAGATATAAACCCACTCATATAGAGTCAACTAATCTTTGACGAGGATGCCAAGAACACTCAATGGGAAAAGGATAATGTCTTTGATAAATTGTGTTGGGAAAACTGGGTGTTGACATGCAAAAGAATAAAATTAGACCTTTATCTTAAATCATATACAAAAATCAACTAGAAATTGATTAAAGACTTAAATGTAAGACCTGAAACCATAAACTCCTAAGAAAAAAAATTAGGGAAAAAGCTCCTTGACACTGGTCTTGGCAATGATTTTTTGCATATGACAACAAAAGCACAGGCAACAAAAGCAAAAATAAACAAGTAGGACTACATCAAACTAAAAAGCTTTTGCACAGCAAAGGAAATAATCACTATATGAAAAGGCAACCTGTGGAATGGGAGAAAATACGTGCAAACCATATATCTGATAAGGGGTTAATATCCAAAATATATAAGGAACTCATAAAACTCCACAGTTTAAAAAATAACCCAATTTTAAAAATCAGCAAAACCAGGTGCAGTGGCTCATGCCTGTAATCCCAGTACTTTGGGAGGCCAAGGCAGGGGGATCGCTTGAGGATAGGAGTTTGAGACAAGCCTGGGCAACATAGGAAGACCCTATCTCTATTTTAATAATAATAATAATAATACAATTAAAAATAGTCAAACTCATAGAGGCAGAAAGTACAATGGCAATTGCCAGGGGCCGAGGGTGGGGGAAATGTTAGTTAAAAGACCTGAGCAGATATGTTTCCACGTGGCCAATAAGGAAATGAAAAGGTGTTAAGCATCACTGCTCATCAGGAAGTTGCAAGTCAAAACCACAATGAGCTATTACTCCATACCCGTTAGGCTGGCTATTATCAAAAGAATAAGAGATAACAGGTGTTGGCAAGGGAGCTGAGGAAAAGACACCCTAGGACACTGTTGGTGGGAATGTAAACTGGTACAGCCATATGAAAGAGTATGGAGGCTCCTCAAAAAATTAAAGCTAGAACTACCATGTGATTTAGCAATCCTAATTCTAAATATACATCAGAAAGAAATGAAATCAGTACCTTGAAGAGATATTTGCAGTCCCATGTTCATTGCAGCATTATTTACAACAGTCAAGATATGAAAACAACCTAAGTGTACATCAATGGATGAATGGATAAAGAAAATGTATCATTCACACACCCACACAAACATACACACATATACACATTTTACATATTACATATATTATATTTATACGTTATATGTGTATATTTGTGTATATTTTATAGGCCCATATATACATTGAAATACACACAGACTCATATGCAATGGAGTATTATTCAGTCATAAAAAAGAAGGAAATACATGGCCAAGCATGGTGGCTCACACTGTAATCCCAGCACTTTGGGAAGATTGCTTGAGTCCAGGAGTTCAAGCCCAGCCTGGGCAACATGGTGAAACCCTGTCTCTATAAAAAATTTAAAAATTAGCTGAAGGTGGTGGTGCATGCCTGTGATCCCAGCTACTTGGGAGGCTGAGGTGGGAGGATTGTTTGAGCCCAGGAGGATGAGGCTGCCATAAGCTGTGATCGCACCACTGCACTCCGGCCTGGGTGACAGAGTACTATCCTATCAAAAAAATAAATAAATAAGGAAATCCTGTCCTTTGTGACAACATGGATAAACCTGGAAGACATTATGCTATGAAATAAGCCAGGCACAGAAAGACAAATATTGTATAATCTCACTCATATGTGGAATCTGAAAAAGTCAAACTCATAGAGGCAGAAAGTACAATGGTAATTGCCAGGGGCTGAGGGTGCCCCAGATAAATGAGAAGACGTTGGTTAAAATTCAGTTATAAGGTTTATAAGCTCTGTAGATCTAATGTACAGCATGGTGACTATAGTTAATAATACTCTATTGTTTACTTAAAATTTACTAAGAAAGAGTTGTCACTACACACATACCCAAAATGGTAATTATGTGTATAGATGTGTTAATTAATTTGATTGTGGCATTCATTTTATAATTTATATGTACATCAAATCATTATGTTGTACACCTTGGATATATACAATTTTTTTTGTCAGTTATCTCTCAATAAAGCTGACAGCAAAAAAAAAGAAAAGAAAAAGAAACACAAGGGACTCAGAACAACCAAAACAATTTTGAAAAAGAATAACAAAATTGGAGGCCTCACTGTTTTTGAGACTTCATATCCAGAATACATAATACATAATAAATATTAGAAGTCAAAAATAAGTCCTTTGCTGCTTAGAAATGTCTTCTATGAGATTGCTATTTCATCACTCTTACATTCAGCTTTCCACAAAGCTCAAGGGCATGGACACAATGCAGCCAGGTTTTTTGCTACTATATAACAAGGGTGGCCTTTACTCAAGTTTCCAGTAAGCTATTCTACATTTCCATCAAAGAACTCATCAGAATGGCTTTTACTGGTCATATTTCTATCAGCATTCTGGTCATGACCACTTAACCAATATCTAGAAAGTTCCCAACTTTCCTTAGTCTCATTTCCCATTTACTGGACCCTCACCAAAAAATCACCCTTAGTACTCCATTCATGGGAATACAGGCTTTTTCTAGCCTGTTCCTCCTAATTCTTCCAGCTACAACCCATTACCCAGTTTCAAAGCTGCTTTCACGTTTTCAGGTATCTGTATAGTAACACTCCAGTCTCAGTACTAATTTCCTGTCTTAGTCCATTTTCTGTTGCTATAACAAAATATCTGAGAGTGGGTAATGTATAAAGGAAAGAGGTTTATTTAGCTTATAATTCTGGAGGCTAGAAGGTCCAAGATTGGGCAGCCCCATCTGGACAGCCTCTGTGAAGGCCTCATGCTGAATCATAATATGGCGGAGAAGCAGGAGTGTGCAAAGTGGGCAAAACATGAGAGACAACCTCGCTTTATAACAACCTACTCTCATGGGAGCTAATCCATTCCCAAGAGAACTAACACAGTGTTATGAGAAACACATCAATCCATCTTAATGACCTAATCACCTCTTAAAGGAACCACCTCCCCACACTGCCATATTGGGCAGCCTCAACCAAGCCTCAACATGAGTTTTGGTGGGAACAAATCATATTTTAACCATAGCTCTGTTAAATAAATTTAATTAAAAAGTAATAAACTTCCAAAATAGCATCAGGCCCAGATGGGTTAATAAGATAATTTTACCAAATACTTAAGGAAGAAATTAAACCAACTGTAATTGGTATAATCTCTCCTAGAAAATAGAAACAGAGGGAATACTCCCTAACCCATTCTATGAGGCCAGCATTACCCTAATATCCAAACCAAAGACATTATAAGAAAGGAAAACTACAGACCAATATCTCTCATGAACATAGATGCAAAAATAATCAACAGATATTAGCAAACCTAATATAATAATGTGGACAAAGATGATACACCATGACTACGTGGGATTTATCCCAGGTATGAAAAATCAGAAAATCAGTTAATGTAATCCATCACATTGACAGGCTAAAGAAGAAAAATCTCATAGTTATGTCACTAGATGTAGGAAAGTCATTTGACAAAATCTAATATTCATTTATGATTTTAAGTTTCTCAGAAAGCTGGGAATAGAAGAGATTCTTATTCAACTTGATAAGGAACATCTATTTTTTAAAAGACCTACAGCAAACATCATATTTAATGGTGACAAACTAGATGCTTTCCCACTAAGATCAAGAATGAGTCAAAGAGGTCCACTCTCACCATTCTTATTATACATCCCTCTGGGAGTCCTGGTAAATGCAACAAGAAAAGAAATGACATGAAAAATATACAAATTGGGAAGGAAGAAATAAAACTGTCTTTGTTCACAGATGTCATGAGTGTCTGTAATGGAAATCCCAAAATATCAACAAAAAAGCTCCTGAACTATAGCAAGGTTGCAGGATATAAGGCTAATAAACAAAAGTCATACTCGTGTCTCTTTGGGCCTGAAAAAAGACCCAAAGAAATGAAAAAAGAAATTTTTTAAAAGTCAATTTCTTTCTTTTATACTAGCCATAAACAATTGGAATATGAATTTTTTTTTTTTTTTTGAGATGGAGTCTCACTCTTGACGTCCAGGCTGGAGTGCAATGGCGCAATCTTGGCTCACTGCAACCTCCGCCTCCTTGGTTCAAGTGATTCTCCTGGTTCAGCCTCCCAAGTAGCTGGGATTATAGGTGCCCGCTGCCACACTCGACTGATTTTTTATTTTTAGTAGAGACGGGGTTTCACCATGTTGGCCCAGCTGGTCTCAAACTCCTGACCTCAGGCAATCTGCCCACCTCGGCCTCCCAAAGTGCTAAGATTATAGGTGTGAGCCACCACGCCCGGCCAAAATTTGAAATTTAAAATGTAATACCATTTACATTAGCACCCCCAAAAATCAAATACTTAAGTATAAATCTAACACAATATCTACAAGATGCATATGAGGAAAACGACAAAACTTTGATGAAAGAAATACATGTTAAAAACAAAGATCTAAAAACAGAGAGATGCTCCATGTACATATATGAATTGTACATTGTCAAGAAGTCAGTTCTTCTCAACTTGACCTACAGATTTGATGCAATTCCAACCAAAATCCTTCCAAGTTATTTTGTAGTGGCAAACTGATTCTAAAATTTATATGGAGAGTCACAAGACCCAGAATGTCCAACACGATATTGAAGGAGATCAAAGTCAGGATCAACACCACTCAACTTCAAAACTTACTACAAAGCTACATCAATCAAGACAGTGTGATGCTGGTGAATGAATAGACAAATAGATCAATAAAGCAGAATAGTAAGCCCAGAAATAGACTCATAGAAATAATATAAACAACAGATTTTTAACAAAGGAACAAAGGCAATTCAAGTAAGAAAGGATAGTCTTTTCAATAAATAGTGCTGGAATCCATATCCACGTGCCAACACAAGGAGAACATGGGGGAGGGCAGAATCCAGTCACAGACCTTGCATCTTTCACAAAAATTAGCTCAAAATGTATCACAGATGCAAAACTATAAAACTCCTAGAAGATAACATAGGAAAAAATCTAGGGACCTTGGGTTTGACAATGACTTTTTAGATACACCAAAAGCATGACCCCATGAAAGAAAAAAAATATGGTAAGTTGGATCTCATTAAAATGAAAAATGTTTGCTCTGCAAAACACATTGTTCAGAGAATGAAAAGACAAGAAGCCATAGACTTGAAGAAAATATTTGCAAAGCTCATATCTGATAAAGGACTGGCATCCAAAATATACAAAGAACTCTTAAAACTCAACAATAAGAAAACAACTAGATTTACAATTTTTAAGTAGATTTCAAAACAGACAAAAGATCTGAACACACACCTCACCAAGGAAAATGCACAAATAGAAAATAAATATATGAAAAGATGCTCCATATCATATATCATTAGAGAAATGCAAATTAAAACAATAATGAGATACCACTATACACCTATTAGAATGGCTAAAATCCAAAATACAACACCAAATACTGTCAAAGATGTAGAACAGCAAGAAGCTTCATTTATTAATGGTGTGAACACAAACTGGTATAACCACTTTGGAAGACAGTTTGGCAGTTTCTTTTTTTTTTTTTTTTTTTTTTATTATACTCTAAGTTTTAGGGTACATGTGCACATTGTGCAGGTTAGTTACATATGTATACATGTGCCATGCTGGTGCGCTGCACCCACTAATGTGTCATCTAGCATTAGGTATATCTCCCAATGCTATCCCTCCCCCCTCCCCCGACCCCACCACAGTCCCCAGAGTGTGATATTCCCCTTCCTGTGTCCATGTGATCTCATTGTTCAATTCCCACCTATGAGTGAGAATATGCGGTGTTTGGTTTTTTGTTCTTGCGATAGTTTACTGAGAATGATGGTTTCCAATTTCATCCATGTCCCTACAAAGGATATGAACTCATCATTTTTTATGGCTGCATAGTATTCCATGGTGTATATGTGCCACATTTTCTTAATCCAGTCTATCATTGTTGGACATTTGGGTTGGTTCCAAGTCTTTGCTATTGTGAATAGTGCCGCAATAAACATACGTGTGCATGTGTCTTTATAGCAGCATGATTTATAGTCCTTTGGGTATATACCCAGTAATGGGATGGCTGGGTCAAATGGTATTTCTAGTTCTAGATCCCTGAGGAATCGCCACACTGACTTCCACAATGGTTGAACTAGTTTACAGTCCCACCAACAGTGTAGAAGTGTTCCTATTTCTCCACATCCTCTCCAGCACCCGTTGTTTCCTGACTTTTTAATGATTGCCATTCTAACTGGTGTGAGATGATATCTCATAGTGGTTTTGATTTGCATTTCTCTGATGGCCAGTGATGATGAGCATTTCTTCATGTGTTTTTTGGCTGCATAAATGTCTTCTTTTGAGAAGTGTCTGTTCATGTCCTTCGCCCACTTTTTGATGGGGTTGTTTGTTTTTTTTCTTGTAAATTTGTTTGAGTTCATTGTAGATTCTGGATATTAGCCCTTTGTCAGATGAGTAGGTTGCGAAAATTTTCTCCCATGTTGTAGGTTGCCTGTTCACTCTGATGGTAGTTTCTTTTGCTGTGCAGAAGCTCTTTAGTTTAATTCGATCCCATTTGTCAATTTTGGCTTTTGTTGCCATTGCTTTTGGTGTTTTGGACATGAAGTCCTTGCCCACGCCTATGTCCTGAATGGTAATGCCTAGGTTTTCTTCTAGGGTTTTTATGGTTTTAGGTCTAACGTTTAAATCTTTAATCCATCTTGAATTGATTTTTGTATAAGGTGTAAGGAAGGGATCCAGTTTCAGCTTTCTACATATGGCTAGCCAGTTTTCCCAGCACCATTTATTAAATAGGGAATCCTTTCCCCATTGCTTGTTTTTCTCAGGTTTGTCAAAGATCAGATAGTTGTAGATATGCGGCATTATTTCTGAGGGCTCTGTTCTGTTCCATTGATCTATATCTCTGTTTTGGTACCAGTACCATGCTGTTTTGGTTACTGTAGCCTTGTAGTATAGTTTGAAGTCAGGTAGTGTGATGCCTCCAGCTTTGTTCTTTTGGCTTAGGATTGACTTGGCAATGCGGGCTCTTTTTTGCTTCCATATGAACTTTAAAGTAGTTTTTTCCAATTCTGTGAAGAAAGTCATTGGTAGCTTGATGGGGATGGCATTGAATCTGTAAATTACCTTGGGCAGTATGGCCATTTTCACGATATTGATTCTTCCTACCCATGAGCATGGAATGTTCTTCCATTTGTTTGTGTCCTCTTTTATTTCCTTGAGCAGTGGTTTGTAGTTCTCCTTGAAGAGGTCCTTCACATCCCTTGTAAGTTGGATTCCTAGGTATTTTATTCTCTTTGAAGCAATTGTGAATGGGAGTTCACCCATGATTTGGCTCTCTGTTTGTGTGTTGTTGGTGTATAAGAATGCTTGTGATTTTTGTACATTGATTTTGTATCCTGAGACTTTGCTGAAGTTGCTGATCAGCTTAAGGAGATTTTGGGCTGAGACGATGGGGTTTTCTAGATAAACAATCATGTCGTCTGCAAACAGGGACAATTTGACTTCCTCTTTTCCTAATTGAATACCCTTTATTTCCTTCTCCTGCCTGATTGCCCTGGCCAGAACTTCCAACACTATGTTGAATAGGAGCGGTGAGAGAGGGCATCCCTGTCTTGTGCCAGTTTTCAAAGGGAATGCTTCCAGTTTTTGCCCATTCAGTATGATATTGGCTGTGGGTTTGTCATAGATAGCTCTTATTATTTTGAAATACGTCCCATCAATACCTAATTTATTGAGAGTTTTTAGCATGAAGGGTTGTTGAATTTTGTCAAAGGCTTTTTCTGCATCTATTGAGATAATCATGTGGTTTTTGTCTTTGGCTCTGTTTATATGCTGGATTACATTTATTGATTTGCGTATATTGAACCAGCCTTGCATCCCAGGGATGAAGCCCACTTGATCATGGTGGATAAGCTTTTTGATGTGCTGCTGGATTCGGTTTGCCAGTATTTTATTGAGGATTTTTGCATCAATGTTCATCAAGGATATTGGTCTAAAATTCTCTTTTTTGGTTGTGTCTCTGCCCGGCTTTGGTATCAGGATGATGCTGGCCTCATAAAATGAGTTAGGGAGGATTCCCTCTTTTTCTATTGATTGGAATAGTTTCAGAAGGAATGGTACCAGTTCCTCCTTGTACCTCTGGTAGAATTCGGCTGTGAATCCATCTGGTCCTGGACTCTTTTTGGTTGGTAAACTATTGATTATTGCCACAATTTCAGAGCCTGTTATTGGTCTATTCAGAGATTCAACTTCTTCCTGGTTTAGTCTTGGGAGAGTGTATGTGTCGAGGAATGTATCCATTTCTTCTAGATTTTCTAGTTTATTTGCGTAGAGGTGTTTGTAGTATTCTCTGATGGTAGTTTGTATTTCTGTGGGATTGGTGGTGATATCCCCTTTATCATTTTTTATTGTGTCTATTTGATTCTTCTCTCTTTTTTTCTTTATTAGTCTTGCTAGCGGTCTATCAATTTTGTTGATCCTTTCAAAAAACCAGCTCCTGGATTCATTGATTTTTTGAAGGGTTTTTTGTGTCTCTATGTCCTTCAGTTCTGCTCTGATTTTAGTTATTTCTTGCCTTCTGCTAGCTTTTGAATGTGTTTGCTCTTGCTTTTCTAGTTCTTTTAATTGTGATGTTAGGGTGTCAATTTTGGATCCTTCCTGCTTTCTCTTGTAGGCATTTAGTGCTATAAATTTCCCTCTACACACTGCTTTGAATGTGTACCAGAGATTCTGGTATGTTGTGTCTTTGTTCTCGTTGGTTTCAAAGAACATCTTTATTTCTGCCTTCATTTCGTTATGAACCCAGTAGTCATTCAGGAGCAGGTTGTTCAGTTTCCATGTAGTTGAGCGGCTTTGAGTGAGATTCTTAATCCTGAGTTCTAGTTTGATTGCACTGTGGTCTGAGAGATAGTTTGTTATAATTTCTGTTCTTTTACATTTGCTGAGGAGAGCTTTACTTCCAACTATGTGGTCAATTTTGGAATAGGTGTGGTGTGGTGCTGAAAAAAATGTATATTCTGTTGATTTGGGGTGGAGAGTTCTGTAGATGTCTATTAGGTCTGCTTGGTGCAGAGCTGAGTTCAATTCCTGGGTATCCTTGTTGACTTTCTGTCTCGTTGATCTGTCTAATGTTGACAGTGGGGTGTTAAAGTCTCCCATTATTAATGTGTGGGAGTCTAAGTCTCTCTGTAGGTCACTGAGGACTTGCTTTATGAATCTGGGTGCTCCTGTATTGGGTGCATAAATATTTAGGATAGTGAGCTCCTCTTGTTGAATTGATCCCTTTACCATTATGTAATGGCCTTCTTTGTCTCTTTTGATCTTTGTTGGTTTAAAGTCTGTTTTATCAGAGACTAGGATTGCAACCCCTGCCTTTTTTTGTTTTCCATTGGCTTGGTAGATCTTCCTCCATCCTTTTATTTTGAGCCTATGTGTGTCTCTGCACGTGAGATGGGTTTCCTGAATACAGCACACTGATGGGTCTTGACTCTTTATCCAACTTGCCAGTCTGCGTCTTTTAATTGCAGAATTTAGTCCATTTATATTTAAAGTTAATATTGTTATGTGTGAATTTGATCCTGTCATTATGATGTTAGCTGGTGATTTTGCTCATTAGTTGATGCAGTTTCTTCCTAGTCTCGATGGTCTTTACATTTTGGCATGATTTTGCAGCGGCTGGTACCGGTTGTTCCTTTCCATGTTTAGCGCTTCCTTCAGGAGCTCTTTTAGGGCAGGCCTGGTGGTGACAAAATCTCTCAGCATTTGCTTGTCTATAAAGTATTTTATTTCTCCTTCACTTATGAAGCTTAGTTTGGCTGGATATGAAATTCTGGGTTGAAAATTCTTTTCTTTAAGAATGTTGAATATTGGCCCCCACTCTCTTCTGGCTTGTAGGGTTTCTGCCGAGAGATCCGCTGTTAGTCTGATGGGCTTTCCTTTGAGGGTAACCCGACCTTTCTCTCTGGCTGCCCTTAACATTTTTTCCTTCATTTCAACTTTGGTGAATCTGACAATTATGTGTCTTGGAGTTGCTCTTCTCGAGGAGTATCTTTGTGGCGTTCTCTGTATTTCCTGAATCTGAACGTTGGCCTGCCTTGCTAGATTGGGGAAGTTCTCCTGGATAATATCCTGCAGAGTGTTTTCCAACTTGGTTCCATTCTCCACATCACTTTCAGGTACACCAATCAGACGTAGATTTGGTCTTTTCACATAGTCCCATATTTCTTGGAGGCTTTGCTCATTTCTTTTTATTCTTTTTTCTCTAAACTTCCCTTCTCGCTTCATTTCATTCATTTCATCTTCCATTGCTGATACCCTTTCTTCCAGTTGATCGCATCGGCTCCTGAGGCTTCTGCATTCTTCACGTAGTTCTCGAGCCTTGGTTTTCAGCTCCATCAGTTCCTTTAAGCACTTCTCTGTATTGGTTATTCTAGTTATACATTCTTCTAAATTTTTTTCAAAGTTTTCAACTTCTTTGCCTTTGGTTTGAATGTCCTCCCGTAGCTCAGAGTAATTTGATCGTCTGAAGCCTTCTTCTCTCAGCTCGTCAAAATCATTCTCCATCCAGCTTTGTTCTGTTGCTGGTGAGGAACTGCGTTCCTTTGGAGGAGGAGAGGCGCTCTGCGTTTTAGAGTTTCCAGTTTTTCTGTTCTGTTTTTTCCCCATCTTTGTGGTTTTATCTACTTTTGGTCTTTGATGATGGTGATGTACAGATGGGTTTTCGGTGCAGATGTCCTTTCTGGTTGTTAGTTTTCCTTCTAACAGACAGGACCCTCAGCTGCAGGTCTGTTGGAATACCCTGCCGTGTGAGGTGTCAGTGTGCCCCTGCTGGGGGGTGCCTCCCAGTTAGGCTGCTCGGGGGTCAGGGGTCAGGGACCCACTTGAGGAGGCAGTCTGCCCGTTCTCAGATCTCCAGCTGCGTGCTGGGAGAACCACTGCTCTCTTCAAAGCTGTCGGACAGGGACATTTAAGTCTGCAGAGGTTACTGCTGTCTTTTTGTTTGTCTGTGCCCTGCCCCCAGAGGTGGAGCCTACAGAGGCAGGCAGGCCTCCTTGAGCTGTGGTGGGCTCCACCCAGTTCGAGCTTCCCGGCTGCTTTGTTTACCTAAGCAAGCCTGGGCAATGGTGGGCGCCCCTCCCCCAGCCTCGTTGCCACCTTGCAGTTTGATCTCAGACTGCTGTGCTAGCAATCAGCGAGATTCCGTGGGCGTAGGACCCTCTGAGCCAGGTGTGGGATATAGTCTCGTGGTGCGCCGTTTCTTAAGCCGGTCTGAAAAGCGCAATATTCGGGTGGGAGTGACCCGATTTTCCAGGTGCGTCCGTCACCCCTTTCTTTGACTCGGAAAGGGAACTCCCTGACTCCTTGCGCTTCCCAGGTGAGGCAATGCCTCGCCCTGCTTCGGCTCGCGGACGGTGCGCACACACACTGGCCTGCGCCCACTGTCTGGCACTCCCTAGTGAGATGAACCCGGTACCTCAGATGGAAATGCAGAAATCACCCGTCTTCTGCGTCGCTCACGCTGGGAGCTGTAGACCGGAGCTGTTCCTATTCGGCCATCTTGGCTCCTCCTCCAGCAGTTTCTTATAAAACTAAATATATTTTGCCATATGATCTGGCAATTGCACTCAGTCTTTTTAATCAGGTGAGTTGGAAGCTTATGTCCAAACAAAAACCTACACACACATGTTTATAGCATTTTTTTAATAATTGACAAAACTTGGAAGGAACCAAGATATACTTCAATAGGTAAATAAATAAGCAAACTGTAGGATAGCCATACAACAGAATATTATTCAGCAATTTTAAAAAGAGCTATCAAGCCATGAAAAGACATGGAGGAACTTTAAATGCACATTGCTAAGTTAAAGACACCAATCTGAAAAGGCTACATACTGCATGATTCCTACCATATGACATTCTGGAAAGGGCAAAACTATGAAGACAATAAAAAAGATCAGTTGTTGTGAGGATTCGGGGAGTGGGGAAGAGGGAAGGTGAGATGGATAGGGAAGACAGGGTATTTTTAAGGCAGTGAAACTATACAACGTGATACTCTAATTGTGGATACATTTTATTATACATATGTCTAAAGTTATAGAATATACCAAACAAAGAGTAAACTCTATGAGCTTAGTCAATAATGTGTCAATATTCACTCATCAATCGTAACAAATGTACCACACTAATGCAAAATGTTAATAAAAGGGGAAAGTGGATGGGGAGGTTAAAAGAATATATGTGAACTCTGTACTTTCACTCATTTTTTCTGAAAAACTAAAACTGCCCAAATATAGAGTCTGCTAATTTTTAAAAGATAGAAATGAAAAATAGATCAGTAGTTTCCAGGGGTTGGTGGCTATGTGTGGTTGACTATAAAAAAGGATGGCATAGGGAAATTTTTAGAGTGATAACACTGTGCTACATGGTACAGGGTGTTTGATACACAGGCTCTACGCATAGAACTGTACATCCACAAAGAACAAATTTGAAAGTGGGAACATTTTAAAATTCAACCAAGAAGTCAGGAGGTCTTGGTCTGAAACACAGACTGTGATGAAATAATCTAACTATATTACAAATGTTGACATAATCTTACTGAAGGGGATGTGGGAAAAGGTAACCGACTTAAGTAAATTTGGAAAAATGGTATTTGACTGGAATCTCTACAGAGTTAACACTAGTTTGTAAAGTTTTTCTCACAGAGGTACAGGTTACAATTCTGAAACTGCTTTACATGTACAGTGGAGTAGAAAAAATGAATACTGTCATGTACTGCAGAGCAACCATTTGGTCAAGGATGGACCATATATATGACAGTGATCCCATAAAATTATAATAGAGCTGAAAAATTCCTATTGCCTAGTGATGTCATAGCCATCGTAACATCATAGCGCAATGCATAACTCACCCGTTCGTATTAATGCTGGTGTAAATAAAACTACTGCACTGCCAGCTTCAGTAGACTTAAACATTCCTGCCTGCCAGCTCTGAGAGCAGCAGATCTCCCAGCACAGCTCTTGAGCTCTGTTAATGGACAGACTGCCTCCTCAAGTGGGTCCCTGACCCCCATGCCTCCTGACTGGGAGTCACCTCCCAGCAGGGGTCGACAGACACCTCATACAGGAGAGCTCTGGCTGGCATCTGGTGGGTGCCCCTCTGGGATGAAGCTTCCAGAGGAAAAAGCAGGCAACAATCTTTGCTGTTCTGCAGCCTCCGCTGGTGATACCCAGGCAAACAGGGTCTAGAGTGGACTTCCAGCAAACTCCAGCAGAACTGCAGAAGAGGGGCCTGACTGTTAGAAGGAAAGCTAACAAACAGAAAGCAATAGCATCAACATCAACAAAAAGGATGCCCACTCAAAAACCCCATCCGAAGGTCACTAACATCAAAGACCAAAGGTAGATAAATCTACAAAGATGAGGAAAAACCAGCACAAAAAGGCTGAAAATTCCAAAAACCAGAATGCCTCTTCTCCTCCAAAGTATCACAACTCCTCGCCAGCAAGGGAACAAAACTGGACAGAGAATGAGTTTGACGAATTGACAGAAGTAGGCTTCAGAAGGTGGGTAATAACAAACTCCTCCAAGCTAAAGGAGCATGTTCTAACCCAATGCAAGGAAGTAAAGAACTTGAAAAAAGGTTACAGGAACTGCTAACTAGAATAACCAGTTTAGAAAGAACATAAATCACCTGATGGAGCTGAAAAACACAGCACGAGAACTTCGTGAAGCATACACAAGTTTCAATAGCTGAATCGATCAAGCAGAAGAAAGGATATCAGAGATTGAAGAGCAACTTAATGAAATAAAGTGTGAAGACAAGATTAGAGAAAAAAGAATGAAAAGGAACTAACAAAGCCTCTAAGAAAAATGAGACTATGTTAAAAAGACCAAACCTACATTTGATTGACGTAATTGAAAGTGATGGGGAGAATGGAACCAGTTGGAAAACGCACTTTAGGATATTATCCAGGAGAATTTCCCCAACCTAGCAAGACAGGCTGACATTCAAACTCAGGAAATACAGACAACAACACAAAGACACTCCTTGAGAAGAGGAACCCCAAGACACATAATCTTCAGATTCACCAAGGTTGAAATGAAGGAAAAAATGTTAAGGGCAGCCAGAGAGAAAGGTCAGGTTACCCACAAAGGGAAGTCCATCAAACTAACAGTGGATCTCTCGGCAGAAACTCTACAAGCCAGAAGAGAGTCGGGGCCAATGTTCGACATTCTTAAAGAATAGAATTTTCAAGCCAGAATTTCATATCCAGCCAAACTAAGCTTCATAAGCTAAGGAGAAATAAAATCCTTTACAGACAAGCAAATGCTGAGGGATTTTGTCACCACCAGGCCTGCCTTACAAGAGCTCCTGAAGGAAGCACTAAATATGGAAAGGAAAAACCAGTACCAGCCACTGCAAAAACATACCAAAATGTAAAGACCGTCGACACTATGAAGAAACTGCATCAACTAACGGGCAAAATAACCAGCTAGCATCATAATGACAGGATCGAATTCACACTTAAACAATATTAACCTTAAATGTAAATGGGCTAAATGCCCCAATTAAAAGACACAGACTGGCAAATTGGATAAAGAGTCAACACCCATTGGTGTGCTGTATTCAGGAGACGCATCTCACGTGCAAAGACATGCATAGGCTAAAAAATAAAGGGATGGAGGAATATTTACCAAGCAAATGGAGAGCAAAAAAAAGAAAAGATTTCAATCCTAGTCTCTGATAAAACAGACTTTAAACCAACAAAGATCAAAAAAGAAAAAGAAGGGCATTACATAATGGTAAAGGGATCAATGCAACAAGAAGCGCTAACTATCCTAAATATATATGCACCCAATACAGGAGCACCCAGATTCATAAAGCAAGTTCTTAGAGACCTATAAAGAGACTTAGACTCCCACACAATAATAGTGGGAGACTTTAACACCCCACTGTCAATATTAGACAGATCAATGAGAGAAAATTAACAAGGATATTCAGGACTTGAACTCAGCTCTGGACCAAGCAGACCTAATAGACATTTACAGAACTCTCTACCCCAAATCAACAAAATACACATTCTTCTCAGCACCACATAGCACTTATTCTAAAATTGACCACATAGTTGGAAGTAAAACACTCCTCAGCAAATGCAAAAGAATGGAAATCATAACAAACAGTCTCTCAAACCACAATGCAATCAAATTAGAACTTAGGATTAAGAAACTCACTCAAAACCGCACAACTACATGGAAACTGAACAACCTGCTCCTAAATGACTACTGGGTACATCACAAAATTAAGGCAGAAATAAATAAGTTCTTTAAAACCAATGAGAACAAAGACACAATGTACCAGAATCTCTGGGACACAGCTAAAGGAGTGTTTAGAGGGAAATTCAAAGCACTAAAATGCCCACATGAGAAAGCGGGGAAAGATCTAAAATAAACACCCTAACATCACAATTAAAAGAACTAGAGAAGCAAGAGCAAACAAATTCAAAAACTAGCAGAAGACAAGAAATAACTAAAATCAGAGCAGAACTGAAGGAGATAGAGATACGAAAAATTCTTCAAAAAATCAATGAATCCAGGAGCTGGTTTTTTGAAAAGATTAACAAAATAGATAGACCATTAGCCAGACTAATAAAGAAGAAAATAGAGAAGAATCAAATACACACAATAAAAATAATAAAGGGGATATCACCACTGATCCCACATAAACACCTCTATGCAAATAAACTAGAAAATCTAGAAGAAGTGGATAAATTCCTGGACACATACACCTTCCCAAGACTAAACCAGGAAGAAGTAGAATCCCTGAATAGACCAATAACAAGTTCTGAAATTGAGGCAGTAATTAATAGCCCACCAACAAAAAAAAAGGCCAGGACCAGGTGGATTCACAGTCGAATTCTACCAGAGGTACAAAGAGGAACTGGTACCATTCTTTCTGAAACCATTCCTAACAATAGAAAAAGAGGGACTCCACCCTAACTCATTTTATGAGGCCAGCATCATCCTGATACCAAAACCTGGCAGAGACACAACAAGAAAAGAAAATTTCAGGCCAATATCCCTGATGAACGTCAATGTGAAAATCCTAAATAAAATACTGGCAAACCAAATCCAGCAGCACAATAAAATCTTATCCACCACAATCAAGTGGCTTCATACCTGGGATGCAAAGCTGGTTCAACATATGCAAATCAATAAACGTAATCCATCACATAAACAGAACCAATGACAAAAACCACATAGTTATCTCAATAGATGCAGAAAAGGCCTTTGATAAAATTCAACATCCTTTCATGCTAAAAAAACACTCAATAAACTAGGTATTATGGAACACATCTCAAAATAATAAAAGCTATTTATGACAAACCCATAGTCAATATCATACTGAATGGGCAAAAGCTGGAAGCATTCCCTTTGAAAACTGGCACAAGACAAGGATGCCTTCTCTCACCACTCCTATTCAACATAGTATTGGAAGTTCTTGCCAGGGCAATCAGGCAAGAGAAAGAAATAAAGTGATTCAAATAGGAAGAGAGGAAGTCAAATTGTCTCTGTTTGCAGATGACATGATTTTCTATTTAAAAAACCCTATCGTCTCAGCCCCAAAACTCCTTAACCTGATAAGCAACTTCAGCAAAATCTTGGGATACAAAATTAATGTGCAAAAATCACAAGCATTCCTATACACCAATAATAGACAAACAGAAAGCCAAATCATGAGTGAACTCCCATTCACAATTGCTACAGAGAAAATAAAATACCTAGGAACACAACTTACAAGGAATGTGAAGGACCTCTTCAAGGAGAACTACAAAATGCTGCTCAAGGAAATCAGAGAGGACACAAATGGAAAAACATCCCATGCTCATGGATAGGAAGAATCAATATAACAAAAATGGCCATACTGCCCAAAGTAATTTATAGATTCAATGCTATTCCCATCAAGCTACCATGACCTTCTTCACAGAATTAGAAAAAACTACTTTAAATTTCATATGGAACCAAAAAAGGGCCCATATAGCCAAGACAATCTGAAGCAAAAAGAACAAAGCTGGAGGCATCATACCACCTGACTTCAAACTATACTACAAGGCTATAGTAACCAAAACAGCATGGTACTGGTACCAAAACAGATACATAACCAATGGAACAGAACAGAGGCCTCAGAAATAATGCCACACATCTACAACCATCTGAACTTTGACAAACCTGACAAAAACAACCAATGGAGAAAGGATTCCCTATTTAACAAATGGTGTTGGGAAAACTGGCTAAGCCATATGCAAAAAACTGAAACTGCATCCCTTGCTTACACTTTATACAAAAATTAACCCAAGATGGATTAAAAACTTAAACGTAAGACCTAAAACCATAAAAACTCTAGGAGAAAACCTAGGCAATACCATTCAGGACATAGGCATGGGCAAAGATTTCATGATTAAAACATCAAAAGCAACTGCACAAAAGCCAAAATTGACAAATGGGATCTAATTAAACTAAAGAGCTTCTGCACAGCAAAAGAAACTATCATCAGAGTGAACAGACAACCTACAGAATGAGAGAAAATGTTTGCAATCTATCCATCTAACAAAGGGCCAATATCCAGAATCTACAGGGAACTTAAACAAATTTACAAGAAAAAAACAACCCCATCAAAAAGTGGGCAAAGGATATGAACAGACACTTTTCAAAAGAAGACATTTATGCAGCCAACAAACATATTTAAAAAGCTCATCATCACCGGTCATTAGAGAAATGCAAATCAAAACCACAATGAGATACCATCTCACGTCAGTTAGAATGGTGATCATTAAAAAGTCAGGAAACAACAGATGCTGGAGAGGATGTGGCGAATTAGAACACTTTTACACTGTTGGTGGGAGTGTAAATTAGTTCAACCATTGTGGAAGACAGTGTGGCAATTCCTCAAGGATCTAGAACCAGAAATACGGTTTGACCCAGCAATCCCATTGCTGGGTATATACCCCAAGGATTATAAATTATTCTACTGTAAAGACACATGCACACATATGTTTATTGCAGCACTATTCACAATAGCAAAGACTTGGAACCAACCAAAATGCCCATCAATTATAGACTGGATAAAGAAAATGTGGCACATATACACCATGGAATACCATGCAGCCATAAAAAAGGATGAGTTCATGTCCTTCGCAGGGACGTGGATGAAGCTGGAAACCATCATTCTCAGCAAACTAACACAGGAACAGAAAGCCAAACACTGCATGTTCTCACTCATAAGTGGGAGTTGAACAATGAGGACATATGGGCACAGGGAGGGGAACATCACACACCAGGGCCTGTCGGGGGGTTGGGGGCAAGGGGAGGGATAACATTAGGACAAATACCTAATCTAGATGACTAGTTGATGGGTGCAGCAAACAACCATGGCACATGTATACCTATGTAACAAACCTGCATGTTCTGCACATGTATCCCAGAACTTAAAGTATAATAAAAAATAAAAATTAAAAAAAAAACTACTGCACTGCCAGTCATATAAAAATATAGTTCATACAATTATGTACAGTACATACTTGATAATGATAATAAACAATGATGTTACTGGTCTATGTATTTACAATACTATACTTTTAATCATTATTTTAGAGCATACTCCTTCCACTTATTTTTTTTTAAGTTAACTGTAAAACAGTTTCCGTTAGGTCCTTCAGGAGGTATCTAGAAGAAGGCATTGTTATCATAGGTGATGGTTCCATGCGTGTTATTGCCCCAGTGGAACAAAATGTGGAGGGAGAAGACAGTGATATTGAAGATCTTGACCCTGTGTAGACCTAGGCTAATGTAAGTGTTTGTGTCTTAGTTTTTAACAACAACAACAAAAGCTTAAAAAGTAATAAAGAAATTAGCCAGGCGTTGTGGCTCATGCCTGTAGTCCAACACTTTGGGAGGCTGAGGCGGGTGGATCATGTAAGCCTAGGAGTTTGAGACCAGCCTGAGCAACATGGCTAAACCCGGTCTCTACAAAAAAATACAAAAAAGTTAGCTGGGCACAGTGGCAGCACTTGTGGTCCCAGGTAATTGAGAGGCTGAGGTGGGAGGATCGCTTGAGCCTGGGAGGTAGAGGGTGCAATGAGCTGAGATGGCACCATGGCACTCCAGCCTGGGTGACAGAGTAAGACCCTGTCCAAAAAAGATAAAAAATAAAAATAAATTTAAAGTAAATGAATAATTTTTAAAATAGAAAAAAGTTTGTAGAATAAGGATGTAAAGAAAGAAAATATTTTTGTATAGCTGTACAATGTGTTTGTGTTTTAAGCTAAGTGTTATTACAAAAGAAGCAAGTTTTTAAAAATTTAAAAGTGTACAAAGTTAAAAAGTTAAGTAAGCTTGCCGGGCACGGTGGCTCATGCCTGTAATCCCAACACTTTGGGAGGCCGAGGTGGGCGGATCACCTGAGGTCAGGAGTTCAAAACCAGCCTGGCCAACATGGTGAGACCCCCGTCTCTACTAAGAATAGAAAAATTAGCTGGGCATGATGGCAGGTGCCTGTAATCCCAGCTACTTGGGAGGCTGAGGCAGGAGAATCGCTTGAACTCAGTAGGCAGTGGTTGCAGTGAGCCGAGATTGCACCACTGCACTCCAGCCTGGATGGCAGAGCAAGACCCTGTCTCAAAAAAAGAAAAAAAAAAAAGTTACAGTAAGCTACAGCTAATTTATTATTGAACAAAATATTTTTATATATTTAGTATAGCCTAAATGTACAGTGTTTATAAAGTCTACAAAAGTGTACGGTAATGTCCTCAGCCTTCACATTCACCCACCACTCACTCACTGACTCACCCATAGCAACTTCCAGTCCTGCAAGCTCCACTCATGGTAAGTGCCCTATACAGGTTTTCCATTTTTTATCTTTTATACCATATTTTACTGTACCTTTTCTATATTAGATAGGTTTAAATATACAAATATTTACCATTGTGTTATAATTGCCTACAGTATTCAGTACAGTAATATGCTGCACAGATTTGCAGCCTAGGAGCCATAGGCTACACCAGATAGCCTAGGTGTGTAGCAGGTTTGTGAAAGCACACTATGATGCTTACACAATGACTAAATTGCCTAATGATGCATTCCTCAGAATGTTTCCCCATCATTAAGCAGCACATGACTGTATATAGATAAATACAGAAATGATAATATGTATGTGTGTTTACTTGGGTTAGTATATATATCCTAGCTCTGTCTGCTGAAAGGTCTAATTTCCCCACTCACTTCAGTGTTGGCAAGACTTAGTAACTTGCTTCCAAAGAATTGGATATTGAAAGAGTTTTTTTATATGTAGAAATGTAACTTTAAAGTACAGAAACCTGGCAAATATAATCTTAACCAAAGACAAAAGTTAAGATCACCAGTGATGCCATGCTGATAGGATGTAACCTCTGATACAATGTGACAAGAAGGGTACTTCATCTCTGTGGTATTTTCCCCCAAAACCCATAACTCCAGGCTAATCATAACAAAAACATTAGGACAGTGGACATCCAAGACTCCAAGATGGTGTCAGTTCTACCAGTTTAGGAAAAGAATTGTACTCAATGGATGTCAAAATAGAGGGATGACATGCTGGATACTGATGTGGGATTTCATCCCTAAAGGCACTGTTGGGGCATTTCAATACAGCCACAACTGGTATTACAAGTATGTCAAAGTGAAGAAAGGGAGCACTCTCAGGGTTTCTATGCTGTTGGCAGCTTACATGTTTTTCAACTACTGCCTTTCTTACAAGGAGCTCAAACTTGAAAGGTTATACAAGTACTACTGAAGTGGAAGCCAATGCAAAGGACATACACTGCATTTCTTACTGTGACTTTCTTTGCCCTGGCATCATTCCTTGAGGAATACAGTTGTTATTGAAACTTTTCCTATCTTAATTGAGAATTTATGCCTATGATGATAAATTGTATGTGTCAGCTTGACTGGGTTAAGGGATATCCACATAGCTGGTGAAACATTATTTCTATTGATGGTGTTTTTGGAAGAGATCAGTATTTGAATCAGTAGACTGAGTAAAGATCTGCCCTCGCCAATGTGAGTGGCATCATCCAATCCAATTAGGGATCAGACAGAACAAAAATGTGGAGGAAGGGCAAATTCTCTGTCTCCTTGAGCTGGGACATCCATTTTCTCCTGCTTTTGGACATCAGATCTCCTGGGTCTCTGGCCTTCAGAGTCCAGGACTTATTCCAATGCACCACTGGCATAAGAACTTATTTCTCACCCCCAGGTTCTCAGGCATTTGAACGCTGAATGAATTACACCATCAGTTTTCCTGTTCTCCAGCTTATAGATAGCATTTCATGGGGCTTCTTGACCTCCATAATTGTACAAGCCAACTCCCATAAGAAGTATCCTGTTACATATACTTAATATATCCTATTGGTTCTGTTTCTCTGGAGAATCCTGACTAATACAATGCCCAACAAAAAATAACCAGTATATATATTTTTTTAAAAATCAGACAAACCCAAGTTGAAGGACATTCTACCAAATATTTCATCAGAAGTCCTCAAAACTGTCAAAGTCATCAAAATAAGGTAGGACTGAGAAGACCAGAGGAGACTGAGGAAGAATTGTGACTAAATACCATGTGTATCCTGAACTGGATCTTAGAACAGAAAAAGAACATTGTGAGAAAAACTAGTAAAATTTGAACACAGTCTGAAGTTTAATTAATATTAAGGTACCAGTGTTGATTTCTTAGTTTTGACAAACATACCATGGTAATATAAGTTGTTAACATTAGGGAAACCTGATGAGAAGTATACAGGAACCTCCCTGTACTATCTTTGCAACATTTCTGTAAATCTAAAATTATTCCAAAGTAAAGCTTTTATTTTAAAAAATGCATGAAGCAAAAACTGATAGAAGATGAAGAAGAAATAGCCAATCCACAATTATAGTCAGATACTTCAAGACTCCTCTATCAATAATTGATAAAACAGGTAGAAAAAAGCCAGTAGAGAAAGGGAAGATTTGAACAATATTATCAACAAGTGACATTTATAGAATATGCCACTCAACAGCAGAATACACATCCTTTTCAAGTTTTCATAGAACTTTTACCAAGAAGGGTCATATTTGGAGTAAATTCATAAAAAATCTGTCATCTCATCACAGTGGAATTAAATTTGAAATAAATAACAGAATAATATTTGGGAAATCTCTGATATTTGGAAACTATATAACACAACTCCAAACAACTGATGGGTCAAAGAATCAAGGGGAAAATTACAAAGTATTTTTAAGTGAATAAAAATGAAACTACAACATATCAAAATTTGTGGGATACCTCTAAAGAAGTACAGAGACAATTACAAAACATTGCTTAAAAAAATTAAAGGAGACCTAAATAAATGAAGAGATAGATCAAGTTCATGGGTTGAAAAATATCAATATTGTAAGGTGTCAATTCTTCCCAAATTGATGTACTACAGATCCAATGCAATCCCAGTAAAAATTCCAGCATACTTTTTTTCATAGAAATCAGTAAACTTATTCTGAGGTTCATATGAAAATGCAAAGAACCTAGAATGCTTAAGCAATTTTGAAAAAGAACACAGTTGGAGGACTAATACTACCTCACTTCAAGACATATTATAAAGCTACAGTAATCAAGTTGTTGTGGTATTATCATAAAAACTGACAAATTGATAAATAGAACAGAATAGAGAAAGAGTCCAGAAATAGACCCACACATATAGGGACAGCTACTTTTTGACAAAAGTGTAAAGACAATTCAATGGCAAAAGGATAGTATTTTCAACAAATGGTGCTGGAACATTTAGATATTCATGTGCAAATAAATAAATAAACTTCAATCCATTCCTCATGATATATAAAATGTTTAACTTAATATGCATCATAAACCTAAATGTAAAACCAACAACTATAAAACATATAGAAGAAAGCATAAATGAAATCTATTACCTTGGGTTGGGCAAGATCACATTGATAAACTGGACTTCATCAAAATTACAAACATCTACCCTTCTTAAAATATTCCTATGGTAATGAAATGGCAAGTCACAGATTGGGAAAAAATAATTACAAACCATGAATCTGATAAACAAGTTGTATCGAGAATATATAAACTCTCAAAGCTCAGTTTAAAAAGATTTAAACCCCAATTTTTAGAAATAGGCAAAAGATCTGAACAAACACACCAAAGAATATATAGAGGCAAATAAGCACAAGAAAAGGGGCATATCATTAGTCATTAGGAAAATGCCTTCTTTTGAGAAGTGTCTGTTCATATCCTTCACCCACTTTGTGATGGGGTTGTTTGTTTTTTTCTTGTAAATTTGTTTGAGTTCATTATAGATTCTGGATATTAGCCCTTTGTCAGATGAGTAGGTTGCGAAAATTTTCTCCCATTTTGTAGGTTGCCTGTTCACTCTGATGGTAGTTTCTTTTGCTGTGCAGAAGCTCTTTAGTTTAATTCGATCCCATTTGTCAATTTTGGCTTTTGTTGCCATTGCTTTTGGTGTTTTAGACATGAAGTCCTTGCCCATGCCTATGTCCTGAATGGTAATGCCTAGGTTTTCTTCTAGGGTTTTTATGGTTTTAGGTCTAACGTTTAAGTCTTTAATCCATCATGAATTGATTTTTGTATAAGGTGTAAGGAAGGGATCCAGTTTCAGCTTTCTACTTATGGCTAGCCAGTTTTCCCAGCACCATTTATTAAATAGGGAATCCTTTCCCCATTGCTTGTTTTTCTCAGGTTTGTCAAAGATCAGATGGTTGTAGATATGCGGCGTTATTTCTGAGGGCTCTGTTCTGTTCCATTGATCTATATCTCTGTTTTGGTACCAGTACCATGCTGTTTTGGTTACTGTAGCCTTGTAGTATAGTTTGAAGTCAGGTAGAATGATGCCTCCAGCTTTGTTCTTTTGGCTTAGGATTGACTTGGTGATGCGGGCTCTTTTTTGGTTCCATATGCACTTTAAAGTAGTTTTTTCCAATTCTGTGAAGAAAGTCATTGGTAGCTTGATGGGGATGGCATTGAATCTATAAATTACCTTGGGCAGTATGGCCATTTTCATGATATTGATTCTTCCTACCCATGAGCATGGAATGTTCTTCCATTTGTTTGTATCCTCTTTTATTTCATTGAGCAGTGGTTTGTAGTTCTCCTTGAAGAGGTCCTTCATGTCCCTTGTAAGTTGGATTCCTAAGTATTTTATTCTCTTTGAAGCAATTGTGAATGGGAGTTCACTCATGATTTGGCTCTCTGTTTGTCTGTTATTGGTGTATAAGAATGCTTGTGATTTTTGTACATTGATTTTGTATCCTGAGACTTTGCTGAAGTTGCTGATCAGCTTAAGGAGATTTTGGGCTGAGACGATGGGGTTTTCTAGATATACAATCATGTCGTCTGCAAACAGGGACAATTTGACTTCCTCTTTTCCTAATTGAATACCCTTTATTTCCTTCTCCTGCCTAATTGCCCTGGCCAGAACTTCCAACACTACGTTGAATAGGAGTGGTGAAAGAGGGCATCCCTGTCTTGTGCCAGTTTTCAAAGGGAATGCTTCCAGTTTTTGCCCATTCAGTATGATTTTGGCTGTGGGTTTGTCATAGATGGCTCTTATTATTTTGAGGTATGTCCCATCAATACCTAATTTATTGAGAGTTTTTAGCATGAAGGGTTGTTGAATGAAAATGCTAACTAGAACCACAATGAGACCATTATAAACTTATTCAAATGACTACAAACGGGAAAGACTGACCATACCAACTAGTGGCAAGGATGTACAGGAAATGGAACTCTCGTACACTGCTGCGAACCTAAAATTGTACAACCACTTGGAAAAAAAGTTTGGCAGTTACTTAAAAATGTAAATATACACTTATTCTATGATCCATCCATTCCACTCCCACATATTTACCTAAGAGAAATGAGAGTAAGTGTACATGCAAAGACTTGTACACAACATGTTCATACCAAGAGGAAAAGGTATTCAAACTTCAGCACAATTTAAGACAAAAGTATAGTATTTCTTCAGTGTAGATTTATTAAATGCCTATAGAACAGGGTTTTGATTTGCTTTTTCTGTTTCTTGAAAGAGCTAATGCAGTTGTTGAAGCTTCTAACCAAGACAGAACTTAAGTAATTGGGAGACTTGGTCCCCTTGTTTTCAGGGCTGTGCCTATAACTCCCTCCCCACCTTTGGATATTGCTTAAATATGGCAAAAGGATTTCTAGTTTTTATAACTAATAGTTTTTGTTTGTTTGTTTGCTTGCTTGCTTGCTTGCGGATTTGCATAATCATTGATGCTTACTATTGCTGATTCATAATATAAAGAATGACTCCTGTCCTCCATATTTATGCATGTGCTAGAAATAGTATACATGATATAAAGAGTATGAAGTTTTCGTAAGCATTTATATTTCAAGCTCTTTATTTAAACATTGTTGAAACATGTGGCATAAACCTTGTTTCATTTATTTAATAAACTAGAGTAGTATAAAATAATTTAAAAACAGACACTTGTACACAAATGATCATAGTAGCTTAATTTGTAATAGTATAAACCTGGAAACAACCCAAATGTCCATCAATAGATGAATGGGTAAACAAATTGTGGTATATCCATACAATGAAATACTACTCGTCAATAAAAATAACATATTGATACACACTGTGATTGTGGATAAATTTCAAAATAATTGTGCTGTGTGAAAGAGGCCAGACCCCCCTGAAAAAGAATACTCTATGTTTCCCCTTTACATAAAATCCTAGGAATTACAAACTAATGAATAGTGACTGAAAGCAGATCACCAGTTGAGGACAGAGGAGCAACCAGAAGGGCTGGGAAAGAGGGATTACCAAGGCTAACAAAGAAACTTTTGAGGGAAATGTTCATTTTCATGATTACAGTAATAGCTGCAGATGTGTGTCCATATATCACAACTTATCAAATTGTACATTTTAAATAAATGCAGTTTATTGTATGTCAATCATACTTCAATAAAGCTGTTTTCTTTTTTAAAAAAAGTATGCCAAAAATTTGAAAATCTAGATTAAATATATTTCTAAAAAAAATTAAAATATCAATAATAACACAAGAAGAGATTGACAACCTGAAGACCAATAACCATGAAATAAATAAATAATAAAAGGCTCCCCCCACCCATCCCCACAAAGCTTCACACAATAGCAGTTTTAAAGATGAGTTCCACCATTTTCCTTTTACCTTTTACTTGTTTAAAAAAAAATGATACACAAAAACCATTTCATTTAAGTAATTATTTTAAGGGGGCCATACTTGTAACTGCAATTTTGGTCAAGAAATAGAGCTATGCCAGTCATGCTTGAAGCCCTTCCATGTGCCTTCCATAACACAATTGCCTTCTGTCTCTCAAATATAACCTATTAATCTGACTTTTAAGTAATTCTTTCCTTGTGTTTCTTATAATTTTATCACCCAAATGTGTTTTCCTGAACACTACACTTTTGTCTTGCTATGACTGTTTCATATTTGATATGTCTTTAGAGACACTCTTCACTTATAATTTTCCCCTATATTGCCTTACAGTTCATCTGTTGAAGAATCTGGGCTGCCTGACGTGTAGAGTCTCCCACAATCTGGACTTTGTTAATTGCCTTCATGGTGTGGTTCAACATGTTCTGTTTTCTGTATTTCCTGTAAATCAGCAGCTAGTCTCAGGTTCAATCCCTTTGTCAACATAGTAGGTGTTGCATTCTTTCACTTGGAGACACACAATGTCTGGATGGGCTCATTTTCTGATGTTATCAGCTGTTGATTATTTTTGCCTGGATCTACTAATTCACTGAAGGTTGAAAAATAGTAATCTAATGGTATCATTTCTCTTTTTGAGGTGGAAAAGTTTTATGAAGATTTTGGATTTTAACATATTTTATGAGTTTTTATGCATTGTAATTGTTATGCTTACTGTGGTAGATTAGAAAATATGGACACAATATTTTGCATATTCTCCCATCAAGAAATGAAATTTAGTTCTCCATCCTCATTTAAACTGAACTGGCCTTGTGACATGCTCTGACCAACAGAATGTGGTAGAAATTAAGTTTTACAACTTCTGAATCTAGGCATAAAGAGGCCTGGCAATTTCTGCTTTCACCCACTTGGAGCACTGTCCTGAGTCCACCTGATCTAATCTACAGGAGGATGAAAGGCCTTTGGAGGAAAAGTTAGGGCACCCCTACCTATATTCCCATATAACCACTCACCATTTGAGCAAGAGCATCTTGGGACATCCCCACCATGCTTGAAGTGTAACTACAGGAATTAGCTCAGACTAGACCAGCAGAACTGCCAACTATTCTACAAAATTATGAGGAATACAATTGAATCTCATTATTCACAGAAGTTATGTTTTATAAAGTCATCATGAGGACTGAATGCGTGAATACTGAATCATTGCTCCTAGAGGAAATGTAGGGTTAGATTCCTGTGAGCCTCTAGTCAAAATAGACTCATCAACCAGTCAACATATAACCTTGTTTTATGTATGTTCCTTTAAAGACATCTCCTTTAGCACACTCGACTGGTTGAACTCCCAGGCAACAGAACTATGCATGCCTAAGGAAAGCTTATCTAACACGCCTATTTTTCCTCCATAAGGCACATCACAGCCTTATTGCACTTAGGAGCACTAACCAGCATTTCAGCAGTACTCTTGGGGTCCTTTTATTTATTTATTTTGAGATGGAGTCTTGCTCCGTCACCCAGGCTGGAGTGTAGTGGCATGATCACAGCTCACTGTAACCTCTGCCTCCCAGGTTCAAGCAATTCTCCTGCCTCAGCCTCCTGAGTAGCTAGGATTACAGGCATGCGCCACCATGCCCAGCTAATTTTTGTATTTTTAGTAGAGACCGGGTTTCACCATGTTGGCCAGGCTGGTCTCGAACTCCTGACCTTATGATCTGCCCGCCTTGGCTTCTCAAAGTGCTGGGATTACAGGCGTGAGCCACCGCACCTGGCCCCAGGGCCCTTTTAAACAGCAAAATCACCAACAACAAGCACAAAAATGTTTTTTTAAAAGTGACAGTTAAGAGATGACAAAAAAGATACTTGTTTACAGTAAGAGAGATGAAAGCAGACAAAATAGCACATTGTACAGCCTCAGCTAGGAACTTAGGCATCAGAAAACTCAAATTTTTCCATGCCCTGGGCATGTCCAAAAATCACTCTGAGTACTGATTTGGGGGTTAAAATAAATTTCAGCAAGTAGGTGAATTTGCAAGTACGAATGCTTGAACAATGAGAATTGACCATAATACAATGTGTTGTTTTAGGCCACTGAGTTTGGGGTGATTGTTACACAGCAATAGAATCCTGAAACACACAAAGACATCTTTTGCCAGGCAGGGTAACTTAGATTGGGTTCCCTGAACATAGGCTCTGAGAGAGAATTCTGTCCAACGGTTTGTTGAGGAGTGCTCATAGGAGAAGCTGCTCACAGAAGGCAGTTGCAACTGACATCTCAGCTGATCCTACAAGAGGCCTTTCCAAGTTGTCCCAAATTGAGGGAAGAAGACTGGGCCTTTATATCTCTGCATAGCAATTATTTGCTATGGGATACCCCTGTGAAGAGACTTAATCTTGAGGGAATCAGTTCCCTGAGGCTGAGTGCCCATTTTGTGAGGGGTGCAGCTGTGAATCAGTATCTTCAGAAGCTGAGGGATGGCTGTGATTTCTCTGCAATGGGATCTAGCAGGAACACCACATGTCAGAACACAGGGTGCCTCTTCTGATTGGTTCTGAGTCCTGTTGACATGATAGCTTCCTTGCTATCTGGTATGACAAGAAATTTCAGGCTTATTTTATATATTTCCTGTTTCATACCTGTAAATTTTTCAAGCCATTTCTCCAAGAAGCCCTGGTTTCTTTTGGTGGCAAACAGTATTTCTTGTTGTTGTTGTTGTTGTTGTTGTTGTTGTTGTTGTTGTTGTTGTTTGGGGGGGGATGGAATTTTGTTCTTGTGGCCCAGGCTGGAGTGCAATGGAGCGGTCTCGGCTCACTACAACCTCTGCCTCCCAGGTTCAAGCGATTCTCATGCCTCAGCCTCCCAAGTAGCTGGAATTACAGGCACCTTCCACCACGCCTGGCTAATTTTTTTGTATTTTTAGTAGAGACGGGGTTTCACCATGTTGGCCAGGTTGGTCTCAAACTCCTGACCTCAGGTGATCCACCCACCTCAGCTTCCCAAAGTGCTGGGATTACAGGCATGAGCCACCGTGCCTAGCCGGCAAATGGTATTTCAAGACCACTAAAAATGCTTATTGCGCCCTATGTCACTTGCCCCTTATGACTAGAAACCCATAGGGAATTTTGTTGTTTGTTTTTATTTCCTTTTTGTTCAAGTCTGGCATTTTTAGTAAAACTGATTGCCTGCCAGTCAACAACTCCTCTCCCTGTGTCATCTATCTCTTTCAGGTTCTACCTAGCCACCAAGCTCCTTACCTAGGAGTCCTCCTAATGACCACCTCTATCCCCCAACTGCCATCTACATCTTATCTGTGGATGAAGGCCAGTGCCTCATTCATAAAAGATAATTCAAAATTTTTGTTGGAAAGAGTAAAATCGACTAACGTTTACTTGGCACTTGATGTTTTGTTCCCTGGGGGGCCATGCCCATCTTTTCTGGTAGCCAGAGGCTATTCCTCAGTAGCCAAGATGCTTGAATGGAATTTCTATTCTCCTATAACAAGAAACATGCTCTAATATTGGCAGACCAAAGGGCACCCCATCCAGAACCATAAACTTCCTGGAGCCTGGGACTTTCCCCACTGCAGGGGCTGTAACCCTTGCCTACCCAGTTGTGTTTTTTCCCCCCTTCACGAAGGCAACCTGGAAAGCAAAAGGAGGACAAAGCAATGAGGTGAAAGGGCAGAGAGAGAAAAAAGTAAGGCAATAGAGGATATATGAGCACCTAATTATCTATATATGAGCATCTAATTATCTATTATCACTCACTCACTCACCAAATAGTTCCTAAACTCCTGCTCTGTTCCACACCTGGAGGTGGAGGATGGAAGATAAGGAAAGATTAGACAGAGTCCCATGGCCATGAGGAACAAAATGTCAACCAGTGGAAACAGAGAAATTAACAGGCACAGAGACTGCAGAGTCCAGGGAGCCCAGAAGAAGGCACATTACATTACACAGCCCAGCAGAGTCCACAGGAGTGGTCTGTGGAAAGGGGGAATGCTTTTACTGGGGCTGAACTGATGAGGAAGAAGAAAGAAGGAAATGAGAAGCCATACTGGCATTCCCCGCAGATGGAACATGGAAAAGGGTCAGTCAGTCTGTTCTGAAAGAAAGCTGCAAGTAACAGAAATATGTGGCAAGTCTTGGGCATCCAACTTTTCTTCATGGGCATTTCTGTAGGTCATGACCTAGGACTTGCTGGGTTTAGCTGTAACCATGTAGAGTTTGAAAAGCAGAGTGTTTTCGCTCACTGAGCCCCAGCTCCCTCAGGCAGCAGGTTTTTTTTTTCTCTCTCTCTCTCTCCCCCTCCCCTCTTTCTCTCTCTCCTGCATGCACACACAAACACACACACACATACACATACAAAGAGAGAATGAGCTCTTCCTTCCCACCCTCCTCCCTGTGGGTACTCAGCTCTCTGGGCTCAAGGACCAGCCCATAGTCCATTTTGTCTCCTCAAGGCACACTTGTTATAGAGCAGCAAGGAGAAGCAGGAAGGTGTCTGAGTGTGCTACACCCCAGTCTCTGTCCCTCTTGATGCCCCACTCCTGATGCAGGGTTTGTTAAACTCAAGTACCACACTCCCAGCTACAGAGATGCTGATGGAAAAAAAAAAAAAAACAGGCAGCAGGACCCACTGGGTAAAGCCACCTGTCAGACTTAAATGAAGGCAGACAAGCTCCTCATCCCTGGCTCTGCCAGAGTTTAATAAAAACCATGAATATCTTCCTAATAAATGGGAAGCCAATTCTTTACAGAGTATGTTATATACAACCTCACACCCCAGTGAGCAGAGCTTCAGAAACACAGGAGACTCCCCAAATATTTATTTAGTTGATTTCCGAAAACTCCACACCCCATAACAGACTCAATACAATTTGTAGTGTCCCTGAAAGTGGCCACCAGGGCACTGAGGAAAGAGGTGCAAGAATGGGTTGCCCCAAGAGAGCTGGTGTGGCAGAGGCTGTCCACTCACAGATGGATCCACACTGGGCTGCAGGGGAACTTCTCCCAGCCCCAGACTACTGAGCCAGAGTGGAAGTCCCAGGCCTCACACGTCTGCAGGGACCTGGTAACGCCTCCTTCTCTCTCTGTGAGCAATCACCCAGCTGGCTGGTTTCACAAAGTCTCAGGTGAGAGCCCTGAAACCAGAACCACGTCTAACGCTTCCTTCACCATTGATGATGTCTCTTCTTTGATAGATGTTCCTCCAGATATTGATGAGTCACCGTGGCCCACTTGGCAGGGAGGCTGGCCCTCTAGCTGGAATCGGTTCACTCCCTCCTTCCCACCAGCCAGAGCACAGCCCTGGTGCAGGCATGGCTGAGGCAAGTGACCAGAGCACCAGGCAGGGGCACTTTCCAGGCCCCAGTCTCCCTGCCATGCTCTATTGTACGGATCTCCAGAGGGCCCGTGGATTCCAACTGGCATTTGTGGAAAGGGCATTGAGAAGGAGTGGGAAGTTGGTCAGAGGAGACACCTAAGTGTGAGACTCAGAAACAGCAGAAGAGTGGAATGGGGTCTGATCACAGGGTCACCAGGATGCCCAGGGGCATCACCAGACACAGGACTAGGATGAGGAAGTCTTTGAATTCAAACAGGAAGCTTGTCTCAGGTGATCAATAATCCATTTCTTGTAGAAACTAACTTCTGTGTAAACTCCAGGGTATCCTTTGCGACCGCAGCCAATGCCCCAGCTCACAATCCCCACCTGGACCCATGTGCCATTTAATTCACAGACCAGGGGCCCCCCAGAATCTCCCTGGAAAAAGAAAGACAGTCACTGTAGGAAAGAAATAGGATCCACATCAGAGCAGGCTAATTGCACTGCAATGCGCTACAGAGCTAAGCACTAAGGGGGCTTCCCCAGGAACCCCTAAGACCCTCCTAGCCTTAGGTATCTGTCAATATGAGATCTGAGAATTGACAATTTCCAATAAACCAAAATCATGTACCTACTAAAAAGGCGTGTTCCAAAAAACGGAATATACCTAATGAAATTGTGCCTACTCTGAGACAATAATGAGTCAAGTGCTAACCTGAGTACACTGCCTGTCACACAGAAGGGTCCCAAAACATGGAGCATGTATTGTTGGTGGGACCTGCCTGATTCACCCCTCCTCCCACTCCAGGCTGTGTCAGCTGCTCTCTTTTGAAGGATCAGGTAGGCTGCCCAGGAGAGCCTTGGTGGCTTGTCCTCACGTCCCATTACCATGAATAAGGGTAAACGGAGGGGCTAGGAGATAACCCAGTCCCTACTGGTTGGGGATGAGGAAGCTTTGAGGAGACAACTGCAATGCTGAGGCAGCAAGAGGCCCATGAGCTGACCTGACAGGCATCCTTCCCTTGGTCATTATAGCCACAGATGGTCCCTTTCTTGACCATTTCACTCCTCATTCTTATCTTTTCCTTGAGCACCTCATTACATTTATCATGAAGAATAATGCTTAGCTCAGCCTCCTGAGGCTCAGTTACTATCTTTTCTGATGAATCTACAGAGAGACAATTTACAACTGAGTGGGTGTGTATAAGTGGGACAGGACAGGAGAACCCCATACCCACTCTGGGTCTCAATACCATGTGTTCACACACAGACACGCTCTTAGGCATTGGATATTGTCCCATTTGACAAAGGAAGATATGAGGCCCAATGTTGACATGGGGAGATAAGGACATAAGATCCAAACCAAAACAGGGGAAATAAGAACAGACAGGAAAGGGAAGGCAAGGCGTTACCACCCTGAGAAACCAAAACCAAGCATCTGTCACTTTGAATAGTAGTACTAATAGTGACACAGTATCCTGTACATCAGTAAAGCATCTATACTTTCTAGAGCAGGATCACAGACTGTCAGACAGGTAATGCCCCAAAGGTACCAAATCCAGCCTCTCCCCAAGGATAGGAGGCCCTACACCTCTCTGAAAGGTCTCTGGCCTCTTCTCACACACAGGAAGCTTCCTATCTACCAAGGCAGGTACTTCCAGGGAGGGACAGCTTAAAAGGGCAGACAGCTAGCTCATCGCCCCCAGAGGTAAAATCCACCCTAGAGAGAACCCTCCATGCCTGGCACCCAAATCCCCAGGTCCTGACAAACCAAAAGAATTTCATAGACCAGTTGTTAAAATTATTCCCAGGCAGCATCTACTGCACCCTCCTCCCTGACTTACTAAAAAAATCTGCCTCTCTGTCCCTCCCTTTAGCTTGTAGATCAACCCCAGGGCACCGAGCAACATTTTCCCTGGTCTGGGGCTGCTGTAGTCTTGCTTCATAGTCTCACCTGTTTCATTTACTTTGCCCCATCCGGTCACCCAGCAGTTCGTACCAGCTTGCACCATGAAAGCCTGTTCAGGGAGGCACACAAGCTGGATGTGCGTGGAGTAATTCACAGGGAAGTCAAGCAGGGCAAGGGCAATGTCATTTTCAATTATTCCAGGAGACGTAAAATATCGGTGGATAACGACGTCACGAACTGGGACCACAAGTGCTGTTTTGGAGCGATGATGCACATTTGTGTCTCCCAGCTTCACTGTGTATTCCAGATGGCTGCAGGAAGATCCTCCAGGGTCTACACTCTGCTTCCACACCTTCGAGGTGCTTCCCGCCTGGTACCATCTTCCTATGCCAGCCAGCAGCTACCTCCCTCTCTCCAAGCCACATCCCTCCAGGACCCCTGACCACTTTAGCCAGTAGTCCCCAGATCAGCGGCGGAGGCAACACCCAGAAACTTGTTAGAAATGCAAATCCTCAGGTCTCACCCAGACTGGATAAAAACTATGGGGCTGTCACCCCCTTTTACAGATGAGGAAGAGGAAGTTCAGGGAGGGGGACAGACTGGCTCCAGGTCCCACAGCCTGATCAGGGCCCAAGCTCTGAGCCCCAAACCCTCACCCAGAGATGCAGTGAGCGGCAGTGAGTACCCAGTGTCTGGCGATAAGGGAGCCTCCGCAGATGTGTCTGTTGCTGGTCTGCAGGCTCACCTGCCAGGGCCACTTCCTGTCTGGAGCCGGCAATCCTCCAGTTATCCTTGAAGTCCGCTGGCCACAGGCTGGGGCAGGTCAATGAAAGGAAGGGACTAAGAGTAACGCTGCTGCAGCACCTTCACCAGAGCCAAATGCGCCTCGGAACCCTCAAAGCAAGGCCTGCATCCCCTGAGGCTCTTCGGAAAATGGCTGTGTCCTCCCAGGTCTCAGGGAGCCGCCCCGCCCCTGGACAGATCGTGTCCCCTGAGCCCCTCCTCCTCTAGGGCAGGTCCCCTCCCCCTCAAACCAGGCCAGTTCTCTGCGGCTGGGCATGGCCCAGAAGCGTCACCTGACGTTTAATGCTACTGTCCCTTTGGTCCATGTTGATGATAGTGTGTGTGGGATTGCCAGAGCCTGGTAAGAATCAGACTCACCTGAGGGAAGTAACACCGAAGCGGGGCGCACTGCGTTCCCCCTGGACTGGGGGGCCGCTGGGGATCCTGGAGCCCCTACAGGTGGCGGCTCCCATCCGCTCGCTCCGGGGTCCTGGCCGCCTGGCCCTGAGGGGAGCGCGGAGGGGAAGAGCAGTGCTACGCCTCCCTGCGCACCCACCCTGCCTGCCCGGGCCTCTTCGAGCCATGGCTGAAGAAGCAAGAACCAGGCCAGGAGCCCCAGGGAGCTGCCGCTCTGGGACGCCATGGATACTGCCGGCGACCTCAGCCTCCGTCGTGGCGCCGCCTCGCAGCGGTTTCCACGCCGGCCATGGGTTCTGGCGGCAACTTGGAGCGCCCGGGAGGGACGAGGGGGCGGGGCGGGGCCACCAGGCCGTCCGAGGGGCGGGGCCTGGGCGGGGTCGCGCCGTGCAGTCCTGACTCAGATGAGTCCTCTCTCTCTTCGCAGCTCTCCGTGGACTCAGGGCCCTCCACCTCATCGGGAGCCTCCCAGGCACTCAGCGTCTCCTGGCCTAGGGCCCTCGCCTCAGAGTGGCAGCTGTCTAGCCCTTTGTTCACACAAAAATGCGACCACTACTCTACGGCAGAGCTTCCTCCAGCCAGGGCTTTAGAGTCTCCTTCCCTTACTTGTTTGCAATAAAAATTAAAACTCTTTAACGTGCATGTTGCACTTAACATTACTAACCACTGCGTTAGAGACGATACTGCTACCTTTTTGAAAATCAACACCCACATTAGAGACGACACTGCTACCTTTTTGGAAATCAACACCCACGTGAGAAAAGGGGCATTGAGACTCTAAAGCAGTAGACAATCCCCAGATACCATCTGTAGAGTTGGAACTGCATTATTTTAAAGTTTTATATGCATATATTTTAGGGCTGTAGACTTACTTTCCTATTTTGTGTTCCAAGGCTTATTCTTGAGCACAAAATGATAATCATTACATTTATACATCACCTTTTTTACTTTTCCAAGCCCTTTTACAGCTCTTGGCATTTTCCTCACCCAGGCCTGTGAGGTAACTGGGATTGCACCTTTTATACCAGAAACCTGAGGCAGATGAAATTTATTTCCATCTAGGACTAGAAAAACTGGTACAGCAGCTGCAATTGGAGTCACCACTTGGTTAAACTTATGATAATCCACTGTCATTCTCCTAGATCCATCTGCCTTCTGCACAGGCCGAATGGGAGAGTTGAACAGGGATGTGGTGGGAATCACCACCCCTGCATCTTCAAGTCCTTGATGGTGGCACTGATCTCTGTAATCCCTCCCGGGATGCAATATTATTTTTGATTTACTATTTTTCTACATAGAGGCAGCTCTAAGGGCTTCTATTTGGCCTTTCCCACCATAATAGCCCTCACCCTACCAGTCAGGGAGCCAATGTGGGAGTTCTGCCAGCTGCTAAGTATGTATATGCCAATTATGCATTCTGGCACTGGGGAAATGACCACAGGACGAGTCCAGGGACCCACTGGACCGAGGTCAGACCTGAGCTAAAACTCTATTAATTACCTGACCTCCATAAGTCCCTACTTTAACTGGAAGACCACAGTGACATTTTGGGTACCCTGGAATCAATGTCAGCTCAGAACCAGTGTCCAGTAGTCCCCAAAATATCTGACCATTTCCCTTTCCCCAGTGCACAGTTACCCTGGTAAAAGGCCATAGGTCTCCTTGGGGAAGGATGGGAGAAATATTAACAGCATAAGTTGTCGGTAGTGTAATGGGGTCCTTCCTCAAGGGGACCCAGCCTCCCCTTCATTCAAGAGGTTCTAGGTCTGTAAACTGGCTCAAGTTTGGAAATTGACTGAGGAGCCGTGATTCTCTATGTTTATAATTCAAATTAGTCTGTTGTCCATCCGATCTAGAAGTTTTCTGCTTATATAAATTAAGTAGGAATGCAGTGGGCTTCCTATCAATTTCATTTCTAGAAACACCTTGATTAATTACCCAATGCCAGAGCTCTACACGAGTCAGACTATTCTGATTGCTGCTTTGCCTCTGCTGCCCATTACAGTAGCTATGCCCACCTTGCCTTTGATGGTTGAGTGCCACCACTTGGCCCCTGCCACCTTGGGATCCAATTATTCCCAATGTATTTAAATTTTGTAGTTTAGTGACTGCAGTTCCCACTGTTAGATCTGAAATACAGAGAAGAACAATTACAGGACCCTTCAAAGATGCAGGTACTGCCCTCACAAACCTATTTCACAAGGCAGTGATCAAGGGTATATCTTCTGGACCCTCTCAGCTGGGATGAGTAGATCTAAAGTGACTAATCCACTCCACCATCTCAATCTCCCTAAGCCTTTGGATGCCTTCTTCTATATTAAACCAAGGGAGATCAGGCATTTCCAGCTCCCTCACAGTGGGCCATCTTTTAATGCGTATTTCAGCTAACCAAGCAAATAAACTATTAGAACCTTATTTTAACTCACTGAGCTGCAACATTAAATGCAGAGTCCCTACTTAGTGGGCCTGAAGCAATAAATTCAGCCTGACCCAACTCTATGTTCCTTCCACCATTATCCCATACCCTTAATATCCATTCCCATGCCTATTCTCCAGATTTCTACTTATACAAATGAGAAAACTCAAGTAGTTATTTTCAAGTGTAGTGCACCTTCTCATGGGTCACACTCTCAACCTCACCTCTAAGGGCCCACCAGTACTTTAGTCTAGTTACAGGTCTAGAAGCAAATGGGGGTGTTGGGGGTGGCTCCAGAGGAGAATCAACATTACATTGTCTGGCAACTGCCTCAGAAGAGGCCATCACTTTTGCCTCAGGCAGCACAGGGTTTATCTCCTTAGACAAAGGTAGAAAGGCTGATGGCAGCATGGGTCAGGGAGGGGATGTTGTCACTACTGGGGATGGGAAAGCTTTTCTTCTAGCCAAAAAGGTTCAGCAGAGTTTACAAATTCAGTGTCCCCAGCTTCATCAGGGTCCTCTCACAAGTCCCCATTCCAAGTTGCAGGGTCCCATTCTTTTCCAATCAATGCCCTCACTTTAGCAGTACACACCTCAGGTGGCTGTGCGTGCATCTTTTGTTGCAGGTCAGCCACTCGCATGATAAGCGCTTATGTCTGTTTTTCCACAATTTCAGCTCTTTCTCTACAGGAGATAAGACTCTCACTCAGGGCAATCTTGGCAGATTTGAGGCTCAGTATCTGCTTCTGAAACTGGGTGTTAGAATCCCTGAGTTCATCATTTTCTTTCATCACTTTGTCCACTGAACTTAAGAGCAAACAACCAGCTTCATTACGTTCCTTGGCTCTCCACATATGGTCAAAGGTATTATGTATAGAGTCACTAAAGTCCTTGCCTTTCATGAGCGGTGAATCAGGAGTGTCAAATGCATTTATTTTGCATAACTCTCTAAACAGTTCATGCTGAGGACTATCATGTTCTCCATACTATTAGTAGAGTCCTGCTGGGCATGGTAGCTCACGCTTGTAATCCCAGCACTTTGGGAGGCCAAGGCGGGCGGATCACGAGGTCGGAGTTCAAAACCAGCCTGACCAAGATGGTGAAACCCCGTTTCTACTAAAAATATTTTAAAAATTAGCCGGGTGTGGTGGCCCGTGCCTGTAATCCCAGCTACTCCGGAGGCTGGGGCAGGAGAATCGCTTGAACTCGGGAGGCGGAGGTTGCAGTGAGCCGAGATCGCACCACTGCACTCCAGCCTGCGCAACAGGGTGAGACGCCATCTCAAAAAAAAAAAAAAAAAAAAATTTAGAAGTAGAGTCCGCATTTTTGGGACTAATCATATTAAGCAGCCAACTCCAGAAACCCCAAAACCAATGAAAGAACTCCATCCTTAATATTCTGTTCCTTTAGAACCACTCCTGGTATCAAAATCTGTATTAGTCAGGGTTCTATAGACAGGAGACATATATATACATACATACATATATATATGAGAGTTTGTTAAGTATTAACTCACACGATCACAAGGTCCCACAATAGGCCATCTGCAAGCTGAGGAGCAAGAAAAGCCAGTCCAAGTCCTAAAACTGAAGAACTTGGAGTCTGATGTTCGAGGGCAGGAAGCATCCAGCACAAGAGAAAGATGTGGGCTGGGAGGCTAGGCCAGACTAGTCTTTTCATGTTTTCTGCCTGCTTTATATTATAGCTGTCCTGGCAGCTGATTAAATGGTGCCCACCCAGATTAAGGGTGAGTCTGCCTTTCCCAGCCCACTGACTCAAATGTTAATCTCCTTTGGCAACACCCTCACAGACACACCCAGGATCAATACTTTACATCCTTCAGTCCAATGAAGTTGACACTCAGTATCAACCGTCACAATCCCCCATTCATGAGTGGCCCTAAAAGACAGTGGTGAGGGGAAATCCTGTATGTAGAGCTTCACACAGTACACCTGGTCATCAGCTTGTTGTAAAGGGAGAAGTGGCCTGAGTAAGAATACATATGGACCCTCAAGCAGTGATGAATGGCTTGTCTGGTTGGTTGGGCCTTAGAGCAAAATTCAAACATCTGGGGAAGAAGCACATGGCTAGACCTATAGGAGTGGATATAATATGTGTGGCTTTTTAAAATCTCATACCAATGCCCACCAATGGGTATCCGCTGAAGAGGAAGTACTCAACAACCAAGTGGATAGGATGACTCCTCCAGTAGAGGTCAGCTAGCTCCTGTCCTTGTCAACCTCTGCACTACACACTGTGCTCAGGAAAAGAGTATAATTGTGTTGGCAGGATTGGAGGCTATTCATTCACCCAATAAAACAGCACCAGTTTCCTCTGAACAAAGGTGATCTAGCTACTACTGCTCTGAATGTCTAATCTGTCAGCATCAGAAAGCAATGCCAAGCCTTTGATGTGCTACATTCCTGAAGGAAACCAACTAGATATTTGGTAGGAAGATGATTATATCAACCCCCTTCTACCCTGGAGGGCCAATATCTCATCCTTACTGGGGTTCATACATATTATAAAAAAATACATATATGTATATCTTATAAATAATCTTTGTAAAAATTACTAATTTATTAAGTATTGATCTTTTAATGCACATGCATTTAATTATTTTGTGTGATGAAATGGCAAGTATGCATAAAGCACTGCTGCTGTACACAGAAGTATGATGCTGACTCAAGAAAACACATGTGCAGTTGTTTGAGTTGTGAACTGAACTAGCTGGTTTTATCATGGGACATCATTTTTACTTTCAAAGAATGAATCGCAATAGAACTATTGTTATTTTGACCTAAGTATTTGGCAGGCTTTTTCTCAAAAATAAACTAAGTTAGAATCTGTGACTTTAAGAAAAATGACTGAAAGTATTTGTTGCCAATATTAAAATTTGAGCTTTCAAGTGAAAATTTGAATTTTGGAAAATGTGTATGTGCTACCATGAACACAACAGCTTTCCAATAATTAAAGACTTTTCTGATGACACTGGTGGTGATATGAGTGAAGGCAATTCTTTTTTGATATTGTACAGTACTGTATAATGAAATGTGTCAACTTTTGGAAAATCTGCATAACTAAGTAAACCAATATTTTCCAATGATTTTACAAAGTTATGCATGGGTGAAAGGCCCATTCACAGTGAAGGGCCAACTGATTTTAACGTAATGAGTACAAAAGTTCAGTTTTATATTCTACATTACAAAAATCTACCACTTGTCAAGTTCTGGCAGAGTGTAAACAGTAATTTGAAAAGGCACAATTACTTGAAAAGGCTATTAAACTAGCCCTTCACTTCCAACTGTGTATCTGTATGAGGCTAGGTTTTCTTCATAAACTTCAATCAAAACAATAAACAATGCAGAAGAGACATTAAGCCTGACATTAAGGAAATTTGAAAAACTAAAAAGTAATACCATTCTTTTCACTAATTTTTTTCTTCTGGGAAATATAGTTTTTTCATAAAAGTCCGTCATTCATGTTTACATGTATGAGTTTATTTTTATTCTTAAATAAATAATAAAATAATTTTTTAATTTCTGTTTTAATTTCTAAAGCAGTAAACATTGGTAGATATATAACACATCAACCAGATTCTAGGATTCTCAATAATTTTTGAGAGTGTAAGGTGATCATGAGACCAAAATGTTTGAGAGCTTCTCTATTTGTTATCCATTTACTGTTTCATTGATTTTCATTTCAGTCTTTATTTCCTTCCTCTTTTTCATTTGAGAATAATTTTCTTTTTCTAGCTTCCTAAAGTGGAAGTTTGGATAATGAACTTAAAATCTTTCTTCTTTTTTCATAGGCATTTGAAGTCATAAATTTATATCTTAAGCATTGCTTTAGCTACATCCCACAAAATTCGATATTTTATGTTTTCATTATAACTCAGTTCAAAATATTTTCTAATTTCCCTTGTGATTTATCTTTGATACATAGGTTATTTGGAAGAGTATTCTTTAATTTTCACATATTTGGGGATTTTTCAAGATATCTATTTGTTACTTTTTTATTCCATTCTCATCAGAAAACATACTATTAATGATTTCAGTCATTTCACATTTATTAAGACATGTTTTATGGCTCAGGACATGATCTTTCTTGAGAAATATTACGTGTGCACTTGAAAAGAATCTGTTCTGCAGTTGTTAGATGAAGTATTCTATACATGTCAACGAAGTCAAATTGTTTAATAGTGCTACTCAAGTCTTCAACATCCTTACTGATTTTTTGGTCTACTTGTTCTATCTATTATTAAGAGAGGAGTGTTGAAATCCCCTATTATAATTATAGATTTGTCTATTTTTCTTTGCAGTTCTGTCCATTTTTGCTTTATTGCTTTTGTTGAAACTCTGTAATTAGGATTATTAAGTGTTCTTGGTGAATTACACATTTTATCATTATGAAATGTCCCTCTTTGTGTATGGCTATCTTCCTTTCCCTGACGTCTACTTTTCTAATATTAATATAGCCTTACATCTTTCTCATTATTAGTATTTGCATAGTATATCATTTTTCTTCCTCTTACTTTTAATCTAATTATGCCTTATATTTAAAGCGCATTTCCTGCCAGGCACAGTGGCTAACACCTGTAAATCCAACTTGAGGAGGCCAAGGCAAGAGGAGCACTTGAGCCCAGGAGTTCAAGACCATCCTGGACCACATGGTACAATCTCATCACTACAAAAATTTAAAAATTAGCCAGGTGTGGTGGCACTTGCCCGTGGTCTCCGGTACTCAGGAGGCTGAGGTGAGAAGATCACTTGAGCCTAAGAGGTTGAGGCTGCAGTGAGCCATAATTGCACCACTGCACTCCAGCCTGGGCAACAGAAAGATTCTGTCTCAAAAAAAAATTAAAAAAAGGGCATTTCCTGTAGACAGCATATTGTTGGGTCTTTCTTTTTCCATCTAAAAATGTGTCTTTTAAATGGATTACTCAGCTTCTTTACACTTAATGTAATTATTTATGTGGTTGAGTTTAAGTTTACCATCTTGCTATTTCTTCTCTATTCCATTTGTTCTCTATCCCATCTTTTCTCTTTTCCTGCCAAATCTTGGATTAACTCTTTGTTTGTTTGTTTGTTTGTTTGTTTTAATTCATTTAGTATCCTAAACTGCCTTATTATATATATATATTTTTTTTTATTTTTTAGTGGTTGCTTGAGTGTTTTCAGTATGTCTTTAAATTATTACAGCTTACCTTCAAATATTGATATGACTTGGCTCTGTGTCCCCACCCAAATCTCATCTTGTAGCTCCCATAATTCCCACGTGTTGTGGGAGAGACCCGATGGGAGATGATTGAATCATATGGTGGGTCTTTCCTGTGCTGTTCTCGTGATAGTGAATGGGTCTCATGAGATCCGATGGTTTTTAAAAATTGGAGTTTCTCTGCACAAACTCTCTCTTTGCCTTCTGCCATCCATGTAAGATATGAATTGCTCCTCCTTGCCTTCTGCCATGATTGTGAGGCTTCCCCAGCCACATGGAACTGTAAGTCCAATTAAACCTCTTTCTTTTGTAAATTGCCCAATCTCAGGTAAGTCTTTATCAGCAGCATGAAAACGGGCTAAACAATATTATACCACTTCGCATTTGATGTAATTTTCTAAAGAATTTTTTTTTTTTTTTTGAGACGGAGTCTTGCTCTGTCGCCCAGGCTGGAGTGCAGTGGCACAATCTCGGCTCACTGCAAGCTCCGCCTCCCGGGTTCACGCCATTCTCCTGCCTCAGCCTACCGAGTAGCTGGGACTACAGGCGCCCGCCACTACGCCCAGCTAATTTTTTGTATTTTTAGTAGAGACAGGGTTTCACCGTGGTCTCGATCTCCTGACCTCGTGATCCACCCACTTTGGCCTCCCAAAGTGCTGGGATTACAGGTGTGAGCCACCACGCCCGGCCTAAAGAATTTTTTAAACAAATTAGATGGGCATGGTGGTGTGTGCCTGTAGTTCCAGCTATGTGGGAGGCTGAGGTGGGAGGATCACCTGAGCCTGGGGAGGTCGAGGTTGCAGTGAGCCATAATCATGCCACTGCACTCCAGCCTGAGCAACAGAGCAAGACAATCTCAAAAAATAATAAAAAAGAAATTTTAAAACAAAGGCTTTAATATTTACTAACAAAGCTATCATTTCTGGTCCACTTCATTTCTTTGTACAGATACAAATTTCCACCTGGTATCATTTCTGTTCACCCTGAAGAACTTCCTTAACATTGCATGAAGTCCAGGAAGGTATTCACTCAGCTTTTGTTTATAAAAGTTTTTATTTCACTTTCAATTTTGAAAGATACTTTTACTTAATAATGGAATTCTACATTCACTTTTTTTCCTTTCAGCATTTGCTGATACTCTACTGTCTTCTGACTTGCATTGTTTCTGGAGAGAAGTCTGTAATCATTCTTATTTTTGTTTCTCTGTCTATGTCCTTTTAAACTCTACTACTGAGTTTTAAATAGCAATTCAATTATTATGTTCTGTAGTGTGGCTTTGTGTTTACCTTGCTTGAGATTCACTGTGCTTCTAGAATCTGTGGCTTTTAGCTTTTATCAAATTTGAAAATTTTTAGCTATTATTTCTTCAAATATATATTTTTGGCTCCTACTATTTTCTTCTGTCATTCTGTACTCTAGTTTCTCACATGTCACATTACTTGCTATAGACCCCCAGGTGAAATTATCATACCTAATTTTTTTCAAATTTTTTGGTCTGTACTTCAGTTTGGATAGTTTCCATTGCTATGCCTCCAATTTCATTAATATTTTCTTCTGCAGTGTAATCTATGGCTAAAACCATCCAGTTAATTTTTCATTTCAGATGTTGTATTTTTCAGCTCAAATGGTCCCATTTGGCTCTTTTTACATCTTGAATGTCTCTCCTAATTATGTTAATGTTTTCTTCTAAATCCTTGGTCAAATTTATAATATTAATAATAGATATATTAAAGTATTTGTCTAAAATTTCATAATCTCTGTCACTTCTGTGCCTGTTTCTATTAAATAACTTTCCTCTCAATTACAGGTCACAATTTCCTGCCTTCTCACATATCTATAATTTTTAATAAATGCTGACCACTGTTAAATGTTACATTGTTGACTATTTCAATTACATTGTCTTTCTTTAAGAAATGTTGAAATTTGGCAGACAGCTAAGTTACTTCCAATTCATCTTGATCCATTTGAGGTTGATTCTGAAGTCTGTTAGGATGAGTCTAGAGCAGCCTTTATGCTAAGACTACTGCATTAGTCCGTTTTCACACTGCTATAAAGAACTAACTGAGATCAGGTAATTTATAAACAAAAGAGGTTTAATTCACTCACCATTCCACATGGCTGGGGAAGACTCAGGAAACTTACAATCATGGCAGAAGGAAAAGGGGAAGCAAGGCATGGCTTACATGGCAACAAGAGAGAAAGTGAGTGAGCGGGGAACTGTCAAACACTTTTAAACCATCAGATCTTGTGAGAACTCACTCACTATCACAAGAACAGTATGGGGGAAACCACTCCCATGATCCAATCACCTCCCACCAGATGCCTCCATTGACACATGGGGATTACAATTTGAGATGAGATTTGGGTGAGAACACAGCCAAACCATATCATTCTGCCCCTGGCCTCTCTCAAATTTCATGTCCTTCTCACATTTAAAAACCAATCATGAGCCAGGTGCAGTGGCTCACACCTGTAATCCCAGCACTTTGGGAAGCTAAAGGGGGTGGATTGCTTGAGGCCAGGAGTTCAAGACCAGCCTGGCCAACATGGAGAAACCTCATCTCTACTAAAAATACAAAAATTAACTGGGTGTGGTGGCACACACCTGTAATGCCAGCTACTCTGCTTGAGAAGCTGAGACATGAGAAGCACTTGAATCTAGGAGGTGGAGCTTGCAGTGAGCCAAGATCATGACACTGCACTCCAGCCTAAGCAACAGAATGAGACTGTGTCTCAAAAAAATAAAATAAAATAATAAAAAAACAATTATGCCTTCCCAACAGTCCCCCAAAGTCTTAATTCATTCCAGCATTAACCCAAAAAGTCCAAGTCCAAAGTCTCATCTAAGACAAGGCAAGTCCCTTTCATCTATTAGCCTGTAAAATCAAAAACAAGTTAGTTGCTTCCTAAATAAAATGTGGGTACAGGCATTGAGTAAATGTTCCCATTCCAAATGGGAGAAATTTGCCAAAACAAAAGGCCTACAGGCCCCATGCAAGTCTGAAACCCAACGGGGCACTCTTAAGGCTCCAAAATAATCTCTTTTGACTCATGTCTCACATCCAGGGCACACTGATGCAGAATAGGCTCCCAAAGTCTTGGGCAGCTCCAACCATGTGGATCTGCAGGGTACAGCCCCCGCAGCTGCTTTCATGGGCTGGCATTAAGTGCCTATGGCTTTTCCAGGTACACAGTACAAGCTCTCAGTGGATCTACCATTCTGGGGTCTGGAGGACAGTGGCCCTCTTCTCACAGATCCACTAGGCAGTGCCCCAGTGGGGACTCTTTGTGGGGGCTCCAACCCCACATTTCCCTTTTGCACTGCCCTAGCAGAGGTTCTCCATGAGGGCTCTGCCCCTGCAGGAGACTTCCACCTGGACATCCAAGAATTGCCATACATCCTCTGAAATCTAGGTGGAGGTTCTCAAACCTCAACTCTTGTCTTTTGTACACCCACAGGCCCAACACTATGTGGAAGCTGCCAAGGCTTGGGGCTTGCACTCTCTGAAGCAATGGCCTCAGCTGTACCTTGGCCCATTTTAGCCATGGCTGGAGTGTCAGCAACTGGGACACAAGGCATCATGTCTCAAGGCTGCACAGAGCATCAGGGTCCTGGGCCTGGCCCACAAAACCATTTTTCCCTCCTAGGCCTCCAGGCCTGTGATGGGAGGGGCTGCCATGAAGATCTCTGACATGGCCTGGAGACATTTTCCCCATTATCTTGGATATTACCATTTGGATCCTCCTTACTTATGTGGATTTCTGCAGCTGGCTTGAATTTCTCCCCAGAAAATGGGTTTTTCTGTTCTGCCACATGGTCAGGCTGCAAATTTTCCAAAGTTTTATGTTCTGCTTCCCTTCTAAACTAAGTACTAATTTCAGATCATCTCTCTATGAATGCATACAGCTGACTCTACACTTTCAGAAAAAGCCAGGTCACCTCTTGGATGCTTTGCTGCTTAGAAATTTCTTCCACCAGACACCCTAAATCATCTCTCTCAAGTTCAAAGTTCCAGAGTTCTCTAGGACAGGGACAAAATGCCACCAGTCTCTTTGCTAAAGCATAGCAAGAGTGACCTTTGCTCCAGTTCCCAATAAGCTCCTCATCTCCATCTGAGACCACTTCAGCCTGGACCTCACTGTCCATATCACTATCAACATTTTGGTCAAAAGCATTCAACAAGTCTCTAGGAAGTTCCAAACTTTCCCACATCTTCCTGTCTTCTTCTGAGCCCTCCAAACTGTTCCAACCTCTGTGCATTACCCAGTTCCAAAGTTGCTTCCACATTTTCAGGTTATCTTTAGAGCAGTACCCCACTATTCCAGTACCAATTTTCTGTATTAGTCCATTTTCACACAGCTAAAAAGAACTAGCTGAAACTGGGTAATTTACAAACAAAAGAGGTTTAATTGACTCACAATTTCACATGACTGGGGAGGCCACAAGAAACTTACAATTATGGTGGAAGGCAAAGGAGAAGCAATGCACAGCTTACGTGGTGGCAAGAGAGAGAGCAAGCAAATGGGGAACTGCCAAACACTTTGAAGCCATCAGATCTCATGAGAACTCACTCACTATCATGAGAACAGCATGGGGGAAACCACCAACCTTAATCCAATCACCTCCTACCAGGTTCCACCATAGACACACAGGGATTACAATTCAAGATGAGCTTTGGGTGGAGACACAGAGCCAAACCATATCAGCTACCTTACCCTTGATATTAAGGTATGAATCTTGTAGGATCTCTACTGATCACCCAAGTATTCAATGAGATCCCTCCTCTCTGGTTGGATGAAACTTGAATGTCTCCTGGTACTGTGTAAGTTCTGATAATTGCTCAGCTTATGGCTCCCTAGCATTTGTTCTTTGCCTAGTCATCTGGAAATTTACCCTATTCATGTGCAAATTAACATTCAGCCAAAGACTGAAAGGGAGTGCTCCGCAGATTTCTGTAACTTTCTCTGTGTATCTTCATCCTATATAGCAGGGTTTGGCAAACTTTATACATAGCTAGATAGTAAATATTTGAGGCTTTGTAGGACACACATAGTTTCTGCTATATTCTTTTTTAAAAAACAAGTCTTTTAAAAGTGTATAAATCATTCTTATCTTAGGCCTGTAAAAAAAAAAGACTATGTCTTGAATTGGTCCACAACCATAGTCTGCCAACCTCTGCTCTACAGTATTCTGATCTGCAAACTCCAGATACCTAGCCTTCCTGAACTCCAATCTCTGTCTCCTTCACTTAGTGATATCAGTGCCCTATTTGGGTTTCCCTCTCTGTGCCATCGGAAAATTGCCTCCACAAAGGAGGCCAATATAATTATAGAATTCACTTCACTTGTTTTCCTTCTCTCTAGGATCACAGTCCTATACTGGCTATTGTCCTAATATCTGAAGTTATTTATTTTATTCTGTCCAGTTTTTTCTAATTGTTTGTAGTGGGAAAGCAAGTTCTTTAGTGAATATTCCTTAATGGCCCTACAATATCATTTTGTGTCTTTTAAAAAATAGGTAATAGAATAATGCTTGGACTGATTTCTAGGTCTCTTGATCTGAAATTTCCACATCACTCTTTTTGTTTTTAAAAAAATGCCTAACCAAAGTCTAGAGTTAGCCCAGATTTTGATAAATTCCTAATCAATCTGGTGATGAAGTTATCTCAGAATCTCTTTGGCTACTCCCTTCTCCTCCCATACCCCTTGCTGTGAGACATCTGACTTTCTTAGATAAGGCAATCACATAGAAATGTAGGAAAGAAAAGAAGTTGGGTAACTTCGGAATCTTCGTTCTTTCCTTGTCATTACTCCTCCAGCTACTCAAGACCCAAGTGTTTAATGGTCTGAAATTTCTGTTTTGCAACTGGTGACCTGCAGGAAAGTAACATGTGTGAAAGGTAAAGCTAGCTTTTTATGTGTGTGTAAAAGGTAAAGCTAGCTTTTTTTTTTTTTTTTTTTTTTTTTTGAGACAGAGTTTTAATCTGTCACCCAGGCTGGAGTGCAGTGGCGCAATCTCGGCTCACTGCAACCTCCACCTCCCAGGTTCAAGGGATTCTCCTGCCTCAGCCTCCCGAGTAGCTGGGACTACAGATGCAAGCCACCACACCTGGCTAATTTTTGTGTTTTTAGTAGAGACAGGGTTTCACCGTGTTAGCCAGGATGATCTCGATCTCCTGACCTTGTGATCCGCCTGCCTCGGCCTCCCAAAGTTCTGGGATTACAGGCATGAGCCATCGCTCCCGGCCAGTAAAGCCAGCTTTTAAAGCTCATGCTGTTGACCTATAGGAGGAACCTTAAAGGTCATTAAGTGAAGACATAGCACTTGCACCAAAGAAGTCATCAAGGACAAACGTGTGGTGAGAGAGTCCCTAACCTGCAATAGGAAAGTCCTCAATTGTTCTGCTAACTTGGAAGACTACTTGCAATCTAAATTGAGGGAGTCTAATTTCTTTCACTCAACATAATGTTTTTTAAATTTCATCCATGTTATTTTGTATATTCATAGTTTATTCTTTTTCTTACTTTTTAAATGTTATTTACTTTTTCTTTTCATTTATTTTTAAATAAACAAAAGTTTATTATTTTATTGCTAAGTAGTATTTCATTGTTTATCACTCAACTGTTGACATTAGGATTGTTTCCAGATCCTGGCTGTTATGAATACAGATGCGATAAACATTCATATATAAGTCTTTGAATGGTGACAAAAGTTATTTGCCTGGCCAAACTTTAGTCAGGCTTCTAAATCTTCTCCTCGGTCTGTCTGTGCACTTCCTCATAAAATCTACTTTTAGCAAAAGAATTCTGCTAAGTCCATTTAGCCAGAACTCCCATTCTTGATATCTGATTATCCTCATTATCTGATCAGGTTCCTCATCCTCTCCCGTCCCCCAGGTGATGTCTGATCACTCTGGTCTATCTTAAGCAAGAATTCTGTTAGGTCAGATTAGCCAGGATCCCTCTTACCCCTTACTATGGTTTCACTGTGTCCCCCAAAGTTCATGTGTTGGAAACTTTATCCCTAAAGCAAAAATGTTTGGAGATGGGCCTAATGGGAAGTGTTTAGGTCATGAGGGCTCCACCAATTAATACATTATAATCAAATTTTATAACAGAATTAATGCTGATTATGAAAGGGCTTCAGGTTATAAGTTATCTCTCTCTCTCTCTCTCTTTCTCTCTCTCTCTCACCCTTCTGCCTTCTGCCACAGGATGACACAGCAAGAAGGCCCTCACAAGATGCCAGCACCTTAAGACTGGACTTTCCAGCCTCCAGAACTGTAAAAAATAAATTCTCTTTTATAAATTACCCAGACTGTGGTATTCTGTTAAAGCAACACAAATGAACTAAGACACCCCTGATGTTTCTTCTCAGTAATTTTCCATCCACTGATCCCCACACTGCTCTTTGGTTATAAATTCCCACATGTCTACGCTGCATTCAAAGTTGAGTCCAGTCTCTCTTCCTCATCCTGGGAGACCCTATTGCAGTGATCCCTAAACCTGTTTTAATGGTCTTCAATAAAGTCTTCCTTGCTGTGCTTTAATAAATATTACTGAATAATTTTTTCTTTAACAGTGAACATTGTTGCTATTTTCTTCAGGTCTGTGGCTTTTACTTTCATTTTCTTAATACTGTCTTTCTAAGAGCAGAAGATTTTAATTTTGTTAAGATCCAATATATCATTCTTTTCTTATGTGGTACATACTTTTTGAATCTTATTTAAAGAATTTTTGCCTACTAAAGATCAGAAAGATTTTTCTTCAAGCTTTCTTAGAGAAGCTTTATAAATTCAGGTTTTACATTTAGTTCTATAATATGTTTTCAGTTAATTTTTCTACATAATGCAAGATAAGGACCAAGGCTCATTTTTTTTTTTTTTTTTTTTTTTTTTTTTTTTTGCATAGGAATATCGCATCATTCCAGCACCGTTTATTAGACTTACCCTTTCCCCCAATTAATTACCTCAGCACTTTTGTTGAAATCAATTGGCCATATGGGTGGGGGCCTATTTCTGGACTCTCTATCCTGTTTCATTGATATATATACGTATGGCAGATGCACCTGAAAGCAATAATTTAACTTAAGCATACCTGGAGAATGACCCTACCATCTAAGAAGAATGTGTATTCAAATTCCAGAGCTAAGGAATCCAGGAGTGGCCATCCTAGAGATTTCCTCCTTGTCTATGAAGAACATCTGAACCTCCAGCCCATCCCTTGGAACACAGGCCATATAGGGGGATCAAGGCCCTTTGTTTTGGATTAGATGGAGGTTGCTAGGTGGTGGGTGCTAGGTGAAAATGCATGTTTCTTACAAACAGTAGCAGTTCTCCTGTCCAGCCTACTGCCACTGGACCACCCCTGTATATAAGTCCCCCCAATAAACCCTATGTCTCATTCACTGCCTCCAGCTCTTTTCTTCAGCCTCGTGGATACAGTGCCATCCCTATTAGAATCAACAGGGCTCCAGCACAACACCTTATGCCAATACAACTCTGTCTTAATTACCATACCTTTATAGTAGGTCTTGAAATCCAATAGTTATCTGCATCGGTTAATTCTAGGTCCAATATGGATGAATCTCAAAAACAATGTGTGGAAAAAATATGTGGAGGGTAAGAAGCCAGACACAAAAGAGCATTTGCTATATGGCTCCATTTATATGAGGTTCAATAACATGCAAACCTAATCTGATAGTAATCAGAACGGTAGCTAGCCGCCAGTCTCTACCCTTTTTTTTTTTAAACAGAGTCTTACTTTGTTGCCCAGACTGGCATGCAGCAGCACAATCTCGGCTCACTGCAACCTCGACCTCCCAGGTTCAAGCAATCCTCCCACCTCAGCCTCCTGAGTAGCTTGGACTACAGGCATGCACCAACATGTCCAGCTAATTTTTGTATTTTTAGTGAAAAGACGGGATTTCACCATGTTGTCTGGGCTGGTCTCGAACTCCTGGGCTCAAGAAATCTGCCTTCCTCAGCCTCCCAAAGTGCTGGGATTACAGGTGTGAGCCACTGTCCAGCCTCTACCAATCTTTATTCAAGTAAATATTCACATGCACCTTCTTTCCATAGGCAAAACACACTAATCCTCTCCTAAAAGGAGGCAACTTCAATGTTTCATAAACAAAGAAGGAAACTGGAAGCAATAATGGGCTCTGCATCATATCAAAGAACTACCCTGGGACCCATAGGGTAATGAGGGAAATGAGCCAGAATCAGTAAGCACCCCAACCTGTCATCTCCCTAACCCTCAGCCCTGTGTTTTCCATAGAGCCTGATTAAAGTGATCTGGTGCTCAAGGCTTGGAGAAGGAGGGGCAGAAATAGGCAGAAAATGGAGGTTGCAGTTTGGGGTGTAGTGCCCTGACCACTCTCTTGCTTCCAGTTTCTCTCGCTTCCTCCTTCCCAGATGCAATGACTAGCAAACTCAGCTACAAAGCTCCATGCGGAAATGCTGATGGCCATGGAGAGCATAGGCAGCAAAACCCAACTGTCTAAAACCATCCATCCAACTCACAACTGGGCAGGCAGAGACTTCCTCTCTCACTCTTTAGTTTAAAAAGAATCATCAACATCTTCCTAAGCTTAATGTGAGGTAAGTTGTCTTCAGTGTCCCCAATAACCAGGCCAGTAGACATGGAGAACATAGGAGACTCTCCAAACATTTATTTAGTTGATTTCTGAAAACTCTGCACTCCATAACTGCCTCAATACAACTTGTAGTGTCTCTGAAAGTGGCCACTAGGGCACTGAGGAAGGGGGTGCCAAGAATGGGTAGCCCCAAGAGAGTTAGTGTGGCAGAGGCTGTCCACTCACAGATGGATCCACACTGGGCTGCAGGGGAACTTCTCCCAGCCCCAGACAACTGAGCCTAGAGTGGAAGTCCCAGGCCTCACACCTCTGCAGGGACCTGGTAACGCCTCCTTCACGCTGAGCAATCACCCAGCTGGCTGGTTTCACAAAGTCTTAGGTGGGAGCCCTGAAACCAGAACCACATCTAACACTTGCTTCACTGTTGATGATGTCTCTTCTTTGATAGATGTTCCCCCAGATACTGATGAGTCACTGTGGCCCACCTGGCAGGGAGGCTGGTCCTCTAGCTGGAATTAGTTCACCCCCTCCTTCCCACTAGCCAGAGCACAGCCCTGGTGCAGGCATGGCTGAGGCAGGTGACCAGAGCACCAGGCAGGGGCACTTTCCAGGCCCCAGTCTCCCTGCTGTGCTCTATTGTATGGATCTCCAGAGGGCCCGTGGATTCCAACTGGGATTTTCAGAAACGGCATTGAGAAGGAGTGGGAGGTTGGAGGAGAGGCCTAGTATGAGACTCAGAAACAAAAGGGGAGTGGGCTGGGGTGATCACTGGGCCACCAGGATGCCCAGGGGCAGCACCAAATGCAGGACTAAGATGAGGAACACTGCTGGATACAAACAGGTAGCCTGATCCACCACTGCAATCAGCCACTTACTGTAGACACCAATTTCTGTATAAACTCCAGGCAACCCTCAGCGACCACAGCCGATGCCCCAGCTCACAATCCCTACCTGGACCCATGTGTCATTATATTCACAGGCCAAGCGGCCCCCAGAATCTCCCTAGAGAAAGAGAAAGAAACGAACTTCAGAAATTGAATAGGATCTATATCAGAGCAGACTGACTGTACTACAAGGTGTTGAGGAGACAGGCACACATAGGGCTTCCTCTGGCACCTCAAAGGCCCCACCACCCAGATTTCTGTGAATATGACAACTGAATATGTGAGCATGGGAACTAAAAAGTTAATGGGAAAACTTTAATATGCTCTGAGAAAATGATGGCTTCTCATTTTCCAAACTATAGTGGCTGTTAAACGTCTTGAACCTCTGCATGGCAGCCCACTAAATCCTCATATTTAGCCTGAAGTTTCTCTACAACTCCTAACCTACATAGCCAGCTCCCTCCATATTTTCAGTTCCACTCTCAGACAGCCCCACACCCTCCAACTCAAGCAGAATTCTGCGTGTCCTTTCCCAAACCTCCTCTGCTGACCAATCATCTCAGTCAGAAAAACAGGGTCCTCCTGAACCTCTCCCTCACCCCCACCCCTACATGCAGTCAGTCAACAAGAATGAATGGGTCAAACTCAAAAACACCTTCACCGGCCTCCCTGCCCCAGGCACTGCTCAGGACTCCATTTATCACAGCCTAGGTGATGAAAACAAGCATTTAGACTTCTATCTATGCACCACACAGCTCAGGGAGTCATTTATCTAAAAGGCAAATCTAATTATGCTCACCAAGCCTCCCTCCCAAGTCCTGCCAGAGCAAAATCTAGAAACTTGGCACCGCACTCCAAGCCATACACATTCTGACTCCAACCCACTTCTCAGCCACATTTGCTGCCTCATTTCTCCAAATGTGTAAAGTGTCCCTTAACATGAGAAGTTCCCTCAGACCTCTGAGCCACTGTACATGCTATTCCCTCTTCTTACAATGCTGTTTTCCTCTTTCCAAGAAATCCAAATACTCATTCTCTAAGACCCAGCTCTAATGCCTCCTCCTCAGGAAGGCAGCTTGGTGCCGAGGGAAGAGCATGGGTCTGGGAGTTGGTACTCACAGGAGGATCCTGAAGTAATGTCCTTGGATATCACCTTTCACATTCATCCAAGGGGTGTGATGTTTATGTTGCGGGGTTGTGGTGTGGTTTAACTGAGATAATGAGGGTTAATGTCCACACTGGCATGGTGAGCGTCACATAGGAGAACCTCAATTAGTACAGCATATGTTATTAGCATTACCCACCCCAACTTTCCCACATGCCAGCAGTGCCCCCAGGCAGTGCAATCTCCCTTTTGAAAGAACAGACCAGGCCAAGTTAGGGCAGCCATGGCAGGTTTCCCTCTATGAATCTCTTTAACTCAACTAGGTGTGAATAGAGGAAGCAGCAAATAACCCAGACTCTGCCATCTGAGAATGGGGAAAGGATCCATGAATTTACTTGACAAGAATCCTTTCCTTGTTCTTTATAGCCACAGACCATCCCTTTTATTATTACATCCTTAGTAGATGACAAGGCCTTCTGTATTATCTTATTACATTCCTCATAGCACATGATGTATTGGTCCACATCCTGAAGAATTTCTGATGCAAGTTTCTCTCCTATCAAAGAAGATCATCAGATCTGCACAAGTGGACAATAGGCCCCTAAGCACCCAGCATCCCTCTGGAAAAAGGCCAAGGCAGTGAGTATTATTCTCATTTGACACAGAAGGCCCAAAGTTGACATGGAGAGAGGAGGACGTAAGAAACAAAACCAAGACAGGAACAGGAAGAATATTTCAGGAGAGGGAGAGGCAAGGCCTTGCCAACCTGAGAAATGACAACCAAGTATCGTCACTGTAAGTATCAGTAGTAATAGTGAGAGTGTGTCCTGTGCATCAGTAAAGCATCTTTACTGTCTAGAGCAGGATCACAGACTCTCAGGCAGAAAATGCCCCAGAAGTACCAAATCCAGCTTCTCCCCAGGGATAGGAGGGCATACACCCGACCCATAGGAGTCTTCTGGTTCTCTCTACATCCCCAGGAACAGAAAATACCCTATCCACCAAAGCAGGTGCTTCGAATGAGGAGCAGCTCTGACTGGCAGACAGCTCATCACCCTCTGAGCTGTTCCTGGGGAGAACTTTATAGCATCTTGCTCTGTCCAGGGAACCTAAAAATCCCCCAAACCAGTCAAGCACAGTGCCCCCACGAATCCACAGAAGGAGATGTTGCCCATGTGTTTCTTCTTCTCCTGGCTGAGCAACTCCAGTTCCAGGACAGAAGTCTTCCTAAATGGCTGCCATCAAATATTTGTGTTGCAACAAAAGAACTCAACCCAGTTTCTGATGTCACCCAAGCCAACCAGGAACCATGACCCTGACTGCTGCTAAACTGCGTGCCCCTCACCACCTGCCACTCACCAGGCAGTTTGCCTCCCTGCCCCTTTCTGTGGCCTTCATGTCTACTCCAGGAGTAAGGGTGCCTCCTCTCTGCCCCAAGTTTGCTTCCTGCCTTGAAGTCTCACCACGTTCTGGTGTTTTGCCCCATCCGGTCACCCAGCACCTGGTCCTACCTTCCACCTGGAAATTCTCCTGAGGGATGCAGATAGGCTGGATGTTTGAGGTAAAATTCACAGGATGTTGGAGCTGGAGAAGGGCAAGGTCATTTCGAATGGTTGTAACTGTTGAGAACTTAGGGTGGACAAAAGCTCTTTGGACTGAGACCACCACACTTGTGTTTTCATTATAGACACTCCGATCTCCCATCTTGACACTGTAATGGAAACGGCTGTGGAAGAGATGCCTCTAAGAGAAGGCCTGGGAAACATCCTTTGTGCCTTTTCCATACATTTCCAATGTTTCTGAAACTGGCCTCAACCTCCCGGGCCACTGTCCCTACCACCCCATCGCCATCACCAAAAACCCTTCCTTGATCACTCTCAAACTTGGTTTGTCTGCCCGACTTAGACATGCCTACAGCAAGACGACCGATGCACTCCGGCTTCACTGTGAGTTTTGTTTCTTTGTCGCCAAATTGCCGGGGCAATGGAACTGTGTGTGCTTGAGGGGGCCGGCCCCCAGCCCCGCGTGCCGCTCCTCACCTGGAAATGCAGTGGCCTGCCGTCAGCACCCACGTGGCGGTGACCAGGGTGCCGCCGCAGATGTGCCTGCCTTTGGTCCTCACGCTCACCTGCCAGGGCCACCTCCCTTCCTCCGCGTCCACTCCTCCCACGATTCTCAGAGGGGTTCGGCCACACACTGGGGTGAGGATAGTGTAGGATGAAGAACTCACTCAAAGACACAGGAGTTGACTCCCCCGGGCGCCCCGACGACAGCCAAGAAGGAGGCCATGTCCCCCGGGGCTCCCGAGCCACGCTTCAGATTCCCCGGGCCGCGGACCGCAGGCTCCCAGGTAGCACCTGCCCCAGCCTGGCGCCCCAACCTCCGCCTCCGGGCCTCCCACGCAGTGAGTCACCTGGAAAGGACGTAAACAGATTGAGTGGGGGGCCCGCTTCAGGTCCTGGAGCCGGGCTCGCTTCGGGGTTCTCGCCGCCCTCCTCTGAGAGGAGAGGGGACGGGAGGCGTGGCGCCGCCATGCCCGCCCAGTTCTGCCCGGGCCAGGGCTGAAGGAGCAGAAGCCACGCCAGGAGGCCCCGGGAGCCGCCGCCAGAGGACATGTCATGGATACCGGCTGCCCCTCTCCAGACAGCTCGCGCCCCTGCCAGGGGTTGGCTGGAACCAGGGCGCCTGCGAGGGACGAGGGGGCAGGGCCGGTGCCTAGGGGGTGGAAATGGCCGAGCCGACTTGTTGGACCCCGGTCCTGCTAGATTCCTTGTCTGAATGGGAAATGTCGCCCTCGCGGTTTCACTCAGATCCTCACTCCAGACTATGTCCAGCCAGAACCCTGCCCAGGGCCAAGGGATTAGGGTACTTCTGAGGAAACTGCCCCTGATGGAGAACTCCCGCTTTAGGGTCGGCACTTAGGAGGCTGGTGCGATGCTGCCCCTGACCTTGTAGGCATGGTACCTGGCCTGGAGCTGGTCAGGATGGGCCTTCTGGGAATTCATGGAGGAGCCCTCATTCTCCATAGCGTCCTCAAATCAGGGCTTCATTCACCAGACCTAGATATCGGGGTAGGAGGGCTTTACAGATTAAGCAGGCTAGACAGAGGAGTGGGCTGCTCTTCTGTTTCAGTCGCAGGGACATCTTTTAAACAGCCCGCAGGTCAATCCACTCTTATTAGCTCTGTGTCCCTAATGTCTAATCTGTCTGTTCTGGTAGCTCATCCTTTTGTCTGCTGCCCAAGAGCTACTACCAAGCCTCTGCCTCTCCTGGCTTCATCTTTGTTGAAGTTGGAGGAAAAACAACAACAATAACAACTTTTGAATTGCTGTATGTTCCACTTTTTCCTGTCCAAAAGTGGACAGCCATGACAGTGTTTTCCACGGATGCCAGTGCTCTCCTCACCAATTTATTGTTCTAAGTCTTGGTGAAGGGGGCATTCTCTATGGCCCTCTTGGAGCTCAGAGGAGTGGGCGAGCAGGTCACACATCATGAATCCATCCCAATATTTGCCTCTCTCTAACTCTGTCTCTACATTGAACAAGTGTAAGGACCAGCCCTACCAGGCCTGTGGGTTTTTCTCCTCGTGTGCGGAGACAAGAGATCGTAGAAATAAAGACACAAGACAAAGAGAGAGACAGACAGCTGGGCCCAGGGTACCACTACCACCAAGACGCGGAGACCGGTAGTGGCCCTGAATGCCTGGACACGCTGCTATTTATTGTATTCTAGGCAAGGGGGCAGGGTAAGGAGTATGAGTCATCTCAAATGATTGATAAGGTCACGCAAGTCACGTGTCCACCCGACAGGTAGCCGAGGGAGAGAGGAAAGGCAGCATACATCAGCATTTCTTCTATGCACTTATCAGAAAGATCAAAGACTTTAATACTTTCACTAATTTTGCTACTGCTATCTTCTAAGAACTTAAAAGGAGGAGCCAGGCGTACAGGCAGAATATGAAAGTGGACAAGGAGCATGACCACTGAAGCACAGCACCACAGGGAGATGTTTAAGCCTCCGGATGACTGCAGGCAGGCCTGGCCTCCCACAAGAGCTGGTGGAGCAGAGTGTTCTCTAACTCTTCCAGAGAAAGGGAGACTCCCTTTCCCAGTCTGCTAAGTAACAGGTGCCTTCCCAGGCACTGGCACTACTGCTAGACCAAGGTCTGCTAAGCAACGGGTGCCTTCCCAGGCACTGGCGCTACCACTAGACCAAGGATCTCTCAAGAAGCCCTTATCTGGGCATGACAGAGGGCTCACGCTCTTGTCTTCTAGTCATCTCTCACAGTGTCCCTTCAGCTCCTAATTCTGTATGGCCTGGTTTTTTCTAGGTTATAATTATAAAACAGAGATTATTATAATAATAGAACAAAGTAATACTACAAACTAATGATTAATAATAATCATACCTATATCTTATTTCTAGTATAACTTTTCTTAATTTAATTATTTTCTTTATTATACTGGAACAGCTTGTGCCTTCAGTCTCTTGCCTGGGCACCTGGGTGGCTTGCCGCCCACAAACAAGGAATTTCTGACATATCACACTTGGTAGTCAAGTGTGGGCCACCACTGAGTTCAGGTTTAAAACAACCAAGTGGCAGCCAGGTGCGGTGGCTCACACCTGTAATCCCAGCACTTTGAGAGGCCAAGGCAGGAGGATTGCTTGAGCCCATGAGTCACGAGTTCATATCCAGCCTGGGCAACATGGAGAAATCCTGTACCTACAAAATATAAAAAGATTAGTTGGACATGGTAGGCTGTGCCTGTAGTCCTAGTTACTCAGGAGGCTGAGGTGGGAGGATCCCTTAAGCCCGAGGGTTCCAGGCTGCAGTGAGCCATGATCGCACCACTGCACTGCAGCCTGGATGACAGAGCAGGACTCTGCCTCAAAAATAAAAATAAACAAGTAAACATGTAAAGCAAGGGTGTCCAATCTTTTGGCTTTCCTGGGCCACACTGGAAGAAGAATTGTCTTGGACCACACACAAAATATGTTAACACTTATGATAGCTGATGAGCTTTAAAAAAAATCACAAAAAATTAATGTCTTAATAAAGTTTATAAGTTTTTGTTGGGCCACATTTAAAGCCGTCCTGGGCTGTATGTGGCCCATGGGCCGCAGGTTGGACTAGCTTGATGTAGAGTCACTTTCACCTGCCTGTTTGGTATCTACAAATGGACACCAGCAAACTGAATTCAGAATTTCTGGTAAATGTACTCTTGGTAAATTTAGGCCCAAGCCTCTCTAATCAAGAGTCTGTAGAATCCAGTCCTGTACATATCTCCCATGTTCTTTCCCATGAAAGTTAGCAAAATCTTGCAGTTCTTTTTGTAAGGAAGCCTTCTCCCCCTGGGTTATACTTTGTATCTGTCCTTCTAGAGTTTGCTGGGATCTGACTGTACTTATTAGGTGTAGAGGCAGTAAAGATTTGCTGGGGTGGTACGGGTCTAGAGGCAGTAGACCTTTAGACCTACTAGAGGTAGGTATGGAACTGGCATGCCCTTACCATGTAACTTCCTCAGTTGAAGTCAATACAGTAGCTCTAGGGTAGAGAAGACCACCCTTGTCAAAACAGAAGATGCACTGCTTCTGTTAGCAAGGGAGGTTCAGTGTGGCTGGGGGTCAGATGTCCTAAATCTATCCAAATATGCCTCATTGAAATTTTCATGGTCTCACTCTTTCCCAATCAATGCCCTGACTTTTATGTAAGAATTATAATGAAGCTGTTAATTCCATTTATGTTGAAATTCAGCAGCCCAAAAGATGAGATACTACATTTTATTTTCAACTACATCAATCCTGCAGTGACAAGGAATATGAAATTATTTCAGGAAATCATAGAAGCTTTTAATCCAAGAAACTAAAATTCAATATTGCCATTTGCCTTCTTTAAAATTTTCGTGTAGTAATAAGTAACCAGTCCTCCCCACAGTCCTTATATCTTTCATTTCCACAATAACATCTATTGTGGCAGCCTGTTATCTTTTAATGAACTGTGAAAGGCAGAGTGTGGCCTAGAGTAAGACTTTAGAATTTGTGGGAGCTGCAAACGTGAAGCAAATTTGCATCTACTCACAGGCCCTTCTCCACAAATTTCCACCAGGTCTTCAAGAGAAAGATTAGAGGAAGGGCAAGAGACCAAAGAAAGCCTTGCCCGCAGTGCAGTCTTTGGGGAGGTGAGCAAAAGCCACTGTGGGAAAGTCATGACATCTGGCCTGGATCCTCTACTCTGATTCCCAGCAACCCCACCACCACCACTAACACTACCACTACCACACACACACACACACACACACAAAATACACCAGCCCTATGCCACCGGGGTGGAGAGGGGGCATAAAAATGTCACTTCCAGGGCACAGGTAAAAGCCTGTTATAGCTGGGTGAAGATAACATTAAATACCCTCTATTTCTCGGGGAAGAGTAGCAAACTGTCCTGCTCCAAACTTTTAAAGACTATCTATTCTGGGAGAGGGGCAAGGTCACTTAGAAGGCCCCATGACTAACAGCCAAGAACATAGCACTTGCCTAAGAGTGAGGCTGAGCCAGAACAATAAAGAAAGCCCCCCAGTACCAGGATAGCAAGTGTCCAGGAACAAGTAACAGCAGTCTACTGCTGGAAGAGTGAGGGTAAAAGCACAGAAAGATATCCTCTCTTAGACGTAGGCACAAAGAAAAGACCAATAACTGTGATTTGAACAGACACTGAGAAAAACTCTCCAACAAACCAGCCACTAAGCAAAAAAATAATACTGGAAGAATTTGAATTATGTACTTTTTGAGAGTAACCATACTAACAACAAAACCTGACAGAGTTGTCTCAATGCCTCCTCCTTAAAGAAAAGGCATGTCCATTTTTGCACATAAATAGTGTTTACCCAAGTCTCCACTAGCCTTCACAAGAAGGCTTTAGCTTTCAACCAAAAATTATGAGACACATAATGAAACAAAAAATAACACACTATCAAGAGACAAACCAATCAACAAAACCAGACTCAGCTGTGACATGGATTTTGGAACTATTACACGGGGAGTTGAAAACACTATGATGGATATATCTGTAGACTCTAGTTCATAGGTCAACAAACGTTTTCTGCAAAGGGCCAGATAGGAAACATTTTAGGATTTGCAGACCATGAGGCAAAACTGAGGATATTATGTAGGTTCTTATATAGCAACAAGACAATTTTCCCACAAAATTATTGTCATAATACTAATTGCATACAATATTCGCTGATTCAGATCTACTAATGAGAGGAATAAAATTGTTTTGAGGGGAGTATAACATTTTACTTATTGGGGTTCAAGTTAGTGTTCTCTATTGTCAAAATCAATTGCACATTTTCTGTTAATGGTGAGCTGTAATGATATTTTGTGCACTTCATCTTTTCTTTTTTTATTTTTTATTTTTACTTTTTTAAGACAGGGTCTCCATCTGTTGCCCAGGTTGGAGTGCAGTGGTGCAATCTTAGCTCACTGCAGCCTCTGCCTCTCTGGCTGAACATGGGGGGAAATAGTAAATTCTCTAAACTGTGAAGCAGTCTCCCAGCCACACACACATCCAGTGGTAAATAGTGGAAGTAAAACTGACTAAAGGAGCTTACCTACAACCACCAACAAATAAGTGATGCATGAAAATTGAGAGGGAAAATGGCTTCACATAATTATCTCACCCAAGTCACTAAACAAACAAAAGACCAAACAAACAACAAAACAGGTTGGGGCCAGCAAAAGGCAGGAATCAGTGCCTGGGCTTGCTACAGTATATCATCTAAGATGTCTTCTTCGAAATGGAAAAATTACAGAACAGGCAAAGAAACAGGAAAGTTTGGTCACTTCACAGGAGAAAAAAGCAAGGTAATAGAAATTATCTTTGAAGGGCCCCCTATCTTTGGCATAGTAGACAAAGACTTCAAAATGACTATTTGAAGTATCTTCAAAGGACTAAAGAAAAGCATGTTTTAAAATTAAAGGAAGGTATAATAATGGTGATTTATAAAATAGACAATATTTAAAAGAACCAAATGGAATCAAGTGAAGAAGCACAATAACTAAAATGAAAAATTCATGAGATGGCCTCAACAGTGGATTTGATTTGGATCAGTAAACTTGAAGATAAGTCATCAGAGATTTTACAATATGAAGAAACAAAAACAAAACCTCAATGTAGAAAGATGAACAGAGGCTGAGCATGATGGCTCATGCGTGCAACCCCAACACTTTGGGAGGCTGAGGCAGGAGGATTGCTTGAGACCAGGAGTTTCAGACAAGCCTGGGCAACATAGCAATACCTTATCTTTTAAAAAAAAAAAATTTTTTTTTTTTTTAGACGGAGTCTCGCTCTGTTGCCCAGGCTGAAGTGCAATGGCATGATCTCAGCTCACTGCAAACTCCGCCTCCCGGGTTCATGCCATTCTCCTGCCTCAGCCTCCCGAGTAGCTGGGACTACTGGTGCCCGCCACCATGCCCAGCTAATTTTTTTGTATTTTTAGTAGAGACGGGGTTTCACTGTGTTAGCCAGGATGGTCTCAATCTCCTGACCTCGTGATCTGCCTGCCTCGGCCTCACAAAGTGCTGGGATTACAGGCGTGAGCTGCCGTGCCCAGCCACAAAAAAAAATTTTTTTAATTAGCCAAGTATGGCGGCATATGTCTGTAGTCCTAGGTGCTCTGGAGGCTGAGGAGGGAGTATCACTGAAGCCCAGGAGTTTAAGGTTACAGTGAGCTATGATCATGCCCCTACACTCCAGCCTGGGTGACAGAGCAAGGCCCTGTCTCTGAGAAAGAAAGAAGGAAGGAAGGAAGGGAGGGAGGAAGGGAGGGAGGAAGGACGGAAGGAAGGAAGGAAAGAAGGAAGGGAGGGAGGGAAGGAGGGAGAAAGGAAGGAAGAAAGGAGAAAATGAATAGAGCCTCAGAGAAATGTGGAACACCATTAAGCACACAAACATAAACATAATGGCAGTACCAGAAGGAGAGAGAAAGGAACAGAAAAATATTTGAAGAAATAATGGCTAGAAACTTCCCAGATTTTATGAAAAACATTAAGCTACACATCGAACAAGCTTAATGAACTCCAAGTAGAATAAACTCAAAGAGACCTATACCCACACATCAGAGTCAAAATGTTGGAAGCCAAAGATAAAGAGAACATGTTGACAGCAGTAAGAGAAAAATGACTCATCACATACAAGGGAACCATAATAAGATTATACCTGAGTTTTTACCAGAATAAAATGGAGGGCTGAAGATAGTGTGACAACTTACTTGAAGGACTGAAAGAAAAATGTTCAATCCAGAATGTTATATCCAGCAAGTCCATGTTTTTAAAATGAAGATGATGAAAGTGAGACATTACTACTGATTTTACAGAAATAAAAAGAATTAAAATAGAATACTATGAACACTGTACACCAATAAACTGAATAACCTAAAAGAAATGGACGAATTCCTAGAAATACACAATCTACCAAGATTGAACCTTGAAAAAATAGAAAATCTGAGTAGACCTATAACTAGTAAGGAGACTGAATTAGTAATCAAAAATCTCCCAACAAAGAAAAACTGTGGATCAGATGGCTTCACTGGTGAATTCTATCAAACATTTAAAGAATTAATACCAACTCTTCTCAAACTCTTTCAAACAATTCAAGAGGGGGAAACATTTCCTAACTCATTCTATAAGGCCAGCACTAGTCTATTACTAAAGCTAGACAAATACATTATAAGAAAAAACTACAGGTGCATATTCCTTATGAACATTGATGCAAAACTCCTCAGTCACATACTAGCAAAATGAATTTAGCAGCATATTAAAAGGATTATACCCAATGGCAAGTGGAATTTTTCTTTTAATGAAACTAGAGATGGGCTCTCACTGTATTGTCCAGGCTGGTCTTGAATTCCTGGACTCAAGTGATCCTCCTGCCTTGGCCTCCCAAAGTGCTGGGGTTGCAGGCATGGGCCACCATGCCCAGCTAATCAAGTGGAATTTATTCCCCAAAAGCAAGGATGATTCAATATACAAAAATCAATCAATGTAATATGCCACATTAATATAATGAAGGGGAAAAAATCACTTGATGATCTCAATTGATACAGAAAAGCATTTGACAAAATTCAACACCCTCTCACGATAAAAACACTCAATAAACTAGGAATAGAAGGAAACTTCTCCAATGTAATAAAGACCACATACGAAAAACCACCATCTAACATCATGCTCAATGATTTAAGACTAAAAGCTTTTCTCTCAAGATCAGGAACAAGACAAGGATGCTTACTTTCACCACTTCTATTCAACATTGTATTGGAAGTTCTGGCCAGAGCAATTAGACAAGAAAAAGAAACAAAAGGCATCCAAATTGGAAAAGAAGAAGTAAAATTATCTCTGTTTGCAGGTGCCATGATCCTATATTTAGAAAACCCCAAAGACTCCACCCTAAAACTCCCACAAAAGCCTGTTAGAGATAATAAACAAATTCAGAAAAGTTGAAGGATACAAAATCAACTTATAAAAATTAGTTGCATTTCTATAACTGTGAATGATCAAAAAGGAAATTAAGAAAACAATCCCATTTACAATAGCATCAAAAAGAATAAAACACTTGGGAATAAATTTAACCAAAGATGTGAAATACCTGCATACTGAAAACTGTACAACACTGCTTGATGAAATTAAAGAATACTTAAATAAATGGAAAGATATTCCATATTCGTGGATTGGAAGACTTAATATTATTAAGGTGACAATAATTATCCAAATTAACTCAATTCAATCCCTATCAAAACCCCAATGACTTTTTTTGGCAGATATAGAAAAACCGTCCTAAAATTCATTTGGAATCTGAAGCACCCCAAATAGCTAAAACAATCTTGAAAAAGAGAACAAAATTGGAAGACTCACACTTTCTGATTTGAAAATTTACTATAAAGCTATATTAATTAAAACAGCATGGTATTGGCATAATGACAGACATACAGACCAATGGAATAGAGAACCCAGAAATAAACCCTCTCATATATGGTCAAATGATTTTCAACAAGGATGCCAAGAGCATTCAATGGAGAAAGGACAGTCTTTCCAAAAAATAGTTCTGGGAAAAATGGATATCCACAAGCAAAAGAATAAAGGTAGAACTTTACCTTACATCATATACAAAAATTAACCCAAAATGTATCAAAAGCCCCATGTACGAGTTAAACTATAAAACTCTTAGAAGAAAACATAGGAGAATATCTTCATGATATTGGATTTGGCAATGATTTCTTGGATATGACACCAAAAGCACTGCCACAAAAGAAAAAAGTAGACAAACTGGACTTAATAAAAATTGGTAGCCTTTGTGCTATGAAGGACACTATCAAGAGAGTAAAAAGATACCCCACAGAATGGGAGAAAATATTTTCAAATCATATACCTGATAAGGGATTAATATCCAGAATATATAAAGAACTCCTACAACTCAAAAACAAAAGGACAATTCTATTTTAAATGGGCAAATAAATTTGTAAATAAACCTCTTCTCCAAAGAATATAAATAATGGCCAGTAAGCACATGAAAAGATGCTCAACATTGAGACACTCAATCATTAGGGTAATGCAAATTAAAACTAAAGTGAGATAACACTTCATACCCACCAAGATGGTTAATTAAAAAGAAACGAGCAGAACAGAAAATAACATGTATTGGAGAGGACATGAAGAAATTGGAATGTCGTGCCTTGCTGGTAGGAATGTCAAATGGTGCAGTGACTGTGGAAAACAGTATGACAATTCCTCAAAAAGTTAAACATAGAATTACCATATCATCCAGTAATTCTGCTTCTAGGTATATACCCAAAAGAAGTGAAAGCAGGGATTCAAACAGATACGTGTTCGTGTACCCAAAATCTGTGAATATGTTACTTTACGTTGTAAAAGGAAATTTATAGATGTGATTCAGGTTCAGGACCTTGAAATGGGGATATTATCCTGGATTATCTGGAAAAGCCCAGTCTAATCACATGAGTACCCAAAAGTGGAGAATGTTTCACAGGGAGATAGGACTACCAAAGGGTCAGAGAGATGTAACATTGCGGCTTTGAAGATGGAAGAAGGGGACCAGAAGCTAAGGAATGCTGGTGACCTCTAGAATCTATAAAAATCAAGGAAACAAATCCTCCTCTTGGCATCCAGGAGGAACTGGCCCTACCTGGCTAATTTTATTTATTTATTTATTTATTTATTTATTTATTTATTTATTTATTTAATTTTTGTAGAGGTGGGGTTTTGCTATGTTGCCCAGGCTGATCTCGAACTCCTAGGCTCAAGCAATCTTCCTGCCTCAGCCTCCCAAAGTATTGAGATTACAGGCATAAGCCACCAGACCCAGCTGCAAATGTTCTGTAACAACCATTCTCAGCTCATGGGCTAACAAGAGGCGGCCAGATGTGGTCTATACTCAAATATTGCCTCCTCAATGAGGCCTTCCTAGGACACCCTCAAAAACTGTGTCCCCCATCCTTCCAAATCCTCCTTATCCTCCTTTAATTTTTCCCATAGTACTTCGCACAGTCTAACATACTATGTATTTTTCTCACACATATTACGTTTTCTGGGGCAAAGATTTTTACGACTACTTTCAATGGTGAAAATCGCAATTACTTTTGCACCAACCTAATACATTGGGTATCTTCCTCTTTCATAAATTCTTCCTCTTGTAAACTTTATGTGGGCAGATTTTTTTGTCTGTCTTGCTTATTGCTGTATTCCCAGCACCTGAAACATGTCTGGCACTCGATAAACATCTGTTAAATGAATGAATGAATCAGTGAGTGAATTAATAAATAAATAGATCCTATATAGCCTAGCAGTTAGGAAAAATAAAGAAATAAATAAATAGAAATGAAGTGGAGATAGAACACATTGATACCTGTAAGTGCTTAGTGCACTGCCTAGCACACACTAAGTGCTCAATAAATATTAGTCACCCTTATTCCTTATTGTAGTTATAGTTGTTACCTTCACGAGGAGCCTCAAGCATCTGAAAGGTGCAGGCACCAGAGCAAGCAAAATCTCCCAGCCACTATCTGTATCCAGCCGCCTGCCTCCCTGTCTACTGCATCTCCTCTCCTGGTTTCCCTGCTCCTTCTGGGGCTGCTGGTCTCCCTCTCTGCTACTGGAGCCTGTGTCCCCCTCTGGTTCCCTCAATCTTTGTCCCTCAATTACAGATGGGACTTCTGGACTCTCCACAGTGCCTCAGGCAGAGTCCCCCTAAGATATCCTGAACCCGACTGCCTGCTTCTACTCTCCTCCATTCTGTTCCCCCCATTCCACCCCTTCACTTGTTCCAGCGTCCAGGCTGTTGCCTTAGGATTCTGCTCCCACCCTGAGACCCCCCACCCCACCAACGCCGCCACATTCCACCTAAGCGCCCATCCTCTAGAAAGCCTTTGCTGACACCCTCCCCAACCTTTTGGTGCCCACAGCCTCCCCCCGACCCCCCACCGTGCTGATCCCTTACGAAGCACTCTCATTCTGCTGGAACCTCTGTGCTGTCCCTGTCTCCCCCAAGGCTGACAATTTCCCAAGCTCCCCCTCCTCCCACAATGCCCCACCCAGGAAGCCCAGGGCCTGATCTCTGGCGCCTCAGCTCCTGAGACCCCCCTCCCCCTGCCGTCTAGAAACGTTCCTGGAATCCACCGACCCTCCCCACAGTGTTCCCTCTCTAATCCCCACAACAGTCTCAACCCTACAGTGGAGGAAATGAGTGGCGAGAGGTTAAGCAATTTGCCAAGATCACACGAGGCAGGAGTAAAGCGGGGCTTGAACCCAGGGCCCTGGGCAGGGCTGGGGTGCGGGGGCTGGCAGGGTATCGACCCAGGGTACACAACACAGCAGTCAAACAGATAGACAGAGTTTTGGATGAGCCAACGGCTGAGATGGGACGAGAAGCCAGCGCCTCCTCCCTGCGCGTCTGTCTGCAGGCCAGGGGCTCACACGGGAGCCGGCTCCTGCCCCCTGGCCCAGGGCCAGCCGTCATCCCCATGAGGTCAGCCACAGCTGGCGATTTCGGGGAAATACCAGCTCCTTATTAAAAACAGGCGGTGGTCAGGCCCCCGCTGCTTTCCCAGTAGAAACTGGAGTGTTTGTTCCAAAAGGAACAAGAGTGGGCAGGGCCTGGCCAGGGCCCTGAGGCGGGAGGCTTGAGCTGCAGTACCTGGTCAGGGTGTCCCGGGAGCTGCGGGGAGAGGAAGTGGAGGGGACAGCCCCAGTCCGGCAGTCGCGGGTGGGGGCTAGCAAAGGCAGCCTGTGTGAGGGGCGGGCACCGGCCCGGGAGGGGATGGTCCCACAACACCTCGAGGCTGCGCCGACCAGGGAGGGGTTGTGGACTGTGACCTCCACAGCTGCACCCCCCACCCCGGCCCGGGGACAAATCTCAGGCAGTGGGCAAGGCCTGAGAAAAAGCAGGCTCATGGCGATAAGTCCCTCCTCTTCCGGGGTAGGCAGCCGCCACCCGCGCCCCTGTGCCCAGAGCCTGCAGCCCCCGCCTCCAGGAGATCTGCGGAGGCCTCCCCTGCAGGGGGCGCGAGTGGGCCATGCCTCCCCCGGCCCCGGCCCAGGCCCCGGCCCACCCCGCCACTCTCCGCGCCAGCACAGGCCGCCCTGCATCTGGAGCGAGTTAGGGTTGGCGGCCTGGCGGGCGGCGGCGTGAGCTCATCCCGGCCCGCCCCGCTGCGGTTTCCACGCGGCTGTGAAGGGAACAGAACACAGAAACGCCGCGCCGAGGGCCGGGCCGGAGGAGCACAGAGGAGCGGCCGCTCCTCCCGGGATGTGGGTGGGAGTGGGAGAGGCGGGAGTGTGTATCACTGGCGCGTCGCCGAGGGAGGCTGAGCCCTGGGAGCCGGCCACCAGCATGCGTCGCTGGTGTCACCGTGTGTGGTGGCTTGCGAGGGTGTGTGTGTCCCGAAGGGAAAACACTGTGCGTGTGATAAGTTGCACACCTCCCAACACACACTCCTCGTTTTACAAAAATCAGCAGCTGAGGGCAGAGGACAAGGAGGGCTGGCCAGTGCACAAACTGGGGCTTGGCTCCCACCCGGGGCCTGTGTCCCTGAGTGGATGCAGAAGCTCTGGACCAACCAGCCCAGGTGTCTGGCAGGGCCCAGGGCCCACCTCCCCAGACACACACATACTTTTCCTGGTCACTGCCCCCCTCACACTCCCCCCAAGGAGCCCAGGCATCTTCTCCTTCAGGAAGGAGAAAGGAACCCCTCACACCAGGGTATTGGCTAACAGAGACACTCACAGCCCACACGGAAACAGGAACACATACCTGGACACAGGCTCACACCTGGAAGCACACCCAAGGAAAGCACTCCTGCTCTTGGAATCCTAGTTGGGAGAGCCCACCAGCAGGCTGTGAGGCAGTGGCAAGGCTTGAAAAGGCTTCTTGGTGAGATGCCCCTTCCCTCTGCCAGGGGCTGGGAACAGGAAGGCTGGAGGTCACTGAACCTTGAACCTTAGCGGCCCCAGCACCTTGTGATGGGCCCTGAGGGTACCGCCCTGTGTGAAGGGCCTCAGAACCCCAGCACTCCCAAGGACCGGAGCCAAGGTGGGGATATGGGCACTGTAGTGATATTGATCACCAGACACCGGGGGGGGAGCTGGGCTGGAGTGGGTGCTTCGGAGCATCCAAGGTTCCCTCCACCCATCAGGCCAGTCCTCACCTTGGGCACTCGCCTCAGGGACCTACTATCCCAGCTTCGGGTAGATGTCACCCAGCTGCACTGGGAACTATGGGAGGTAGCCCAGGCCATGCAGCACCTGCCAGCCTTCCCGCCTGGGCTCACAGGGCTGTCATGCTCCCATCCTCCTCCCTTCACCCTACAGCTGGGCCATGGCTCTGAGACAGTGACCTTGCCTGCAGGATGGCACACATGAGTCTTTCACCCCTCCTTACCAGCTATTTCCCCTGGGCCCAAAGCACAGGATTGCAGAGGGCTGGTGGGGCTGAACTTGCCAGGAGCTTGGGTCCTCCATGTCCCCACCTGTGAGATAGAGAGGACACCCTATCCTGACCACTCCACCACAGGGTGCCTAAACTGTAAAGTGCATCTGCAGTACCCACGGGGGTCTTCAGCTCCCAAAACACTGGGGCAAGCTGGGTGAGGGATGTTATTTAACTGGAATGGCTATGGTTTGCAGAACCAGAGCTTCCAAATTACTTAGCAAAGCATGTTTGCTTTTTAATTAACATGTGCTTGAAAAACAATGGTTTTCATTAAAGTGGGTGGGGGAGAGAAGGGACTGTAGGGGAGAATATTTCAAGGAGCTCCAAGTTCCAGGCCAGACTTCTTAAAAATAAAGTGGGAGTCTTGCCCCAACCCGGCAGAGGCTGGGAGGCAAGAATCCCTGCTGGAGAGCCCAAGGAACAGCCCTACTACCTGCCTCCACCACTCTCCGGCTCCCTGGCTGAGAATTTGCCCTTTCGCTGATGGCTCAGTTACTTACCTACTATTCCCTGGGCCACTCTGGGAAGGGGAGGTCTTTTTTTTTTTTTTGGAGATGGAGTCTCACTCACCCTGTCACCTAGGCTGGAGTGCAGTGTCTTGATCTCAGCTCACCGCAACATCCGCCTCTGGGGTTCAAGCAATTCTCCTGCCTCAGCCTCCTGCATAGCTGGGATTACAGGCACGCACCACCACGTCCAGCTAATTTTTCTATTTTTAGTAGAGACAGGGTTTTGCATTGTTGGCCAGGCTGGTCTTGAACTCCTGACCTCAAGTGATCTGCCTGCCTCGGCCTCCCAAAGTGCTGAGATTACAGGCATGAGCCACCGCGCCTGGCCGGTGTGGTCTTTTATAAAGCAGTCTTGGCGTTCAATGAATGAGGTCCACCAGGCAGATAAGCAAAAGGAAACAGCATGAGTAACAACCTGAAAGCATGGGCCTGGAAGCCACTGATGTCCAAGCCCCAGGGAGATTGGGGCAGGGAGGCTGAGCTGGTGCCAAGGACAGAAGGGTGGGAAGGGAGGATGACCTCACATGGAGCAGAGGGGATATGTGAGGAACTGGCCAGAGGAAGTGGAGGGCTGGGAGACTGGAAGCAGGACGCATTCCAAAGCCTCAGGGCTTGCTCCCCAGAGGCTGATGGGCAGGACTGCAGGTTCAGTCAGTCCAACAGGGGGCAGCGTTGACTCCATCATCCAGCATGGAGAAGGCATGCCATCGGTGTTCAATAAATGCATGTAGAAGGGTGAGAATGAAGAGATGATCCCTCCGAGTCAACCACACCTTCTCCTATTTCTGGCCTTTTGGGGACAGGGTTAGCACCAGCGTGCAGCCTGAGGTCAGATGTCAACATAGGGTTGGGACACATTTCACCCATTCACCCATACAGACCAAGGGAAGGTGGAGGGGAAGCTTCTGGGGAGTGAGGGCATCCCCAGGGGTCGGGTCAGATGCCCAGAACCCCCAGCTCCCGGCAGCCTGCCCAGGACCCTGTTTCTCATTTGGGGCCTTCTTGCTTCCCCCAACCCACACCCCCACATGAAACGTGCCTGCCTATACTTAATTCATTATGCTCGGCTGGGTGGGAGGCCTGGCGAGCAGGGTTTTTTTTTTCCCCTGAGCTCAGACATTCCTCACTTTATTATTCTCCACATTTCAAAGCAGCTGTCGCCTCCCCCAACCGCCCCCAGCCCGAAGCTCAGAGTCCAGAAGGGGCCTCTCTAGGGCTCAGAACACCAGAGTCTCCAACACCTCCAGCCCGGCACAGGAGGAGAATTAAGGCCAGAGATGGATAGGGTAGCACCCCAGGGAGACCTGCAGGGCTCTTCCCCAACAGTCTGCACCTGAACTTATCCTCCCCTAAGTGCCGCAGTCACCCTCCCATAACACTGTCTTCTTGCCTCTCTGCACCCACTCTGTTCCACCCTCCACACAGGTGACCACAGTGGTCCCTTCATAACACAAACACAACCCCTGCCTCCCCCACTGGAGCAGGTGCTAGAAGAATTATCAAAGTCCCTGCCCTGCTCAGGCCCCTGGCAAACTGAGCCCTCACTGAGTCAGTGGCCTTACAGAGGGCAAGGCCCATCCCTAGAAAATAGCAGGGCCAGGGTCAGCCTAGTGAACCACCAAGGGGCCAGCCAGGGGAGAAACAGTTCTGGAGACTCAATTTCAGAGAAACGGGGAGGCCCTAGACAGATTTCTCCCCTACATCTGAGAGCTGCCCATGCAGAGCTTCCTTAGCAAGGGCTAAGATCCCTGTTGCATTTAAGCAAGCAGCAGCTTAGTCAGACTTGCCCTGGAAAAGAGGTTGGAGGAGGGACTTTGGCCCCAGGAGAAAATGGGGGAGGGGTCCAAGTGGGGCAGGCAACCCGGGGGCCTGGAAACTGAGTCTGGATGTCCCTGTCCCTGTCAGCACTCAGGCTGTCTTGCCCACACTCACCCTATCACTGGGCATGCCCACTCAGGCCTGGGGCTTGATGGTAGCATTCTCGAGTGCCCAGGAGGGTAAAGGTGACTCTGTAATGTGGCCCTGGAGGGTTCTTGGAGTCCACTGCAAGCCTGGGAGCCGAGAGCCCTCCCATACGTCCAGCTCTACTCTGTGAAACACCCCAAGGACTCCATCACTATGAGAAAGGCCCCCTCTTGAAGACGGACTGCACAGAGCCTGAGTCAGCCCTCAGAGCAGGCCCCTTTCCAGCAATAGAGCTGTCCCAGCCTAGAGCTTGGGATCCGGCCATGTCACCCTCCCAGAGCTCCCAGCCCAGGGCCCCCCACTGAGCCTGGGCCATACAGAGGGAAACCTTGCTTCCCCTCTCATCCCTCAGCCTCAAGATCCATCCACCTTTCCCGGGGCTAGAAGCCATTGAACATTTGCCTTCCTGCCACAGCAGCCACCATCCCACACCTTGTGCTGCAGCTATGGATGAGAGGTCACTGCCATGAGCTTCCCCACCTCCAGCTGCAGGCCCCAGAGGTGAAAACAGGTATGGACATCCAGAGGTTTGGGGACACTCAGAATCTCAGGATCCCAGATACTCCAACAAAGAGCTGAGGCATCTTCTCCCTTGTGCCCCACCACCCCCTAGCCCTGACCTCACAGCACCTGGTTGTCCCACAGGCTCATCAGCACCTCCCTGCCAAGTTCCCATTCCCCACTCCATCCCAGTGGCAAGGCTGGGCCTCTGTTACTTATCACAGGTCGGCACAGTTAGCACCTGAAAATTACATGATGGATGGATGGAGGGAGGGAGGGAGGGAGGGAGGGATGAAAGGAGGGAGAATGGATGGATGAATGGATGAATAAGCTGATTCAAATGAGCCTTGGGCCTGGCAAAGATCTGCTCCATTCAAGGGTCTCTATCCAGGGGTTTTGGGAAATGCTGACTACAACAAACCGTGAAATTTCTTCAAAACTTAAAAACTGACTTGTAAGGTAAGCTCTTATTTTGCCAAGTAGAGATATGGAAAACAACAGCTACCGTCGTTATTGTTTCTGTAAACAGAGGGATATTCTCAAGGCAAAAGAAAGTAGGCAGGATGCAATCTTGGAAGAAAGACAGGCATTGAAGATGCATAGATTGGGCTTCTGGAAAATATACAAGATAGGACATTTTTTCAAAACTTTCTTGGGTATTGTGATAAGTTGGGCCTTAGGGCTTGGAAATGCCCAAGTGCTTCCAATCTCCACCAGGGTAAGAGCCCCTTCTGCAGCCTTTCTGGCTCGGATTGGTTCCCCTCTGCTTGCATATTCCTCAGAACAGAGGGCTCACCACCTCTCCCAGTTAGCTCAGGAGCTGACGATGACATTCTAGAGCACCTTTAAATGCTTCCAAGCCTACCACGGGAGAGAGGTAAGGAGACCAGGAGCAGGGTATGATGGCAGAGGTGTTGAGGGGAGGGAAGACCAAGGCTTCCAGCCCCAGGGCATAGGTGTGGTAAGGTAAAGGGCATACTCATGTTTAGCTGGACCAAAGTAGAAAAATCAGGAAGCTGCCAAGACCTGAACTTGCCCAAGGGGCACCTGGAAGTGCAGAGTCTGGAGTCTGAGTCTTCCAGCTGCCACATTCCACCCCAACTAGCCCTCCAGAAAGGTTCTGATGGCCCCATGGCCACGGCCTTGGTAGATATGTGAGGTACCCAAGCCCATAGACCAGAGGTGGAGGTGGAGAATGGAAAAAAATGGTGGAACCTCAGGAGTCCTCAGGCAGTGGAGAGGAGGGTGCAGGCAGGAACCCTGCCCAGACCTGACCTTCGAGGGCCTTCTCTGTCCAAGAGGCCCCGGGCCCTGGCTGCTGAGACTGGAGGGGCCCGCTGGGTGATCCGGCCTGGGGGAGTATCGTGTGCACACACTCACACACACATGCCACATTCCAGTTGTGCTCTGTCAGCGTTTGGGCAAACCAGGATTGTGTGGCTTTGGGAGGGCAGGGAACAAATAACCCCCAAAAGTGGGTGAGGGAGGGACTGGGGCTGGTTGGAAGGAACTTGGGAGAACCCCAGGGAACCACTTCTGTGGTGGGTCACCAGGTTCAAGATCCGGGCTTTCCTGCTGTGCTCTGAGGTGACTGGATCAGCATTTCCCCTGTTCCCAGGCAGGCCCGCCCTCTCCCTGACCCCACAACTCTCACTACTACCCATGGCCCCAGGACCGACCACGGAGGACACCCCAAACACCCCCTTATGCAACACAAGGAGCTCCTGTCACACTGCTGCCAACTTTTTTTGGCCCCTCCTCCCCTGTTCCATACATTCCGTCACCCCCGACCTCTCTTAAGGCCTCCATCAGCTTTCCATAAGACTCTCTGCCACTGAGTGCTTTGAGCACTACAGTCCACTTTCCCACAGCTGCACTGATTTCCTTCCTTCTTGTGGCCTGGCAAAATTTTCATCCAATGCCTGACTTCTTCAAGATCCCACCTGACTTCTTTCTATCTCGGCCTGAATTTCTGGCCTTCCTGGCACCGCTACTCCATGCCATCTCATTCATGTCCCAGTGGTAACCCCAGGATCCCTGGGGATGATGTCTGGAAGAGAAGATGCAGGGTGCGGCAGGCTAACAAGAGCCATGAGCATCCATGCAGGAACATCCGAGCAGCGGAGGGACGCTTTGTTCTGGGACCATCGCGGGCCCAGCTCCGATAATCCTCTGTCCCTTGTGCTCAAGTTCTAGATCCCCAAACTCTGCCCTAAAGCTGTGAGTGTCAAGGGCCCATCAGAACCTTGTTCCTGCAATGTCACTGGACCTTCTGTGTTAGGTTTTGCAGTTTCAAGGGGACTGCCTGGCCCTGCCTGGGGTGCTGAAGCTGAACTCTGCCCCTGGACTACCCCACTGACCCTCTGATTCAGCATGGACTGAGAATGTAGTGGTGGCTCCTCCTGCCACCTTGAGGAGACCTCAGAGATCAGGCCCCAGGCCAGAGGAGGAAAGTGAGGCATAGAGAGACCCCAGAACAGACCCCAGCCTTATGGGGCACATGACAGGGCACTTGAGGCATGAGGGGTATCAAGGTAGCCCAAGGGCAAACCCCCTGCCCCCTCCCACCCCTCTCTACCAGCCACAGGGCCATAGGCTGGACCACCCTGCTTGAGGGGGAAGCTGGGACCAGTGTTTATGCCACTGTAGGGAGGCCACAGCCTGCCTAGGAGTGCCACCTGCCCAGCGCCAGTGCTGATTCAACAGAGCCCCCCCAGCACATATGCACTCAGACATAGGCACACACACTCACGCACACACAGTGGCAAACACACATGTACATATGCACAGACAAATGGGCACCTACACACTCACAGACACAGACACACATATACAACACACATACAAACACAAGCCCACATTCACTTACAGACACAGATCCACAGGCATACATGCACAACTGTGGACCTATGCACACATACACACGCACATTTCACCCAGCCAGGATGGGAGGATGCTGAGTAAGGAGAAAGCTCACCTCTGCAGCTGAGTCCCACCTTTAGGTGCCTCCACCCCATCCATTCTGATGTCTGCACCCACAGCCAGTGAACCAAACCCAGGAACATGTGGTCAGCAGAGCCACATATGAGAGGTAAATGGCCCCAGGGTAGCAACATGGCCATGGCTGGGCCAGAGGCACATTCTAAGTGGAGCTGAGCTGCAACAAGTGGAACCAAGCTGCCCCTGCCAGGGCTCATCAGACAACAGCTCCATCCCTGCCCTCACCAAGGGGCCCCCAACCCGTCCCCTCCCAGCTACGCAAGAAGAATAGGGGCTGGGAATTGCAAGATGCTCCCTTCTACCACCAAGCCAAACCAAGTGGGACAGTAGCTCCCAGGGACTAGGGAAGCCTGCAAGAAGAAGGGTATGTTTGGGGAAGGCCTGGGAGTACTGTGGGCCACCCTGGAAACCAGAAGGGCAGGCATTCTTGAGAGAGCGGGACGTGTATGCCTGAGGACTAAGACACATGTGAACTTGGATGCAGGGCACTCCTTGCTGGAGACGACTGAGAGCAGGTGCAATCTGTGCTCAGGACACCAGCCCAGGGTAGGCATACCCAGAAAGAAAATGCTGAAACTACTCAGTCCCATGCAGAATTCTGAAGGGGAGCTCAGCACTTCTGGGCTTGGTTTTCAGGAGCAAGGTGCACCGGACAGGCGGGAACTGGGGACTGCCCGGGAGAGTGTCAGCCACTTCAGGTGGTGCCCTACCCCGGAGGTGGCTGGAGGTGGAACCTGATTGGGATCTGCTCCCCTCTGTGTGGGTCCTCAGTCACTCATGGGCCAGGAAGGCTGGCCAGAGCCCGCCAAGATCACACACACACATGAAGATGCCCTCATTGGCCAAGTGCACTGCAACGGGGCACAGGGCGTCTTTATCTGCCCCACCAGCCGACAGACTGTGCACCTCTCAGCACAATGGCGGTAAACTGTGAAAGAGCAGATTACGACTCCTTCCCCTGAATTAGATCTGAGGCTGGAGTGGACTGAACCAGAAGGCCTTGAAATCTGTCCTTGATGTTGCTGAGGATGTTTTCAAAACAGCCCTGGAATCTGACCACTTACGACCATCACCCCCACCAGTACCCTGGGCCAAGTGTGCATCTCCTCTCTCCTGGACCCTCCTCACTGGCCTCCCTGCTGCCCCTGTGGCCCCCACAGTCTCTTCTCCACACAGCGGCCAGGGTGGCACTGAGAAAACATCTCCCCAGGGCGCATGCTGCAGCCCTCCCTGACCTCTCTGACTCAGGACCTGTCCCTCTCCATGGCACTTTCTGCTCCCATCACCAGGCCTCTGTGCCCTCTGCCAGGACGTCTTCCCTCAGATGCCCACACAGCCTCCTGAAGCAGATGCTGAGGTGCCGCATAGGAATGTTCCAGCCAACCTAGGGGCCCTGCCCAGCCAGTGACAGATGGGAGTCTGTAGATAGTCTGCCTTCCTCATCCCTCAGTGAGACAATACCACCATCTCCCGGAGGTTCCCAGCAGGGCTGAGACCCCTTTGCTCATAGTGTCATCTGCTCTGCATGCACCCCTTTGGGGGGATTTTCTTTCTTCCCACGCCCCCCACCCCACCCCTCTCCCACGCTCCCTGGAATCACCTTCCAGGGAGACTACTTGCAGGTAGTCCTTGATCTGGTCCTTGTCTCAGGGATTACTTCTGGGGGAGCCCAGCCTAAGACACTTCATCTCTCCCTTTTCCCTTTAGCAATAACTCCCCATCTCCCCTCCCCCAGCCCCTACCATTTACTTTCTGTCTGTATGAATTTGACTACTCTAGGACCCTTAGATAAGTGGACTCTACAGTATTTTGTGTGTGTGTGACTGGCTTATTTCACTTAGTGTAACATCCTCAAGGTTCACCCGCATTGTTGCGTGTGTCGGCATGGCCTTGCTTTGTCAGGCTGAGTAATACTCCCTTGTGGATAGACCACATTTGCTTACCCACTCACCCCTCCACGGACACTTGGGTTGCTTCCACCTTTTAGCTACTGCGAATAGTGCTGCTGTGAACGTGGGTGTGCAAATACCTGTTCAAACCCTGCTTTCAAGTATTTTAGGTACATGCCCAGAAGTACAATTGCTGGTCATCTGGTCATTCTATTTTGTGGGAAAATGCTATAGCGTTTTCCACAGTGGCTGCACCATTTTACTTTCAAATTTCAACAGTGCACAAGGGTTCTAATTTCTCCACATCTTCAACAACACTTGTTATTTTCTGCTGTTTTTTTATAAAAACCATTCTAATGGGTGTGAGGTGGTATCTCATTATGGTTTTAATGTGCATTTCTGTAATGATTAGTGATGTTCAGCATCTTTGCATGTGCTTATTGGTTATCTGTATATCCTTTGGTGTTTTGTTTTGTTTTGTTTTGTTTTGTTTTTTTGAGATGGAGTCTCGCTCTGTTGCCCAGGCTGGAGTGCAGTGGCGCAATCTCAGCTCACTGCAACCTCCGCCTCCCGGGTTCAAATGATTCTTTGGCCTCAGCCTTCCGAGTAGCTTGGATTACAGGCACCGGCCATCATGCTGGGCTAATTCTTGTATTTTTGTAGAGGTGGGGTTTCACCATGTTGGCCAGGCTGGTCTTGAACTCCTGGCCTCATGTGATCCACCCGCCTCAGCCTCCCAAAGTGCTGGGATTACAGGCGTGAGCCACCACGCCCAGCCTGCACATCCTCTTTAGAGAAATGTATACATACAAGTCCTTTGCCTATTTTTTAGTTGGGTTGTTTGGGGGGTGGTTTTTGAGTTATAGAAGTTCTTTATATATTCTAAATATTATCTTCTCTCCTTTAAATCTTTGCTCAACTATTTCCTGCCCAGATAATCCTTGACCTCATTATTTAACATGTCACCCACCTCCCGGCTTACACACACACATGCACACACACACCACAGCCCTCCCTGCTTTCAGTCCTTCTCTGCCTTTAGCACCATTCGATACTCCACTGTCAGGATTTGTCTGGTTTGTGTGAGTTCTACACAAAGGGCAGAGGTTTCCACTGCCTTCTCCACTGCAGTGTTCCCAGCACCTAGAACAGAGCCTGACACACAGTCGGTGCTCAGTAAATGCTGAGAGAATGAAAGGAGGATGCAACAGACTCCTGCGACACACTCACCCCTAACATGCACTCTCTCCCACACACTGCCAGCAGCCCCCATCCACACACACTCACTCTCACACACACTCAGGACTCCCCACACAACACAGCCCCTTGGACAGTCTGATCCACGCAGGCCTTCCAAGTTGCTCTCACCCCACCACATCCCCCCTGCCACGCAGACACGCGCATCCACACGAGGTCATGAAAAGGCGCCCCCTGGAGCTGCCCTGACTCCTGGGTCCTGGCCTGCAAGGTGTTTCCCATCCAGTGTGGCCCACTCCCCACTCAAAGCCTTTGATCTCCCCCACATTTCTATATCTGGGGCCCCCAGCCTCTCTGCAGGGCTTTGCTCTCTCTTCACATCAAGCCTGCGTGAATCATCTCCTCGAGGAAGCCTCCCCTCTCTATCCTCATCAGGCTCCAGGACTCAGGGGAGGGGCCCTGGCCCCAGAGCAGGGGATAGAATGGGGCAGGGGTCTGCAGGTGTGTGCACCTCCCTCCACCACGCAGGGATTGCACGCTGTCTTCTGCTGAGGAGCCCGGGGCTATCCCCACAAAGCCTCTACCTCTGACCTAGAGCCACACTGCTGGCAGAGTGGCTCAGTTTCACCATCGGAGTCAGGGCAAGGGGTCAGCTCTGACAGCCTGGGGACAAAGTTAGCTCCTGCCCTGCCACCCATTCCCAATGTCACTCAGGCAAGGCCATTCCCTGTGCTGGGCCTCAGCTTTCCCACCCGTGACAGGGTGGCTCTGGGCCAATGCCCCATGGTCACCCAATTGGTGGACATGCAGTGAGACAGCTCAGACAGTGCTCTCAGGCTCCCAGCAGCCCGCATACCTGTGTTAGCGGCCCCAGCATGGCTGCCTCCTGCAGAAGGCTAGGTGAGGGGCAAGCGCAACAGAGAAGCACTCGGCCTCCTCCAGCTCAGCGTCCATGGGCCACAGAATTCACATAGGCAAGCCAAGGGCCACAGAGAGGAAAGAAGGAGAGAGGGAAAGAAGGAGGAAAGGGAAGAGGGGAAGGAGAAATGTGGGACAAAGAGGGAAAGGAAGGAAGGAAGGAGGGGAGGGAGGGAGAAAAGGAGGGAGGAAGGAAAAAAAGGGGGAAGGAAGAAGGAAAAGAGGAAAGGAAGAAAGGAAAGGAGGGAAGAAGGGGAAGAAGGGGAGGAAAATGGGAGGGAAGGCAGGAAAGAAGAAAGGACGAAAGGGAGGGAGGTGGGTAGGAAGGGAGGGAGGGAGAAAAGGAAGAAAAAAGAGGAGGGGAGGGAAGGAAGGAGAGAAGGAAAAAAGAGAGGGAGGAAGGGAAATAAGTCAGAAAGGAAGGCCGGCAAGAAGCCATTTATTCATGAGGCCCATGGGGTGGGGACAGAGCTGCTGTCACAGGTAAGCACAGCCTGAGAGGGGCCAGAGACGGCAACCACGTGGAGAGGTCCAAGGGTTTTTGCAGGAGTCTTGGTAAGGCTCCCCTCCTTCCCACGACTCCAGGCCGCTGGTGTCAGCATCACACATGGGAGATGAGACGTCCCTGCACAGCCTTCCCTGGGCTTCCTGAGAGCAAAGGCAGTGCAGATTACAGAGGAGGAGGGAGACGGAGGCAGCAGGATGTCAAGTGAGCACTGCAGCTGGTGGAGTGTGGGCAGGTGGCAGCAGCGGGTTCAGGAGGGAGTGGGTGCCTACCTGGGCACGAGGTTTAGCTGGACATGATGTGCTTCACAAATGCTGGAAAGAAGAGGAGAGTGAGTGGCAGGAGTGCAACATGGGGAAGCCATGGCTGGGAGCCTGGGTCCCAGCACTCCCCTCCCAGAAGACCCCTGCCCCTGCTGAGCCCACCTTCATAGTTGATGCAGCCATTGGAGTCCTCTTGCCCAGCCATCAACTTCTCCACTTCGTCTTCTGTCAGCCTCTCACCTGGCAGGAGTGGGAGGCTGAGTCAGCACCGTGCGTGCAGAGGCATGATGGGGTGGGGGCACCCACTGAATCCCTCTAGATGGTGGCTCAACCTCTCCAGTATTCCCACAACCAGCACTGTTCACAAGACCTTGGCCATCACCCCATTTCTGAGGCCAGGAGAATCAGTGACAAGTTAAGAAGGGGCCTGGGGTGCAGTACGTGCTGTCCTCTGTCCCACTAGGCTGGGAGGGGGTCCCTCCGCCAGGACGAAGCCAGGGCTCCCTAGAAGCAGTCCCTTGGGGCAGCCCCTTGAGGCTAGAGGAAGGGCCCATGGGGTGGAGTTGGGGATCTTGGGAGAGGGTGGTGGAGGGAGCCAAGAGACCACCCGCTGCTCCCCAAGTCTGGTATTCTCCTGCCTCCGTACTTCTGTGTGCTGTGCTGGCCCCCCTTCAAAATGCCAGCCGCAGCTCCCCCTTCTTACCCCCACCTTTAGACACACATGCACACACAGAGAGAGAGAGGAGAGAGAGACCAGCACGGAGCTGAAACAGTAGACACTCAAATGTTTGCTGCAGGAAAAAATCACTTTGAAGAGGGACCCCCTGCTGCAGGCAGCCGATGGTAGGGGTATAAGTGGGAGGTACACAGGGCTCCACAGAGGTCAGGATCCCCCCAGGCGGCAGGCACTTGACCTGCTTGACCACTTAGGGCTGTGGCCCTGGAATTTGACCTTGGAGTAATGACCACCAGGACGGTGGCCTGGAGTCGTGGGAAGGAGGGGAGCATATCAAGACGGCTCCTTCCTGCCCTGCTCTGTCCCCAGAGCTGATGTCATCCCCCTTCTGTGAGCTGCACCAGCATGCTTGCTTTACTCTCCTCCTAAGTAACATTTCTGTTGTCTGCCATTGAGGCTCCCTAATTATGTAACTCTCTCCATTTCACCAATGGGTCACAGGCCTGGGGGGCAACAGAGTGGTTTCTCCCAGGATGTCCCTGGAAGGAGTTGGGGTAGGGGAGGAGGCTGCCCTCACCCAGCGTGGCCAGCACGTGGCGAAGCTCAGCACCCATGACAGTGCCATTGCCCTCCTTGTCGAAGACCCGCAGCCCCTCCACGAAGTCCTCATAGGTGCCTGTGTCCTTGTTCTTGGAAATGTGCTGGAGCATAGGCAGGAAAGTTTCAAAGTCCATCATCTTGGTATTGAGCTCTGCAGAGAAATGGTCCCAGGTTCCAGGGTCTAAGGCTGGGGTGGGCACACCCCTCCCCCATGCCTGATAATGAGGAGCTATCCCCACCTCTCACACAGTTCTACAACAGTCTACACCAGTTCTCACAGCAGTCTACACCAGTTTGCCATTTAAAAGCAAACTACCATCGCGAGGCACTTTACAGTCTACTGAGCAATGCACTGTTTCCATAGCCCTTTGCTATTCACAAAGGGAGTTTGCTGCCCTGAGCCACCACGGAGGGCTCTGTCCAGAACCCCTTGCCTACTTTTGGGAAACAGTCCTCCCCTCGTGGCATTTTCTTATAGACCTCACCCTCCACCACCTGTGATTGGGTCAGGAGCAGCTAGGCCAATCAGAGACCTTCCCTGGGACTTTTGAACCCTTGGTGGGGGCTTGGGCCTCACTCCTTTTTTTTTTTTTAGCTTTAAAATTTTATTCATTTATGTATTTATTCATTCATTTATTTATTTTTAGACACGAGGTCTTCTTGTTACGTCACACAGACTGGAGTACAGTGGTGTGATTATAGCTCACTGCAACCTCAAATTCCTGGGCTCACGGGATCCTCCTGGCTCAGCTTCCTGAGTAGCTGGGACCATAGGTGCATGTCACCATGCCAAGCTAAATTTTTAATTTTTGTAGAGATAGAATCTCACTATGTTACCCAGGCTGGTCTCACTCCTGGCCTCAAGTGATCCTCCCAAAGCATTGGGATGACAGCATCCCACTGCCCACTGCTGTCACTGCCCGACCTTCTCACTTCTCCATAGGTGTCAGCGCCTACCACCAGGGGGCCTGGCAAATCAGCATGGATCCAGATGCTCCAGCAAACCATTACTGCATGTCACCTGGTCGGCATGGCCCTGTGACTGGCCTCGGTGCCCTCATCGGGACAATGCGAGATGTCAGGAAAGATTCTCGTGCTATCCCGCAGGATGGATGGCAGCCCACCCAGCCAGTCTCCCCGGTACTAACACTATGGGGGCTCTCGGGCAGGTGCACTACCTTCCTGTCTTGGCTTCCCCAGGACACGGAGCACTTCTGCCTGTGTGGGGTTCTGGCCCAGCGCCCGCAGGACATCCCCACACTGCCCGTAGGTGATCTTCATCTCACACTTGGGTGTGCGGTCGAACAGCATGAAGGCTTCCTTGAACTCTGCCAGGAGAGGGCAGTGAGCCACAGACACTCCCAGGGTCAGCCTACCCCACTCCCCACACCCCTGGCAGGACCCTCAGACCAGGGAACCCCAGCCCAATCCTGCAACCCCTGGGTTCAAGACCCCTGCTCACCTTCAATCTGCTCAGGTGTGAACTCAATCTGAAAAGAGACCCCAAAGACTCAGATGCCCGGCTTAAAAGGTGGGGCCACACCTCCTCCTGGGCACTCGGTGGCCAGCCCAGAATGTCAACTGTCTCAGCCTGTCCCATTCCAGCATCCCAGCCTGCACCCCCAGGACCTCCTGCAGTCCATCTTGACGCCCTCCTGCCTCCTTGCCCCCCTCCACCTCTCCAGCCAGAAGGCCTTGAGGCTGTGTGCACCGAGGCCCTGATGCTCGGTGGACCCTGGCAGGGGTAGCAGTGAGGAGGGAGGCCACATGCCCAAGGCCTCAGGCCAGCGTGGGCCTTACCTGATGCTCCCGGTTCTGGACAGATGTACCTTAAGCCACAAGCCCCAGTCAGGCTGGCTTTGCTTGGGGCCTGGTGGGCAGGACTGTCAGCAAAAGTGAGATGGGAGGGCCCAGGGTGGTAGAAGGAGTAAGGGCAATGGTACAGGCCGAGGGCTGGTGGCTGGAAGCATCGAGGGTGAGCACAAGTGTGCATGTTTGTGTGTGAGCATGTGTCTACATACGTCTGCCCTCACAGAGCCCCCTAAGCCCTAAAGACCAGGCAGTCACTCACCAGCCCCACTATACCTATTTCTCACACACCCTGTCCGTAGGTCCCTGGGAAGCTCCCACACCCCAGGACAGCACAGGGCCAGGGCAGTGCTGCTGAGTGTTTGCTGAAGTCACATTGGGGCCACCTTGATTGACGTCAATCAAGAGGCCTCCCGGGATCCAGTGTCCCCCTCCTCACCGGATACCAGGTCTATTTTTATCACTGCAGTCACTCGCCCCAAGGTCAAGGTCACACAAGGGAAAGGAGGTTGGGGGAGGGGCATGACTGGCGTCTCTCTCATGGCTGCTGCCACGGAGCCCCACCAATCTCCACAGTGCATGCCGGCACAGAGGGACACCCTGTTCAGGGCCACCCTACCATGACTGTCCCTCCTGGCTTCTGGCTTGACCCAGTGTTGGGAAGAACAGGTTGTCATTCCTGGCTCCCTGAGAGCTCTCTCCACCAGGAAGCCTACTGAGATTAGGGTCTCTGGGCTCCTGGCAAAGGCTCCCTGCCCTTTACCTGCAACCTGGGGATGGGGGAAGAGGGCGCATGAGGGGTCTCATTGTCCCCACCTCTCAGAAGGAAGTCTGTGCCAACCTAAGGCCTGGCGAGAAAGGACAATGCCACTATGGGCCGTGGCTGTGGTCACAGCCTCACCATGAGGCCTGCAGAATGCAAGCCTGGGACCTGGGTGGCCAACTCCAGGTGCATATACTCTGAATGGTTCCCAGCAGCCCTGCAAGAGGGGACTTGCTGTTCTGTTTCACAGCTGAGGAAACCACGCCTCAGAGCAGCGAAGAACTTGGCAACTAAAATGGAGCAGAGTTGGGATTTGAACCCTTGCCTCAAAGGACATGGTAGGTGTCTCTGGGAAGGGCTCATGAACAGGAGGCAAGACTTCACCGATGGAATGTAGGTCCTGCTGGGCATGCAGGGATGGCGAGGGTTCCACAGGGCTCCTGAGGAGGCAGCCAGGGCAGCAGTGGTCCCAGCCAAGAACAGGGAGCAGGCAGGACACAGGGTACGTGCTGCTATGCAGATACCACAGGTGGGAGTCATGGCTCCCTCCAAGTTTAGACTCTGAGAAAGACTTTGCAGTTGGGGAAGGGCTCCTGGGGCCACTGGTCATAGCTCCATGACCAGCTTCCTGCACAGCTTTCAGAATGTCCCCAGCCAGCTGATGCTTCAAGTTCCCTACCTAAAAGCTGAGGCCTGGAAGTGCTCTACCAGCTCTGGGCTCGGTGATTTGAACGAGACCCAGCCTGGACAGGGGCCCTGCTTCTTCTTACTCCCTATCTCATCCACGCTGGGAGCGTGTATGGACTTGGGACCCCTCAGCTGAACAAGGAAAATCCCTGCCTGGCTCCAGCTGACTCCAGGATTCCCCAAGGATGAGAAGTCCAGGAAGAAGGGCAAGGGAGAGTCCATTTCCAAAACCACTAAAAAGACAGTCCAGACTCAAACCCCAGTCTAGACTCCACCTTAGTTCTCAGCAGCACCAGAGGAGTCCTGCAGAACGTCTGACCACCATCCCTCCTGCTGCAGCCCTTCTGATGCCTGAAGCAGTCAGGGCTTGTCTGACCTCTGCACAGAAGCTTCCAGCGTCAGCTCAGTGCTCACCTCCAGAGCCTGACCTGCCTCTTGCTAGGTCCACTCTGGGATCCACTCACTTGCCCTGCTCCTATTGCCACCACCCAGCTTCCATACCCACCTTGATCTTGGAAGCATCAAACTCGACCTCCTTAGGGCGCTCAGGCTCAGGGGGAGGTGCGGGAGCTGGAGCTGCCTTGGGGGCTGCCTTGGCATCATCCTTCTTGGGCTCTGGCTTTTTGGGGGCCATTGGGGGCTGTAAGTACAGAGAGGGATGTGGAGAGAAGAATGCAGAAAGCAGGGTAGGTGAGCCGCCTCACCCAGGCCTTTATCCTGCCCGGATACCTCATGACCCCAGCCCCACCCCTGCAGTGCACAATAGGGACAGGGCCATAAAAGGATATGGCTAGGCTTAGGGGCTATTTTGGGGCCTGGGGAGGGCATTGTTCAGGCTCAGGAATGGGTAGTGGAGGAGGGATCTCCATTCCTCCCAATCACCTGTTGGGAAGGGGGAGGGAGAGAGGGGGACAAAGGCCACTGCTTAACACACACATACACACATACACACACACTCATCTGCACACCCGCACATACCCACACAGGGCCCTGCTGCCTCTCTGCAGGTCCGTAAGTTGAAGAGGTGAAGAAGGGTGGACCAAGTACATGCTACGTGTTGTGTTGGGGCCAGAAGGACTGGGATGATCTAAGGGCACCTCTGAACTTAAGCTCTCCAAAGTCCCCTGTGTCTGTGTCTGTGTCTATGACCGTGTCCATGTGGGGGAAGGCGGAAGTCAGCATGTGTCTGTGTGTGTTGTCTGTGTCTGTGTCGGGGTGTCTATGTGTCTGTGGGTCTCTCTGTGTCTGTGTTTGTGTGGAGGGGGGTCTGTGTACACCTGTGTGTATTGTCTGGGTGCCTCCGTGGTGGGGGGCTCTGTGCGTGCCTATGTGTGCTCCGTATCTGTGTCTATGTAAGGGATGGCCCGGGTGTCTGCATTTGTCTCTGTGGGTCTGGGTCTTTATGTGTGCGTGGTGTGTCTATGTGTCTATGTGAGTGTGTCTGCGGGTGTTGCTTCTGTGTGTTTATGTCTGGGTGTTTACATGTGTCTGTATGTGAGTGTCTGGTCATGGCAGGCAGCTGTAGCCCTGGCTATGGGTCCAAGGGTCTCCAGGAACCCCCACAAAGGGCAAGAGAAAGGATGCTGCTCCCTCTAGGGCAGTCGCCCCAGGCCAGTTCAGCAGCCTCCCTCTTCAGCCCCTGCTGGCCCAGGGACCAGTTTCTCAGCTTTCACCCCTAGATTCCTACTTCCCCTCTCTACAGGCCCCAGGGATGCACATTTCCCTACACACCCCAGGCCTGGCTCCCCACTGCACCCTCTGCCCAGAGTGCCCTCGCCCCCTCTGCCTGACATATTCAAGGCTTGGCTCTACTGGCCCTCTTCCAGAAAGCTCTCTCCAATGCTATTCCACTGCCACATGTTGCCCTCTGCCGACCCTTTTGGCAGGGGCTCTGAGAGGGTCTGCCTCTCTGAGGAACCCCAAGCTGCCAAGCAGGGTCTGCCCCAGTGCAGTGATGCTCATTCCCTGTTCCTACCACTCAGTGCCCACCCCCAGTGCCCATCCTGCAGTGCCCGGCCCCCAGGGTCCATCCCAAGCCCAGCCTTCAGCAGATGACAGTGACAGAGTACAGCCTGACGGGACTGCCACTTGGGGAGGTGGGAGGGCTGAGGTGGCACAAGGCTCTTCCCGCATGGGGACGCCAACAGTGGGGACATCTTGTAAACACATTGGGCTCTGTTCCTTGCCCAGCATCTGTGCCTGGGGGGTGGGAAGGAGGTGCTCCTGGTTACTTTTAAGTGCCTGGAGCCTTTGATAGAAACTTCAAAGCCAGGGATTTCCCTGGTGTGGCAAGGGGCTAAGCCTGAGGCTGAGAGGTGCTGTGGGGCCCAGGGCCTCTACCTGGCACGCCCTGCTGTCTTCCTACTGGGCCCAGTCCCTCTCATCCTGTCACTCCGCCTCACAGGGAGGGACAGCAGTCCAGGGCTGGGGCCAGCCCGCTCCTGACTGGAACACGTTCTGCCTCTCATCTGGAGGGCAGAACACCCACATCTGGAAATCTGACAACATCCGGGACTGGCGGGGGGGCAAGTTTTTCACTTTTCTTCCAAATGTTTGGCAACAGTATTGAGAAAGAAAGGGGTGGGGGGATGGTCAGTGGAGACGAGCCAGAAATACCACAAGAGGAGAAGACAGCCAGAGGGCCACACAGAGGGGCCCCGGGGAGGCCCCACCACCCAGGCCTGCCGACCCTCAGGACAACGGGCTCTGGAAGTCACACGGGAGCCCCAGCCACCCACAGACACCGCCAACAAGACCAATTTCCTTGTGTTCATCATGAGGGAAGCAGAGGGCCAGAGCAGAGGACATATACAGGGCCCTCTCTCCCATCTCATTTCTTTCATCCTCACACAATTACCACCCCTTGGAAACCACCCAACGTTGGCCCAAATGGGGGTAAGCCAGTGACAAGAGCATCCTGGGCCTCAGTGTCCAGGTCTGTGATCTGGGATGGGCAGGCTCATGCAGCCAGCCAGAGCCACATAGTGCCACCTTCCTCCACCTGTGTGTGGCAGAGTCAAGGCAGTGGCTTGGGCCCCTCCTGTCACACACAGGGCAAACGTGGTCCTGCAGCAGGGACAGGGTGCACAGAGCCATCCTCACTCCCTCATCAGGACCCAGATGAAGGCTAGGGCCAGGATGGTGACTGCCTGAGCTCTGATTCTGGGCATGTCCCTGCTGGCTTGGGAACAACAGTGCCCCAGGACTCACCCACAGGCCCACCCTCAAACCTATAACAACTGCCTAGCCCCCAGTAGGCACTCTTCAGGACCAGCCAGAGCCCTCCCAGGCACACCGAGACCAGGAGCAAGGCATGGGGTGAACAGGAGGCAGGAAGGTGGGCAGGGAGTTGGGGGTGGAGGGAGGGAGGGTGGGCAGCAGTTGGCGGTAAGAACAGGCCACACCATGCCTGGCACTTCCCTCTCTCTCCCACATCCCAACCTGAGCTTTGTGCCCTTCAGGAGTCAGCCTAGCAGGCAGGATCTGGGCAGGGCCTCGGGGGCCTGGAGAGCCAGGGCTGGGGGTCTGGGTCCTACTGCTTCAGCTCCCAAAGCTCTGATGTCTGAGCTGCAGCCCAGTGTGCTGCAGGCTGGCACACGCCATGTCCCAGAGCCCTCTCAGGCAGCCACTTACCTCTCCCTTCCCCCAGCCAAGGAGAATGCGGGGAAGATATGGGCCCTGACTTCTGAGGAGCCTGTGGACTAAGGCAGGAAAGCCCGGCCACGCCGGCCTTCTTCTGGGCTCTTGTTACCTGGCGTCTTCCGTGTGTCCGCCTTCCTATGAATGTCAGCCATCACAGGAGGGAGGAATGTTCTGCTCTTCCACAGCTACATTTTCCCAGGACCTGGTACACCACAGGCATTCAATAAATGCTGGATGAACAAATGTTCCAAATATCTCAGTTTACCCACCTCTCACAGAGGTACTGGAACCCCTTGCTAAACCCTGTCCTGGAGTGGGCCCGGAGAGATGGGGAGATTTGCCAACTGACTGACAGGAGCTCTGGCGGTGCAGAGGGCACTCTGGGACAGTAGTGCGGCCAGCAGCTGCCTCCAAGCCCACCCACCACTTCCCCATGCCCACCCCAATTCAGGCGTGCTCTTCACAGACTAAAGAGGTGAGGGTGACCCCTGTGGTACAGGCAGTGACTGGACCACGATCAGCCAGCAGGGGGCGCAGAAGGGATGGGAACCGACCTTTGGTTCCTGAACTCAAACCCCAGAACCCAGAATCCCAACCCAGACCCCAGATCAGGAAACCGGAACCCCAAGCTCAGACCCCAGACTCAGGTCTCACAATTTGAGTGCCAAACTCAGAACCCAGAACCCAGATTCCAGGACTAGACCCCACTGTGGAGACCTAGACCCAGATCCTGGCACCCAAACCCTGACCAAAGACTCCAAGACCCAGGATGGTAAACCCGGACCTTCAACCCAGACTCCGGACCCCAGACCCCAGACACAGGAACCAGGATTCTAAACCCAGACCCCAGATCCAGGACTCAAGCCCCAGGACTCTAAACCCAGACTTCCAGGACTGCAAACCCAAACCCCAGACCCAGGACCCAGGACAAGGGCTGACGGATTTCCAGATCAGCGTGGCCCTGTGTGGACAAGGCCAGTGGGAAGGGGCACCGGGGGGTCACACTCTTGGCAACAGCGGGGGTAGCTGCTTGGCAGACCTCCCTGGTAGCGTTCAGAAGGGCATGAAGAATGTCCATCATCCTGTCAGAGCCAATTTGGGGAGCTCAGACTATGGTTGCCACGTGGAGGGTGGGCAGAAGGAGGTAAGGGCCAGCTGTCCCCTGGGCCTAAGAGCCAGAGGCAGGGAAACAGGGTCGGGCTCCCCACGTGCCCTTGTCCCCTGGGCCGCAGTCTCCGCAGGCAGCCATGGCCCGCCCTGGCCTGCCGGTCCCGCCCCTCCTGGCCCACAGCCTCTGGGCTGGGACGCAGGCCCACACTTCCCGGAGGAGTCGAGAACACGGCCTGGGCCAGACCCAGAGCCTTAGAAGTAGGTCAAATGTTGCCGCGCAGCAGGTCCTGGGGACCCTGTCCTGGTGTGGGCAGGCCCGTAGGCTGCAGCTCACTTACCAGGGCCCACTTGTGTGTCCACATAGATGTGAACCCACCGCTACACACTGGACACCCATGAACACAGACCCCACGCGGGGCCCCTAGGTCCCTGTCCAGTTGCACAGATGGGGAGACCGTGGCCCCAAGGAGGCAAGAGCTGCCCAGCAATTCTGACTAGAGATGGCACGAGGCAGGTACAAGGACCAGCAGAAGGAGATAAATTTCTACACCATCCCATGGCCCTGGAGCCTCAGATGAAAGTCTGACTCCTAGGAGGACTTCCCAGCAAAGCCGCTCTGCCACTAACAGGATGGGGCCCACCTCCCAGAGGCACAACCCCGGGCCTTGAGAGATGGAAAAGAGTACCCAAGGGGAAGGCAGTAGACTCCCTATGCTCCTGTGACCCGGGCTGGTCCCTGCTCCTCTTGGCCTCAGTTTCCCCACCTGTACCATGGCCATGGGTGGGGCACTGTGATTCCAGGTTCAGAGGACAGTCTCTGCCCCTGAGTCCCAGCCCATCCTCACTACCCCCACACCACACACAGACAACTCTGTCCTCGAGCAGGCCAAACACAACCCTCAGGCCCCTCCCTCTGCCCACTGTGCTGACGGGGACCAGATGCTCCAACCTTGTGGTTCTAGGGGTGGGGGTGGCAGGGCCCAGCGGGCTGGCAGGCAAACCCTGGTTTTGGCCCAGGGACCTATAATCAGCTCCTGCCCCTCTGATCCCGGCCCAGGACTGACGCTTAGGGCTGTGGTGTCCTGGCCGGCTGTGGCCACGGCCGCTATATTTGGGAGCCCAATTCAGCATGAGGGAGGGGTGGGCAGGCAGAAGCCTCTAGGGACCCAAGCCTCATGGGGGACAGGATGGGGACAGCATTGGCCAGGCTTGGTCCATTCTGGAAGAAGGGCATGGCCCTGACTTCTCAGGGGCCTGGACTGGGGGACCTCAGCCCCACTCTCAGCAGCTAGTCTCAGGAGGGAGATTGAAAATGTGTCTGGAGATACTGCACCCCTGTTTAGTCCAAAGAGTGAGCATCAGTTGGGTCTGTGCATTCTGGGTGCATGAGATGGAGTCTCGGGCTGCCAAGGGTTTGTGGGAGCTCTGGATGGGTGAGGTTCGGGATACCGGGGTCTGGGATGGGAGGAGGGGGTGCCAATGTGCTAATCAAAGGAACTGAGAAAACAAAGGCCTGGGGCTTGGGTCAGGAGGAATGGAGCAAGATGCAGCCCTGAGCCCCAGCTCCCCAGCTCTGCCTGCTGGTCCAGCTTCCGGACAGGGGCCCGGCCCCTCCCCCCACAGCATGGCCTGTGGCCTCCCTGAACTGCCCTGGACATTCCCTGCCACTGGGCCAAACCCTGTACTCTCCCACCAGCAGCTTCCCAAAGAGCAAATATTTATTGTCCTTGGAAGAAAAAAAAAGACTCCCCTTTTAGGATCGGGGTCTGGGAGCTGCTATTGAGGTTTGCAGGGGCTCAGCAGCGGCCTGAAATGACCAGAAGCCCCACCTAGACGGGCTGAGGAAGAAAGGAGGGTGTTCCATGAGCCGGCCTTGGAGGAGACTGCAAAGGCTGCCCTGGGTGCTGGGCTGGGGCTCTGCCCAGCGCTGCACCCTGGGCCACATTCCTCCCTCCCCTTGCCTCCATTTCCCCAAGGTTTCCCCAGAATAGGTGTGAGGACATGCAGACACTGCCACACGAGGTGTGAACATGTGTGACTGGACGGGTGTGGATAGTCTATGTGTGTGTAACCATGGACAAGAGGATGAGGCCACACGTGTGATTGTGTGGGAGTGTGTCGTCTTGCGTGCTTCCACGTGTCACCATGGGCACGAGGCTGTGACTCTGCGTGGGCGTGAGCATGTCTGCGTGCTCCTGGCTCTGTGTGCATGTCTGTCTGCAAGCCTGTTCATCTGTTGGCATGGGTGGGGAAGGGGCATGTGGACACAACCTCTGTTGAATGGCCAATTCAGTCAAAAATGCAAGTAAATTTAGCAGGAGAAAAAAAAACCCGTCAGTCAGACGAGGAGTCTGAATTGAGTGGTTGTTTGAGTGGATGGACCGACTGTCTCAGGCAAACAGTTCACACTGGCTGGGAGGAGGAACCGGCTCCCCTGGGCCATCACGGAGAAACTGGAGACAGGGACCCTTGGCTATGGCAGAGGTGAGACACAGAGACTGAGACAGAGATGGGAGGATGGAGAGAGACAGAGAAAGAGAGAGATGGGGCAGTCAGAAACAGGGGGGAGAGAGGGTTGGTAGGAGGGTCAGGGACAAATGTTGCCCCAGGAAAGGATGTACCTTCCTGGAGCCTGCAGACACGTACGCATGCACACCATCATGCCACCCCTCACCCCGGCTCCCAGCCAGCATAACCCAAATTCATTCCCACCTCTCACCCATCCTCAAGCAGCTCCAAGTGGACAAGAAGTGGGCACCAGACCAGGATGCAAGGAGAGAGGGTGGGCATGGGCACCTGGACAGAGGGACAGGATGACAGATGAAGAAGGCAGTGCCGAGGACAGGGACAACAGTGATGGAGGTGAAGACAGGAGGGTGACAAGAAGGCCACAGTGGTGGTGACAGTGAAGAGGGAGTGCTGGCTGGGAGGACCTCCCTGACCCCTTGCAGACCCCACCTAGCCATGGTGGCCCCCTACACCCAGGGCTCTCCCCACTCTGCCCCCGCCAGAACCAGCTGTGGCCTTGCCTCCAGTGGCCATACAAAAATCCTCTGTGGCCCAGGGTGTGGATGCTGCAATAAAAATGGCCCAAGCTCCCAGCCAGGAATAGTTAGGGTCAACTCTGGTACCTGCCTGTGTGAGTATTTATGTATCCACCCTCCCAGTGTGGCTATGTCTGAAACACACACGCACTATCCCCAGGCAGGCTAACCCACCCCTGATGTGTGTCTGTCTGGAGATACCTATGGGCCCCTAGACACTCCCTACTCCACCTACTCCACCTTTGCCTAGTCCCTTTCCACCAGTACTGGGACAGCAGGAATCACACTGAAATGTGTGTGTGCACACGTAGCTTCCTGGAGCCTGCAGACATGCACTCAGGAATCCTGGCCCAAGGGAGCTTGGGCCAAGAGCAGGCACGCTGTACCACACACCTTTACCATATATCCTCATGCTTCATAGAAACCTTTGCATGCATGTTCACGCGCCTGTGCACACATATCCACACTCCTTTGTACACATATACTTTTGCACACATGTATACACACATTCACATGCCTTTGCATACACATCCATGCACTCTCCCACATACACCTAATGCACCACATCTTTTAGCTCACGGGTATAGAAAGAACACCCAGGTATAATTTCCAGGCAGAAATGAGCACTGGGAAGGAGGAGCAGGGCTGAAGGCAGCAGAAATCAGGGAACCCTACCAGGCCTGCCTGGCACGGTAGTGTCCGCATCTGTTTGTGTGTGAACGTGTGTGTCTGGACATTTGGGAGCTTTCCACTGCCTCCTCTCACCCCACCCTACCCTGTTCACAGAAGGGGAAACAGAGGCCCAAGCAGAGTAGCTGAGCCGGGAGGTCAGCGTCCTGGTTTGGGGCTTTCGAGCTTCAGCATCTGTGTTGTTCTTGGCACATCCGGGCCAGATAAGGACGGGGTCAGAGCTTGGCTCTCGTGGGAAAGGACTCTCTGGAAGGCTCCCGACCCATTCCTTTCCCAGATCTTGGACCCCAGTGCAAGCAGAGGGAAGACAAAAGGGAAGGAGAGATGGTTGGGAGACAGGCAAGCTCCCATCAGGTCAGCCTTGAGGGCTGTGGGGAGACCACAGCAGGTTCAGAGACTCACGGGTACCCAGGAATGTGTAATAACCCCCTCAGACCAGCACAAGAACCCCCAAATGCAGAGCCTAGAGCCTACGGGTAAGGGTGAGGCCAGGAGCCCAGCTCTCTGCAGCATCTGGCCTTGGAGCCCTCTGCTCCAGGGAGCCTCATGCGGTTTTAGAGCCAGGGCTGAGGTAAATACCTCTGTGCCCCAAAGGTCTGGAGCTCGGTTGGATGAGAAACTGTTCTGGGAGGACAGTGGAATGTTAGGAGACACTGGAGCATCATCCTCCCATCCAAAGCTGATGAGGGTACAGGTCCTGGGATTGGGGTTGGGTTGGCTGGGGAGAGAGAACTCAGTTCTGGTGCTGGCCCCTTCACTGACTCCTGGAACCTCTTCCCCTCTGGAGACCTCAGTGTTCACACCTGCACAGTGGGGCGAGAGTTCCCTAAAGGTGGGCTCAGCAGGTGCACGGTCCTCCCAGTGCAGCCAGGGTGGGGCATCCCTGGACCTGAGTGTCCTCCTTCCCCACTGCCTCAGCCTGTGCCCCTGGCCAGGTCTCAGTGAGGGGCAGAGGGCTGGAGCTTGAAGCCAAGACAACAGGGGAACAATTGGCTGGAATTCTGCATAAACAGAGGGGCTCATCCAAGGCTGCAGATGAGCTGGGAGGGGCTGGGGAGTTCCTGCGCCCCGAGGGAGCCCTGCCTAACAGTGAGCCCATCCATCCAAAGGGAGGCCCTGCCTTCGGGAGTCCTGGTCTGAGAGCATAAGCAGGACAGCCTCTGTGGGGGATTTAGCAGGGGATGCTGTAGGGCCCCAAGACCCCCCCCCTCAGCCCACCCCCAACCAGCATGCTCGTGGCCCCTGCCCCACCTAGAATCATTGGAGATACACCTCCCAGGGGCAGGAAAACAAGGAGAAACCATCATTGATTGCGGCTGCCAGAAGCCGTCACCACCTCTCAGGCCCCTCCTCGCCTGACCTTGGGGTCCAGAGAGAGGACATGCCAGTCTCCCCACTCCCATGGTCTCACAGCAGCAGCTGCAGGGACAGCCAGGCTGGTCTGGGATGGGGGTCGAGGGTGGGTCCTCTCTGCCAGCTCCAGGTTCAGCTGCTGTCTCAGGGTTAGGCTCCAGCTCAACCCCTGGGGCTGCTCCCTGGCTTTCTGAGAAGATGCCGTCAGGCAGATTCCATCTCATAACGTTTCCTGGAGGAAAACGTTCCGACAATGAGCGTTCCAACAATGAAGGGATCTGTCTCTGATCCTGGGGCCTGCTCATGAGGAAACTGAGCCTACCCATGGCAACTGAGAGACAAAGAGGTAAGGGAGCAGGGTGTTTGGAATCCACAGCTCTGGCCAATAGGTGTGCCCTCCCCCAAGAGATGGAGGCTTCTCAGCAGAGCCACAGAGATAACCTAGCCCCTGTCCTCAAGGGCTCGCCGTCTATTGGGACAGAGGCAGCAGCATATCATGCCGTGCTAAATTTTCTAGTCATACCAGGAGGTCTGAGGTCTCACTCTGCTGGGAGTTGAAAGGTGCAGATCCAGGAAGGCTTCAGAGAGGAGGGGGCCTTTGGAGGGCATACAAGAGCCACCCAGGCAGAGAAGGGAAGGACAAGTCAGATGGCAAGAAGTGCAGGGGCAGAGGCCAAGAGCTCATGGAGGGTTCAGGGAATGGGAACACAGGGCAGTGGGGCCAGGCAGGGAGTTGGCTCCCCCAAACTCTTGAGTCTCTGCATCTCCCAGCTGAGCCCAACACACAGTAAGGTGCAGGCAGGGGCCACGGAAGGCAGGGCTGAGCTTGCAGAACACATTGTTCCTCCTCCTCCTCTTCTTCCTCCTCCTCTGTTTGCGAGGTCATCACTTCCTTGCCCCCCTCCACCCCCAAGGAGCCCTGTGTGGTTACGCTTGATTGGAAAAATTGATGTGGGGCCGCTGAGTTTAAGGGCGGGGGTGGTCACCCTTCCATCTTGAACCCAGCTCTGCTCGTTGGGCCAAGAGTGGCTTCCAGAGCCAGCTGTGCTGAGAGAGGGTGCTGCTGTGAGGACAGGATGTACTGGATGGCCCTGAGTTCAGTGCTCCAGTCCCTTGCCTCCACAGCCCCCACACCAGCTCAGGAAAGGAGTGCAGTGGGACTGGGGGAAGCCTAGACCACTGACCTCCCCAAAAAGATCATGACTAGTCCGGGAGGCAGAGAGGCCCCAGAGATAGAGCAGAGGTCAGGGCAGGCAGGAGCTGGGTGTGTGACTTTGGGCAGAGGCCTGACCTCACTGGGCCAGACCAGCTGCCAGTGTCCCCTCCAGCTTCAGGGAGGCATCTGAGTTATGCCTAGCCACCTCCCGTTAAGCCCAGAACCTCCTCCACACTGGCGACCCACCTGTGCCCAGTGAGAGCCCTTCGGCCTCTTCCAAAGAGGCTCACCTCAGAGGGCACGGGTGTCGGAAGGCCTGGAGACTTGCTCTGGATGAGCGGGGTGACCTCTGGCATGCCATTGCCCTTCTCTGGATGTCGCTTTCCCATACACGGTTTTATAAACTTCCCTGAGTGCTTCCCCTCTCCAGCCAGTTCAGCCAATGTCCACGGTGCCTCTGGGCCAGGCTTGGTGCAGCCTGCAGGATGGCCAGGCAGACACAACCCTGATTCCAGCCCTAGAGACATTCCCAGTGTCCGCCAGCTCATTGCCTTGCCCCAGCCAGTGTCCCCTGAGGCATTTAGAGTGAGAGGAAACTGAGGCCCAGAGATTTGGCAAGGCACGACAAAGGACCACCCACATAGAGGGTTCCTCCAGGCCTAACAGGGCAGGAGTGTCAGGACTAGGGGTTCTCCACTCGAGGGCTCCCGGCCACAGCCCCCGGCAAGGACCCAGTGTCTGAGCTAACCCCCTCCCCACCACCTCCTCCTTCCTGGCCCCCTCCTCCCTTCAAACCGCAGGGCCCAGCCGGCCTCTGGAACGCGTGCCCGGGACCTCGGTGATATTTTGAGTTTAAGAAAACTTTGCAGTCGGCAGGAGCTCTTAAAGGTTATAAATAGCAGCAGCGGGAGCCCATGCAGGGAGAGGCGGAAACACGTGTCAAACACGCCTGGGAGGGGGTATTCCGAGGCACAGACCCCCCCCCACACACACAATAGGGACGCACTAGGCTTCTGGGGATTTTACAACCACTGGAGCGGGAAATCACACTCTACCCAGAAGGCGTCTGGGAAACAGGACCCGCTTTGGACCCCCAACCAGTGTCCCCAGTGGCTGGCCAGGTTGCCCGGGCATGTGGGGGCACTGATGAAAGGGGATCTGGTGGGGAGGCCTTTCTCCTACCCCACTCCCCGCCACCATGCCACCAGGGATCTCCCTCAGAGCTGCCCTTGGGAACAGCAGGGCTGGGGGTGGGTTTGGAGAGAGTCCACTCTAACCCGTCTGTGGCAGGGAGAACTGAAGACCTGAGTGGGGACAGAATTGTTACCAGGTCATGGGAAAGCTGGACAAGATTTGGACCCCCAAGCCACAGTTCTTCCCATTGAACACTGTTGCTGCCTCCCTTCCATTTCCAGGGACCACGGGACGGTGCTCTAACTCACCCAAAGAAAGCACAGAGATGGGCACAAAGGTAACAACACGCAACACTGAGGGATGCAGACCTGAGGGCCCCATCCCTCAGCATCCAATCCCAGTGCTTCCCCTTCCGGTGAAGACCTCCTGCTGAACAGATGAGGAACAGACCAGAGACTTGCCCTACTCCAGTGGGATGCAAGCCCATGCCCACACTGCCAGGGAGTGGACTGTCAACAACCCAAGGCCAGGTATGCAGCCTCAGCAAGGACATCAGCTCCGCTTTGGACACAGCAGTCTCAGCCTTGCCTTGAGGGTCATGCAATTTGAGGACATGCCCTCAGGAGCCTAGTCTGAGGAGACACCCTTCTGGGGCCTGATCTAAGAGAAATCAGTTTTGATGGCCTCGTGGCCATGGAAGGAACCCTTCAACCTCCACCACCTCCCTGGATTTCCCAACTGCTCCACAATGTGCATGGGGCAAGAACTGTTACGACGCTGCAAATACCTGGAAACTCAGGCGAGTCTCAGGCTCCCACCCACCATCCCACTTATGCCTCACTCATGCCCCACCTGCTGCCCACAGCTCCCAGCAGGTCTGGGGGCGGCATCCAGCCTTGGCATCCAGGCGTTCTGAACCTCAGGGAGCCCCAAAGGGTTTATGGGTCTCCCAATGAATGGGAGCCTGTTGAGCTCGGAGGGGGCCGGGCCCGAGTAAACATGGCTGGGTCTGAGCTGCCATTCTCCCCCTACCTCTTCCCCAGAACCCAGGACCAAAATACAACTTCCTGTCCCCGGAGCTGAGGGCCAGACTTGCCCCCCAGAGCCCTGGGCTGGGGCCCACAGGAGGAACGCAAACTGGCAGGCCCAAGGCTCGAGGAGAGAAAGGCCTTCAGGTTTTCAGACTCCCAGGTCTGCTTGCATCCAAGACCCAAGTGCCTGGGCACTTTACAGATCCCCTTTGAGCCTGAAACTGCCCAACTGTTAACAACAGATCAGGAAACTGAGGCCATGAGCAGGAAGGCGTCTGGCTCAGGGATCCACAGGTCAAAGCAGAAAAGGCCCCAGCCTCCTGCTTCCCTGGCCAGTGAGGATGGGGCCTGTGGGCAGGGTAGGGCAGTGCATGTGGACTCAGGGGAGGTAGAGGCTCTGGCAGTCAAGAGCCAGGGCAACAGGGAGGCTTGACAGAGCACAGGGGAACTCTCCCTCCTTTGGGCACAACTGCCCACTGACCTCCGCTGGCCTGGTCACAGAATAGCCTACGTGTCCCAGGATACCCCTTGGAGCAGTGCACTTCAGAGTAGCTGGGGCAGGAGTCCCATAAGTGCTGTTTGTCATAGTTTCACTATGTCCCCTGGCCAGTCCATTCTGCTCTTTGGTCCCGTTTCCTCCACCTGGAGGCCAGGTATCACCGAGCCTGCCTCCCTGACTAACTTGTGAAACAAAAAGTACTTTGGAAACTCTAATGAGTGGTACCCTCCCCAGGAGCCTGGAAGACCCAGGGAGGGGGGCCCTAGGAATGTGCCCAATGGCTGGGGGTGGTTGGGGCCAGCTGCCTCACATGCAGGGCACTGGGGGCTACAGCTGGAATGTGCTGAGTGGCAGCTGCCACGTGAATCATTATACCTCATCAGGCTGAGCCTAGGACTTCCAGACACAAACCAGCTCAGACTGGGCTCAGGCAGAAGGGCAGCCTCCAGCCGGGTCACAGGGCCTGGGGGTGAGGTTTCTGGGATCTTGCAGGGTCTCTGCCTCCCTGTCTGCCCACATCTTCATCCTGAGCAACCAGCCCTGGTTCTGAACACAGCTCGTTCTACAGACCCACAGAGAGAAGTCATCCTGTCCACAGCCCCCTGCCTTTGAGACCTGTGACAGCTTAAGCAGACCCTGGGCCTGGAAGGGCCTGGGAGGCAGATAGGGAGGGCTTCCTGGCTGACTCCTCACCAGGAGCCCACATTCCAGTGGGCAAGGAGTCAGATATGAGGTGGCTGTGGGGCTGTAGGGGTCAGGACACGGGCTGGAGTGGAATGACGGCCCCCTCCATCTCTTCCGTCTAGGAGCCACTGGGTACCCAGTGCTGGCAGATCAGGCTTTCTTGGGCCTCAGTTTTCCTGCCTGTGACACAGGCAAGAACCACCTCCAGCCCCCCTCTGATTTCTCTGGGTGCCTTAAACTTGAGTGAAGTCACTAGTAGGGGCTGTGTTCATACCTCGTGGCAGCCTGATATTCCTGAGATGTGGAAAGGACCAGAGGGTTAGACAGGGACACAGAGACTAAGAGAGAGGCATGGCAGGGCAAGGAGAGGACTATTGAGGCACACACACGTGTCTGGCAGCCTGAGTGGGCCCAGTTACCTGGCAGGCAGACCCATGGGTGCTGAGGGGAGGGCCCAGCCCTGGGCATCTGAACACCGGCACACTTGGATCTGCCTCTGTTGCCTCCTACTCCTGACTAGGAGCCTGGGACAAAGTCCTGGGCCAGTGTAGGGCTTGGTAAAAAATAATTAATTTTCTTTTCAAGTGGAAGCTCTGACTCAGGTCTTTTCTTGTCCCCAGCAGCACTATCCTTGCTTAGGCCTGAGCCACAGAAGCTGCTCAGGGACTATCCATGGCCTCCCCGTGGCCAACTTGAGTCTGCTCTGCAGCTTTAGGCCCGACTTGGAAGGCCCATGGGCTGCAGGTGAGTGGGGGCCAGGGGAGCCTAGGGGCCTGAGCACAGCTGGGAAGCCCAAGTCTGTGGTTTCCCTGGGGGTGAGTGTCTAAATACCTGGGCCGTGCTATGGGGCAGACAAGACATGCCCGCATGGAGACACATCTGTGGACCTGGTGTTATGACAGCAGGGGGCTTGTAACCATGAGGCCAGCAGGGACAGAAAGCCCATACCTCTAGCTCCTTGGGAGCCTTAGGAGTGCTCCCTGGTTGGGACAGAGCCTGCTGGCCCCAGGTGCCCCCATCGCCCCTCCCTTCACCTTCCTGAGAGGCAAGAAAGCCAGGCAGCCATGCTTCTGCTGCAAGGGAAGGGGGCTACCCAGCCAGCTGCCATGGGAGCCTCCAGCGACTCAGCTGGGTGTCAGGGGGTGTTTATGAGCAGCCGAAATGGCTGTAAAAGTGGCACCTCGCTTCACTTATGGCCTAGCCATCCCCTCCCCTACTGGGCTCTTGCCTCAAAAAGTTTCCAGAGGGGCCTAGAAGCCGAGAGAGGTCTGGGGTTGAGGGCTGGGTGGAGGCACAACCTGGGGTCAGAGTTCAGCCAGGGGCTAGAAATCAGACTGGGATAAGAACTCAGCCTGAGGCTGGGGCTCATGATGGAGATAGAGCTCAGTCTGGGATCAGGGCTAAGCTTGGATGCAGCCTGACTTTGGGGCTAGTGTTGGGATGAAGCACTGGGGAAATATAAGGACTCAGAAATAGATGTGAGCCATTAGTCCCAGAGAACCCCTGGTCTGGCCAAGGGGTTTTCTGAGGGAGGAAGGCCAGGCTGCATTGCTCAGACAGCTGAGCCTCTTGCCTTGCTTGTTGGTGTCTGATGCCCACCCTGGCCCCAGGGTCTGTGTACCTTGGCCAGAGCCCTACTCACGGTGGGATGGCTGCAGCAGAGGCCTGTCAGCCTGGGGCTGCCACACCAGCAGGGGTGGGGCCAGAGTCTGGCCCCTACTGCAGTTCTGAGATCCAGTGACCACCCTGGCTCCTCCTCCTAGGCCCCAGCCTGGGGATTAGAGACAGGGACTCACTCCTACTCCCCACCCCCAGCCAGGCCTTTTCAAACCCCATTGAAACTAACACTGACCTGACACTAACCAGAAACTGACTCTGAGCCCCTGGGGCGTGCTTGTCAAAAAGGGCAAGCTGACTCTGCCAGGTGCTTGGGTGCTACCAGTTAATGTGTGACACCCCCACCCTCATGGTAGCACTTTAACCAGAGGCCCGAGGGTGAGAGAGATGATCTGTGGCCCCACCCACAGCTGTGGAATGTCCAGCAGGGGACTCTGGGGTGAGGCACATGAGTTATGGCAGGAGGAATGCCCTTAAGGGACCCAGCACCCATCAGATTCCTCTCTGCAGCCCTCTCCACAGCCCACCCTCATCCTCCCAAGTACAAGTAGTATGTTTCCAAATCTCAAGTTTTCCCTGGTGTCAGATCTGAAAAGAACTCCTCCCCTCAGCCTCTAGTTTTATCTCTCAGTCCTTCCAATCCCTCCATTAATGTTCTTTTCTCATCACCAAGGGGGAAAGCAGGGTGGAAGATCAGTGGTCACAGAACCATAAAACTTAGAGACACTTAGAAACAGAGGCATAGGCCAGGTGCGGTGGTTCATGCCTGTAATCCCAGCACTTTGGGAGGCCGAGGCAGGAGGACTGCTTGAGCCCAAGAGTTGGAGACCAGTCTAGGCAACAAAGTGAGACCTCGTCTCTACAAAAAAAAAATTTTTTAATTACCCAGGTGTGGTAGCTCATGCCTGTGGTGCCAGCTACATGAGAGGCTGAGGTGAGAGGATTGCTTGAGCCCAGGAGGTCAAGGCTGCTGTGAGCCATGACCGTGCCACTGCACTCCAGCCTGGGTGACACAGCAAGACCCTGTCTGGGGAAAAAAAAAATGCTGCGTGTGGTGGCTCACGCTTGTAATCTCAACACTTTGGGAGGCCGAGACAGGATCACTTGAGGCCAGGAGTTTGAAACCAGCCTGGCCAACATGGAGAAACCCCATCTCCACTACAAATGCAAAAATTAGCCAGGCGTGGTGGTGCACAACTATAATGCCAGCTACTCAGGAGGCTGAGGCCAGAGAATTGCTTGAACCCGGGAGGTGGAGGTTGCAGTCAGCCGAGATCGCACCACTGCACTCCAGCCTGGCCAACAGCCCTGTCTCAAAAAAGAAAAGAAACAGAGGCATAATAAAGCTGAGACCATTAAAATATAACACTGAAGAACCACAAGTGTTCTTTAGGTGCCCATTCTGGCACCTGGGCCTCCGTCCCAAGGAGGCTACATACCATAGGAGGCAGCCCTGAAATCACAACCTCCCTCCCCAGTAACGGAGGATGTGGGCACACAAGGAGGGAGGGGAGTGTCCTTTACACCAGGCAGAAGAGTATGATCCTGGCAGAGGAAGCAGCAAGGACAAAGGCAGGAGAGTGGATGTGTGAAGAAGACCAGGAGTCTAGCAGACAGTTCCTGTTAGGGAGAGTCATTTTTGGAGGAAACTGTCTCAAATAGCACAGCCCTTGAACACCAGAAAAAGAAATGAGGGCAGTGGGCACAGAGAAGGGAGGCAGCCATAGAAATGCATGGGGAGGGCCAAGGCTGGTGGTTCATACCTGTAATCCCAGCACTTTGGGAGGCTGAGGCAGGTGGATCACTTGAGGTCAGGGGTTCGTGACCAGCCTGGTCAACATGGTGAAACCCCGTCTCTACCAAGAAATGCAAAAATTAGCCAGGTTGGTGGTACACACCTGTAGTCCCAGCTACTTGGGAGAATCACTTGAGCCTGGGAAGCGGAGGTTGCAGTGAGCAGAGATCATGCCACTGGACTCCAGCCTGGGTGACAAAGTGAGACTTTGTCTTGAAGAAGAAGAAGAAGGAGAAGGAGAAGAAAGAAGAAGAAAGTAGCAGCAGAAGAAATACATGGGGAATGCACCTGGGAGTGCAGTCTGGAAGCTGGATGGGCTTGAGCCAGCAGAAGGGTGGCTGCAGCTGGATCCTAGGCCTTAGGACTTGGGCTTGACAGATTTGCACTGAGGGTTGGAGGGCAGGTTTGCAGGCTCCGAGGAGCTCAATATCCACAGGCTGAGTCTTGAGAGCCCCTGGAGCCCATGGGCCAGGATGCCCACCCTCGTGGAAACTAAACAGTAAAGTTAACATTGCCCTTGAATCAGCTGGCCAACCTCTCCATTTTGCAGATGAGGAAACTGAGGTCCAGACAGCCGAAGAGTGGTAGTGTCCAGGACACACAACTGGTAAGCGGGCAAGCACAGGCTGTTGCTTAGCCCAGACTCATTTCCCAGGGCCTCATGCATTCGCTTCCTCCGCGATCCTTAAAGCCCTGCGCTCCAGGCATCCCCAGCCCCTCCCTCTGCCTCAGTTTCCCCACTTGGTACCGGGAGGTGGTAGGTTTGGGGTCGAAGGGCCCCTCCTCTTAGAGCTCCAGCGTGCCCTCCCCAGCCAAACACAGAAATCCCGCCCCGTTCAGCCCCAACCCCCGCGGACTCCTCCTTGCCTTCCCCTAAGTCGAGGGTCCCAGGCGGCCCGGTCCGAGCCGGCCGATAGCTTTTGGGAGTGGGGGTGGGAACGGGGGAGGGAGGTGAAGCCTGAGAGTGGGTGTCTGGATTGAGCCCCAGGTCTGGCAGCCTCGAGCCTCCGGGGTTGGGGCTGGGCAAGCTGGAGAGGCCCGGCCAGCAGCTGAATGGGTCGAGACTCGGAGACCCGGACCCGAAGAGACGCTGGGCAGGGAGGGAGCGGGATGTGTGGCTGCAGACCTGGGCGGGGGTCGGGGCTGGCCTAGGGCCGAGAGGAACGACAGGCCTGGGATGGGACTGAGGGCAGGGGACGAGGCGAGGGTGGGGCTGGACGTGGGGGAGGGCGGCAGCAGCCAAGCCGGGCTCGGGGCTGGCAGCCGAGCGGCCTCCCCAGGGACCCCGACCCGGCCCGAACGGGAGCCCAGTGGACTGACAGCGTCGCGGCCGGGGGCGCGCGGGGGTACCGGGCAGCCTCCTCAGGGGATTCGCCCATGATGAAAGAGGGCTCGCTTCTCGGCTCAGGGTCTCTATTCGCCAGCGGGGGCCGGATGATCAAGGGAAAAAAAATTTAAAAGCCCGTGCTTTCCAGAAGAGAATGAAGCGGCGGCGGCGTCCCGGGTTCCCTGCTCGGGTCTCGATGTTACAGCTGCCCCCGCCCCGTCTCCCCAGCACTCACATCCCGCCGCCGTAAGACTCCGGGCCTCGGCCTCTAGCGCAATGTCCCGGGGCGGGGGGCGGAAGGCTCCTCTCGGCCTCTCCACACTCCCGCGTCGGCGGCTGCGGAGGGGGTGGGGGCGGGAGAGGCCCGGGAGGGCGCGGGGGAGGGAAGAGGCGCCCGGCCGGGGAGAAGGGGAGCGGCAGACGCCGAGGCGAGGGATGCGCGCGGCGGGCGGTGGCTCCGAGCGGCGGCCGGGCGGGGGGCGCTGGAGGCCAGGCCGGCCAGCGGGGGGTATCCCGAGAGCTCCATGAAGTCCCCCCGGGGCCGCGGACGGGGCGCTGGCTTGGGGAGGCTGTCGGGGGGGCCCCGACATCCATGGCAAGGCGGGGGCCGCGGCGGCGCGCTCGGAGTAAGTCGGGGCTGGGGACCCGCGCCGAGGGGAAGTGGCCGGAGTCGGGGAGGAGCGACTCCGGGCCTGGCCGGAGCAGCCAGGCTGCTCTGTCTCGGTGTCAGTCGGCGGCGCCTCCTCGGAACCCGGGGGAGTCGCCAGCCCCGCGCCGCTCGGCTCGGTGGCTTTTTTGGAAACTTGCAAATGTTTTCGTAGAGAGAAAAGGGGGAGGGAGGGAGCGAGGGAGTGACCGAAACGGAGCTTGGGGCCGCTGGAAGAACTGAGGCCAAGGCCGGGGGAGCTAGAGACGGACTGACAGACAGGCAGACCGACAGAGCGTCGGGGCCGCTGCGCGCCCGAGCCGCACAGGCGCAAGCGGGGCTCTGGCCAAGGATGGGGAAGGGGTGCGGGAGGCGGCTGCCGAGGGTCTGGGATCTCAGGAGGCCGAACGGCCGGGGGCTGGCGGCCGGAACACCTAAGGGCTCAGTGTGGCTGCAAAGTTGAGATCGCACCCCCTAACTGCACGCCCCGCGCGGCTCAGAACGCGCCCCCTGCCCGGCCCTGACTCCCTACGCCGAAAGTCGCGGAGCTAAAAATAACAGTCCTGCGCGCCCCCCGCAGACCGCGACCCCGACCCCTCCCCCGCCCCCTCCCCCCACTGGGCGTGGGGCGAAGCCACAGCTCCCATTTCCCCAAAAGAAAAAAAAAGAAAGAAAGAAAGAAAGAAAGAAAGAAAAGGCGGCGCGGGAGGGGGGCGGGGGGCGGGCCGGGGGCGGGGGGCCCGGCCATATGGATGTGATTTCTTCGCTCCGAGGCAGACGGGCCGCTCCGCAGCGCTCGGCGCCCGCCCGCCGCCCGCCCGGCCTCCGGCTCTCCCTCCCTCCCTCCTGTCCCTCCCTCCCTCCCTCCTTTGCGCTGCTCGCTCGCTCGCTCGCTCGCTCGCCCTCAGCGCATGGGCCCCGCGCCGGGCCCCGGGGCCTCGGGCCGCCGGGACGCCGGGGTCCCATAGGCCGGGGCGTGGGCGGGGCGGCCAGCCTGACGCAGCTCTGCACCCCCTACCACCACCAGGGCCGGCGGCGGCGGCTGCCCCGAGGGACGCGGCCCTAGGCGGTGGCGATGGGGACCGCCCGGATCGCACCCGGCCTGGCGCTCCTGCTCTGCTGCCCCGTGCTCAGCTCCGCGTACGCGCTGGTGAGTCCCCCGCCGCCAACACTCCGGGACAGGCTGCGGGCTTACCCTAGGGTCCGCGGGATAGGTCTAAGGCACGCAGTCTTGAGTTCCCCCAGTAGTTCGAACTTTGGGTGAGAGTCCCCTCTGATCCAGGATCCTGGGTGCCTGCTGTCTCTGGGATGTCTGGACTGTGGGTTCCAGCTGCCTGAAGCCTCCCTATTTCTGAAGCCTCGTTTGGGGTCCCAAATCTGGCAATTTGTGGTTGAGTTTTCACCATCCTCTGCTTCTGTGAGCACCATGGCTGTTTCTCCCTGGAAGATGACAGTGTGACCCAACAGAAGGCTGGGCTTTGGCCCTGCTGCGTACTCCCACAGACTTTGCTTTGGGGACCTCTGTTTTCTGCAAGTTTTGTTGCAGTCCCGGACACAGGGAATGTAGGTCTGAGGTCAGAATCATCCAGGCAGGGGGTAGGATTTAGGGGCCCCCTCCAGCCCTCACACACACACATGCACACGTCTGGCTTCACCCAGGGTAGAAGCTGTTTCCCCAAGGAGGTGGGTGTGGTGTGGCATGGAGAAGGGATGGAGTTCCCTGAAGGAGACTGACCTCACAGTGCACCCCTGTAGGAGAAGCACAGCATATCCTGTGGGGAAGTGAGGAGACCCCTGGAAAGACTGTCACTCCCTGAGAGTGACCTAAAAGCAGAATGGTAGGGAAGGCTAGAGGGAGAGGAGAGACAGAGACAAAGCCGGGTGGGGAGGAGAGATCCCCCCAGCTGGAGGGGTGGACAGACTAAGAACAGCAAAAAAAATAGGGAGACAGGCAAAGGCAGAAAGCTGGAGACACAGAGTGGGCAGCACCTCCTCCTCCTGGGCCAGGGTCTGGGGCCCACTTGCTGGGAAGGGGGCTGTCCCAGCCCCTCAGTCCTATTCCACAGCAACCCCATCCCCTGGGACGAGCCCGTTCCTGGGGAGGCTGTCTGCCTGTGCGCCTAACTTCAAAGCCTCTTCTCCCTGCTCCCCAGTGGGGGTATCTGCCTGCTAGAGAGCAGGGCAGTCAGGCAGCCTCCTCCTCCTGACCAGCAGCAGCTCCCTACACGGGGCAGAGCTCCAGGCAGTTCCAATGAGCCTGGGATTCCTCCACCTTTGCATGATGCCTGTGTAAGCCTGGGCTGTCCTTCTCCGTGCCTCAGTTGCCCCATCTGTAAAAGAGAGGGCCTGGAAGAAACATCTGCCTGAGAATCCCATCATCAGAGGCTCTCCCTTCCTCTGAGGTCCTCAGCACTTCCCACTTACCTGTGCCTACACCCTCACAATTCTGGCCCCAGCAAAGGCTCCCCACCAAAGACAGCCCCATACAAGGCCTTGTGGATGGGGAAACTGAGGTTCAGAGGAGCTCAACACCCTCTGCAGAGACACTCCAAGTACTGACGAATGCCAGGGGATAGAACTACCACCAACCCCACCCCCGGAGTTTGGTGTGTGACGGCCTGAGGGGTAGACAGGGTGATGGGTGTGGGTGTCCTGAGAGTAAGTCTATGTGTCAGAGCAGGGTTCTGTGGGACTCTGGGCATGGTGTTCATCTGGGTCTGTGTGATTGTGAGTGTCTGAGTCCCTGTGTGAGTTCACGTGTCTGAAGTTGTGGTGCATGACTTGGAGGCGCAGTTGTGTGTGTTTGTGTGTGCCTTTGTGAGCGCCTGTGCACCCGGGCCTGTTGTTTTCTTATGTGTATTTCATAAATGCTTCTGTAGGGCTTTCTACTTGCCATTGTTCTAAGCAATTCACGTACATTAGCTAGTCTAATCCTCCCAACCACCCTCAGAGGAAGGTTATTGTCCCCATTTTTAACTGGCCCGAATCACACAACCACAATGACCATTATTTATCTCATGCCAAGCCCTGTGCCTCTATGTGTGTGTGGAGTATGGGTACCCAGAGCCCCACTGCTCTCCAGGGAAGCTGAGATATATGCAGAGAATCTTCCTGGCTTTGCCCTGGCCCATGTCTGAGAGTAGAAGGACAGATGCCAGTGTTCAGTCTGCCCAGGACCTTGTTGGGGCATGTGAGTTCACTGGACACTCCCTGGCTTCGGGGCCAGAAGATTGGGACTGAAGGGCGGGGGCAGCCTACTCACCCATCCAATATCCTATGGGCCCCCTGGACTCATCTGGGGCCAGCAAGAAGCTGGCAGCCTGCCAGCTCCCTCTCCTGAGCCCAGAGGGCTACTGCCCCCCTTTAGATCTGCACCTATGCCCCTCAAGCCCACCAACCTTATCTCATGGCCGGTCACCAAACCTGTATGCTACCTGCCCAGCTGGTCCCAAGACCAGGCTCACATCTCCAGTGACCTCACATTTGGGGGGCCAAAGAGCATTCCATCTGGAGGACACTGGTTGTGGCCAGACTCAGCTGGTCCATCTTCTGCTGTACAGGAAACAGTTACCTGGGAGCCTGGAGTCTGGGGCGGGGTGGAGTTTGGAGGAAGTGATAGACCCACAGATTGTGAGTAGGAGGCAAAGGGGCACTCTTGTCCTTGAGGATGCGTCCTCCTAAGGACCCCCCCAGCATGTACACATGTGGAGGAGAAACTGCAACAAGAGAAGCTGGAGCTCAGCATGGGGCAGGCCTTGAGTGTGAAGATGTGACCACTGGGTAGGACTCACAAGAGACTGTGGTGTGGACTCACAGGCTGGGAGTGTGTGGGACCTTTTCCAGCCTGCTCCAGGGGCAGCTTGGCCATGTTGCTTGCTTGCTTTTTTTCTTGAGACAGAGTCTCACTCTGTCGCCCAGGCTGGAGTGCAGTAGTGCGATCTCGGCTCACTGCAAGCTCTGCCTCCCGGGTTCACGCCGTTCTCCTGCCTCAGCCTCCTCAGTAGCTGGGATTACAGGCGCCCGCCACCATGCCCAGCTAATTTTTTGTATTTTTAGTAGAGATGGAGTTTCACCGTGTTAGCCAGGATGGTCTCGATCTCCTGACCTCGTGATCCGCCCGCCTCGGCCTCCCAAAGTGCTGGGATTACAGGCGTGAGCCACCACGCCCGGCCGGTTGCTTGCTTTTAAAGACAGGAAGAAGCCAACATGTACAGAACAGTGGCTGTCCCCAGATTCTGAGCTAGAAACTGTCACAGATTGTTTTCTTATTTCATCCATTCACCCAGTGATTTCTACGCTAAAGGGCCCTGAGAGTCACACAGTGAGTCTGTGGCACAGCAGGATTTGAACCCAGATCTTTAGACCTTTGCACTGAATTCCTTCCTCAAAAGCAGCACGAGATTTGCTGCTGGCAGGAGATCCTCATGTCTCACTCTGGGTTTTCTCTTTCTTTTTTCTTTTTTAAAAATTAAATCATGGCCGAGTGCAGTGGCTCACACCTGTAATCCTAACACTTTGGGAGGCCGGGCAGATCACCTGAGGCCAGGAGTTCGAGACCAGCCTGGCCAACATGGTGAAACCCCCATCTCTACTAAGAATACAAAAATTAGCCACGCGTGGTGGTACGTGCCTGTAATCCCAGCTTATTGGAAGGCTGAGGCAGGAGAATCGCTTGAACCCAGGAGGCAGAGGTTGCAGTGAACCGAGATCACGCTGCTGCACTCCACCCTGGGCGACAGAGGCTCTGTAAAAAAGAAAAAAAAAATTAAATCCTTCTGTTATTTTGTTAATTTTTAACTTCACAACTGATATATGAATATGTTCTTATAAAAGAGTCAAACAAGTCTGTAATCCCAGATACTTGAGAGGCTGAGGAGGGAGAATTGCTTGAGCCCAGAAGTTCAAGGCTGCAATGAGCTACGATCATGCCACTTCACTCCAGCCTGGGTGACAGAGTGAGCCCCTGTCTCTGAAAAAAAAAAAAAAAAAAAAAGAGAGAGAGTCAATCAATAAAAATTAAACAGAAGCCCTCCTTGATCACTCCCAAGCCCCAGTTCCCTTCTAGGGAAAACCATTTTTAGCAGTTTGGGTAGAGGGGCGTTCTCCTTCCTCTTTCTGTGTGTTTCCAAATGGTACCTCTTTGTGTACATATCAAGTAGATAATTTTGTCATTTTCTATTTGTCTGGTTGTTTTTAAATAAATGGCATCGGTTTCTAGATAGGGCTCTGCCACATACATATTTTGACGTAAATGTGTGTCTTAGAGATCTTCATTTCAGTAAATATGAATCTATATTTTTAAATGCTGCATAGTATTCCAAAACCTGGGACTCATTAAGTAGTCCATAGGAATGTACATTTAGATCATTTCTGCATAATTTGTGTGTGTGTCTATATGTGCGTGATTCCAGATGGTGGCAGGGAAGCTCCTTGAAATGCCCTCTAGTGTCCCCATGTGACTATTTCCTAGTAGGATATTTCTAGATTTTGTCATTGCTGGGCCTGAGAATATACATATTTTTTATTTTAATAGCATGGCCAAATTGCCCTCTAAAAAGCTTGTGCTGCTTTGTACTTATACAACACCAAGACCAACCAGGAGGGCCTCTCTGCCCACACCCACTGTCTCATAGGATGTTAAGAGGATTCTTTGTGTTTCACCTTTGCTTGGATAGGTGAAAATGGTGTCTCTTGTCATTTTAATTTGCTGATTACCAGTGACTTCTGGGCTTTACAGTGAGAGCTTGCTCGGGGCCATTAACCATCATTCTATGGGTTATTTGTCTTTTTCGTATTGATTTGTTGAAGCTTTTTATATCACCTGCTCTTAAACACATTCACCTCAGCTCTTGAAACGGCTTATGGACAGAGCAGCAGGAGGGTGCCGAGCCCTCCGAGGAACTGGGGTTTTCTTCGGAATGTTTTAATGAGGCGTCAAGTAGCCTCCCTCAGATTCCTGTTGTGGGCCTTCTGGGGACACTCCCTGGTCCAGCCACCACATCAGGAAGGCAGCTATTTCAGAAGGAGAGTCCTCAGGAAAAAGAAAAGGTGGGGCGAGGGTTTTGCAGACCTCTGAAATTGTCTGCAAAATACGGTGTGATTGGGAGAAGGGCGCAAACTTTTGCTCAGGTTTGCAGAAACATCAGAGACCTTCAAACCCTTAAAAGCCCCAACTCTGGGGCCAGTCTTATGCCCGAGGTGAGACCTAGTGGGATCCCATTCTGCTGAGCAGGCGATGGCTTAGATTAGGCCATACTGTTCTTCTGGGCCTTGATTCCTCAACCCAAGTAGGGCCTGCTTATGAAGATCCACCAGGTCGTAGCAGCCAACTCCGCTATCCCAGGCTGCATCCCACTGCCTGCCCCGAAGGCGGCCACGCTGGCTGGCCAGGATGAGAGGCGTCACAGTGCCTCTTCCCCCCCAGCCCCTCCCAGCCCCAAACACAGGCAGCCTGTTCAGGAAAGCCTGGCGAAGGGGAGGAAAAGTCAGCACTTGTCAGCGGTGGCGGGGCAGGACGAGGAGCCTGCTCAGGCCAGCCGGACAGAGAGAGGGCAGCAGGGGTGGGGGAGCAGTCCCAGCCAGCTGGCACGGGAGACATCCAGGGGTGCCAGCATGGGTCCCAGTAGTAGAACCTGGAGGAGGGCTGTAGGAAGGCCAGGAGGTCATGAAGGGGTCTCCTGTTAGCCAGGGTTTTCTCCTTCTGGCTGTGCTGGAGGCATCAACGGCCTGGTTCCCAACACCAGAGCCCAACTGTCCTCTACCCAGTTACAGCTGGGGACAAGCCGCCATCACTGGCATCACCGGCACCTTTATGTCTACACACCTCTGCTCCTAAATCGGCTTCGGGGAGGCTGCCTTAGGGGATCTGCAAAGGGAGACTTGCTTAATGTAGCAGCTAAAATCCAGGATTATGGAAAGATGATACCGTGGCTGGTGCCAGGGTACCCGTGTGGCTGGGCACTTCCTCCTCTCTTTCCCTTCTTCCAAGGCTGCTGCTTCAGTGTCAAGCAGATCTTAGCTCCATCCCTGGCCCTCCTCTTTCTGTGACTCTTGGCCTCAGTGTCCCTGTCTGTAAAATGGGGATGTGGTAGAAGGTGCAGGAGGCATGGGTTTTAAAGCTCCTTGCTGACCATGGGGAGGATGTGCTACAGTGGAGGGTATTGAAGCCAAGCACCATGATGGCTGGGTTGGGGGAGTCAAGTCAGCCCTAATCAGGACCATAGGAGGAGTGTTGGGGGGATATGGGACAGCTGGTGCAGGGCTGGGTGGCCTGTAAGTGGTGGGTATGGACTAAGTGACCCCTGGCCACAGCCCAGCCCCAGTCCCTCAGTCCTCACCCCTGAGACCCAAGATCTGCAGATCCGCTGGATCTAAGGGGACGCAAGCCTGAGTCCTCTGCACCCTGGCGCTGAGCCAAGAAGACAGGAACTCCTCAAGGGAGAGAGGGTTGGAGGGGCGGGGAGAAGGGAGTAGCAGACAGGGGGCATGCCAGGCTGAGAAGAGATACAGCTGTCAGCATTTCCCCTTCATCCCCAGGAGATAAGGCCTCCTCAGTCAGGGCAGAGGCAGAGGAGGGGGTCCTTTTTCCTCCTAAGCTCAAGCTTGGGGCCTCTGGCAGTAACCTTGAATCCTAATGTAAGTCCAGAGTGGATCCAGAAATGCAAGGAGCCATTGGGATACTCTTCCATCCCAAAAGCTTGCCAGGAACACCTTATCTAGCAGGTCCTCCTGTAGTCCCTGCCCCCAGTCCACCCTGGGGCCCCATCTCCCATCTGCCCCTCACTGTCACCTGCTGGACTCAGCCATCTACCCAGATAATCTCCCCCAGCCACCTTGGGTCCCTGGCCTGGCTGGGAGCACCCATGTCACCAGGCAGCAGGGGTGCACATGGCGGGGATGTGACTTGCTGCTGCTGCTGCTGCTCACAGTATCAACAATAGCAACCAGCTTTTCCTGAGCTTCACCCCTGCACAGGCTTGTTGTGAAGTACTTCATTTAATCTTCACAGCAGCTTTTTTTTTTTTTTTTTTTTTTTTGAGATGGAGTTTCGCTCTTGTTGCCCAGGCTAGAGTGCAATGGCGCGATCTCGGCTCACTGGAACCTCCGCTCCCAGGTTTGAGCGATTCTGCTGCCTCGGCCTCCCGAGTAGCTGGGATTACAGGCGCACCACCACACCCAGCTAATTTTGTATTTTTCAGTAGAGACAAGGTTTCTCCATGTTGGTCAGGCTGGTCTCGAACTCCTGACCTCAGGTGATCCACCTGGTTTGGCCTCCCAAAGTGCTGGGATTACTGGTGTTAGCCACCGTGCCGGGCCAACAACAGCCCTATTATTACCCTGATTTTACAGGAAAACTGAGGCACACGGGTTAAGCAACTTTCTCAGACACGAAGCTAGTCAAGGGTGGAGGTGGGATTCACATTGTGGGGCTGGTGGCAGAATCTCCTTGAAGAGGAGGGCACAGCTGGAGGGAGGAGTGAACAGGAGTGGGGGCATTCCAGGCACGGAGCTGTGAGCTAACGTTTGGAGGGGTAGCGCACTTGGTGTGGGGTTGTCCTCCTCTTCTTGGGAAAGTGCTTCCTTAACTTTAACATGAGTTATTCTTGTTGCAATGGCTGTGCTAACAGATAAATAGGTCCTAAAGTTCAGGGAGGCCAGAGGTGGGGCCACCACCCCTATGGATGAATGAAGGAGTGTGGGAGTCATGCGTGCTGGAAGCACATATCTTTCCCTCTCCTGAACATCCCAACTCCAGAAAAAGGGGTGTGCCTCCTCCTGGCCATGGAGAAGGTGAAGCCAACAGCTGGAGGTAGAGGCTGAGCCAATTCCTTGAGCCAGTGAGGGGTGTGTTGGTCAGCTTTCGGTGGTCAGGCTGCCCAATGGCCACTCAGTTTTCAACCCATGACTGCCTGCCTGCAGTCTAGGCCATCAGGGGTGACCCCCAGTCATATCAGTAGGCTGGTCTGTCTGTTGGGAGGCCCAGGGAGTCAGCAAGTCTCTAAGGATGTGTGGGAGCCTCCGTCAGTCACTCCAGAGCTCTCCATCAGCTGGAGAAAATACAGCACAATGGGTTTGTCTTGAGAGGGGTGGAGGTGGCAGAAGAAGAAGGATAGTGGGGAGGGGGTAAGACAACAAGATGGCAAAGGCAGTGTAGATGGTAGTTGTTGGGCAGGTGGCAGTATTGCTGATGGTGCTAATGTTGCCTTGGTGATGCTGGAGGTGGTGGCAGTGGTGCTGGTGCTGGTGATGTACCAGTTGTGATGGTGCAGATGGTGGTGATGGTGGTTATATGGATGGTTACAGTAGTGCTCATGGTGGTAACGGTGATGCCAGTGGTGGTGGTGGTAGTACTGGGAGGGACTGGTGATGCTGGTGTTGGTGTTAGTGACAGTAATGATGGTTATTGATGGAGGTACTAGCAGCAACGATGGAAATGGTAGTTAATGGGTGCTGTAAATGGAGTGAGGTGGACAGGGATCAGCCCCCTCACCAGCATGGATCCCCCATGTCAGAGGCACAGGGAGAGCTTCAGGTTAGTCTTGGAGGCCCCTGGATCCTGGCAAGTCCAACTTGTCCTCCCTTAAGCCATCCCATCATTCTGTGTCTACCTCTGCCCCAGCCAGCTCAGCCATAGCTGGGGAAGCAAAGAGACTAGGATAGAGGAGCTTAGGCCAGCCGCCAGCACGTGAGGATCTGCTCCAGCCCTTCCTGGGGTCCATAGTACCAGCGGAGATCTCAGGGTCCACCTCAGCCCCCAGAGACACCAGAAGCACGGGCCACCCACAGACGCAAAGGCTAAGGAGCTGCCGCCTCACTCACAGACGCACACACGCCGCCCTATGCCCAGAAATACATGTGCACGTGCATGCTCACAAACACGTCCGGCTCGCGTCCCATACTGACAGGCTGGACAGTCTCCATGTGAGAACGCGCACGGACGGGCACACACAAGTGCACGCGCCGGCCACTCGAGAATGCGCTGCCACTCGCGCGCGCACGCACAGGGACGCGCACGCGGCTCCGCTAAGTGGAACCAGCAGAACCCAAGGCCGGCCGAGCCAATTGGAGACTCCTTGGCCCTGGAAGCCCTCGCTGCTGCCGCCAAGAGACGCGGTCAATTAACTTCTCCCTGCAGCCAGGCTCTCTGACCCGGCCTGCCCGCCCCTCTCGCCGGTGCCCGCCCCATGCCCGACCCGCCTTCTTCCTCCCCTGCCTCCTCTGGGTCCTCCCGCCCTTCACAGCCATGCTCGGACTGCAGGGCCCCGGCCCCGCCTTGGCGCGTCTGAAGGATGCAGCTCTGCCGCGGAGCTGAGGAGACGTAGCCTTCTGGGGTAGGGATGGAGGGGGTCGTCTCAGGGGACATACCCCTGCCCAGGGGTCTGAGGAAACACGACCCTGAATTAAGAGGGATGGGGCTGAGGGCTTCACAGCCCCGCCCTGGGGAGGTTTCAGAGACCGCCTTAACCTCTGCGGGTCACATTCACGGGAATGGCTGGGCTAGGCACACCAGGCTGCTCCCAAGTCAGAGGACAGAGGCTGAGACCCCTCAGCAGCCACCTGCTCTGGGTGAGCCTCCACCCGCATGATATTTCATTTCCTTTCTTATAATGAGGCCAGTGAGTCCCGGTGGGTGGCAGCCAGGGCCCAGGGTGTGCAGGTTGGAGGGAAGGGAAAGGACATTCCAGGCAGAGAACAGCAGGAGTGAGGGCCTGAGTGTCATCAGAACTCCGAGTCTGGATGGAGGGAGCTCCCAGATAAGCAGTGGAATGAGAGGGACTCCCACCCCCAGCCAGCACCAGAGTGCCCAGCCCAACCCAGGCCGCATGCCAACAGTTCCTCCATCCTCTCTTTCTCTCTCTTGGGATTGTAAGGAGGGGAGGCATTGAGGCACTCACCGTTCACTGGGGACAGCATTGACTGGGGAGCTGGGCCAAGATGGAAACTGGTGACTCCCAAGACCCCCCAGGGTGCCAGGACTTGAAGGACTCCAGGCTGGGTTTGTCTCCCCACAGTTCACCACTCCTTATCCACCCCCTGCCCCCGACTCATGTCCCCAGCAGGCAGCCAGGATCCTGTGTGGATCCATCCTGGGACATTCCATTCCAGTCCCATGTACCCCTGGGGAAAGGACTGGACAGAGAATATCAGTGACTGCAGCCTACAGGGTTACTGGCGGGCAGGCAGGAGAGAGCCCCTGCTTTTTCCCTTCGATCAGGCAGGCCCTACCCCTCAGAGCCACAGCTTCCCATCTGTAAGGTGTGAGCTCCATAGAGCAGATTCCCCACATGCAGGGGAAATCCCACCTTCCCTCTAGAGTCAGGGCCTTTTGAAAGGGGGTAGTCCCTCTGGGAAATTGGGATGTCTCTGGGACCTGCTGCTGCGCCGGAAAGTCCTGCCTGTGGTCTGACCTTCGGCTTGGCAGGTGGATGCAGATGACGTCATGACTAAAGAGGAACAGATCTTCCTGCTGCACCGTGCTCAGGCCCAGTGCGAAAAACGGCTCAAGGAGGTCCTGCAGAGGCCAGGTGGGGGTCAAAGGAAGAGGGTCTGGGGATGAGGTCAGGTGAGGGAGGGGCCAGTCAAGGGCGGGACCCAGGATACAGAGCCAGGTGAAGGCTCTCTGTGGGGGCGGACTTAGGTAAAGGGGGCCAGGCCAAAGTGAGAACCAAAGTGGGGTGCGTGGTGCAAGAGTGGAGTCAGCAGGCTCGGGCATCCATGGCTTGTCCTAAGTCTCGAGCTCAGGTCCCTGTGTTGCCCACAACCAGCACTCAGACTGATAGCTGTCGGGTTAATCTCATCAACTGAAGAGGCCCAGACCCCAACTGACTGAAGGAGAGGAGCCGCTTCCTCCCCTGACAAGCCCTTAGGGTTCTGCAGGGGTTGAGGCTGGTGATCGCCCAGAACACAAGCACACAATGACAAACACACTCTGTGGCACACAGATTTTGCTCACACTCACAGAGACTCACATGGTCTCTGCAGTCACAGCCCCACCGATGCCAGCCCCAACAGTGGCTCCCAGTCACATCGAGATCTGGGGGGTCAGATGGGCCCCCTCATTCTGGGTCCTGAACCCAGCCCCTCTTCTTAATTGTGAAAGCCTGGAGGAGCCTCTCTTTGCCCCTCATCATCCACCATGGAGCCTCTCGCTTCCTACTGTACCCCACCCTGCTACCCACATCCCCACACTGAGGCCCGAGGGTGGAGGCAGGAAAATGAGCACAGTCATTCTCATCCCAGTCCAGGCTGCTTGGACTCAGCTTCCCATCATTGCCACAGACCCGACATGTAAGGACCAGGGGGGCCTAGCTTGGGCGGTGGCTGAAGGAATACAAGTCAGAAAATGAGGAAGACTTTGTGGCTAGGAAGAAAGACCTCTCCAGCCTGGGCAACATAGTGAGACCCCATCTCTAAAAAAAAAATTTAAAAATTAGCGAGGTATGGTGGTGCACACCTGTAGTCCCAGCTATAGGGGAGGCTAAGGTGGGAGGATCACTTGAGCACAGGAATTTGAGGCTGCAGTAATTTGTGATCATGTCACTGCACTCCAGGCTGGGCGATAGAGGGAGACCTTGTCTCAAAAAAAAAAACAAAAAAAACAAACAAACAAAAAAAAAAAACGTCCAGCATCTCTCCAATGAGAAGAGAGGCCAGGCTCCATCTCAGATTAGGCATCTCAACGGCCACTGTGGAAGCTGTGAACCACATACTTGAGGATCCAGGGCAGGGGATGGGGTGGTCTTCTCTGTCCACTCTTGACTGTACCACCTTGCTCTTGTCTTCTCACCACCAGCTTCTTTACCTGCACAGCACTCAGGCCAGACTTAATTTTCGCTATGTAACCTGTCCATTGACATCACCCACTCTGTCTGCTTTCACCGTGCGCCCCCTGGTGGGGCCTTCACTGCTGCGTGGCCTTGGCCCCCACCCACTCCTGACTCCTGGGTGGGAGGATACCACCTCTGCTCTGTCTTGCCCAGTTTAGTGCTCACCCCACTAGCTGATCCTGCACTCCCATTCCAACCCTGGGGGACAATCTCCACCTCCTCTTATTACTTCACCTGGCAAGCACTTTACACTTTGTTAAACACCTCCTCACCCATCGTCTCAGATCTCCCAACAGCCTAGGTGTCACCAGGGCAGGAGACAACCCCCCCATTGTACAAAGGGGGAGTCTGAGGCCAAAGAGTACCCTGGGTCTCCTGTTGTAGCACAGCTGACAGCCATCATTACCACCCTGGTTTCTCCAGCCAGCATAATGGAATCAGACAAGGGATGGACATCTGCGTCCACATCAGGGAAGCCCAGGAAAGATAAGGCATCTGGGAAGCTCTACCCTGAGTCTGAGGAGGACAAGGAGGCACCCACTGGCAGCAGGTACCGAGGTACGTCTCTGCTTCCATGCATCCAGCTGGCATGGGCTTGGATCCACCCACCCCCATTGCACTGTCCCTCTGATGTGAGCTCATGCTTCTTGGCTCTTATAGAAAGTAAAAGGCTGCAGCCACATCCCCAGGCAAGGGGCTGGGAGAAGACAGAGTGTAGTGGGAAGGAAGGGGAGCTAGATGGCTCAGGCCTCAGAAAGAGATGAACAGAGAACTCTCCAGCACCACACCAAGAGTGGACCCAGGGCTACGGTCCCACCCATGGAGAGAAAGAGAGATGACAGAGAACCCTGGGGGACAGAGAGGCAGGGAGAGATACACAAAGACAGACAGATAGTGACAGAGAAAGACGGGGAGAGGCATGGAGACAGAGATCAACAGAGGCAGGGAGAGACAGTCACAGAGATAGAGGGGACCAGGAGGCACACACTGAAGTCTGGGCTCAGTGTGTCAGAGGAGGTACATGGGGACACATAGTGGATAGGGCCACAGAAATAGAGAAGGAGAGGAGGGCAGTGGCAGAGGGTGGGGCCAGAGGCAGTGGGACAAGGAGGGGAGAAGAGAAGGGAGGGAAGCAGATGAGGAAAGGCAGACAGAGCCCAGGCTTTGGCCACAGGGCCGGTTTCAGCCGGCCGGGTGGGCAGCAGATTCCAGATGGGCCACATCTGGGAGGCTGTGGTCACCCTGTGGCTCCCTGGGGACCAGAGGGAATTGTGGGCCTGGCTGGGTGGGGCTGGGAATATGGCGCCCAGGACAGAGAGCCTTTCACCAAGCCAGGGCGGGTCCAGCCATCAAGGCAGCCTTCCAGGGTGGCTGGAGAGTCCTGTGGTTGGAGCCCTACAGAGGGAGAGAAGGGGGCTGCAAGCTGGGAGTGGAATGTGGAAGATACAGAGGCTGGGGACCCTCCAAGGTCACTTAGCCTCCCTGCAGTGAGGCTGGGGCTCCAAAGTGGGATGTCACCCTACTTTGAATCCCACCATTAGCACTTAGATTTGGGGAATCGATCTCCCCCAGCAGTGGCCGTGGGAGTCTCACAGCAGGTACTCAGGGCAGGCATTGAGTGGTGGTAGAAGCATGGGCCAATGTGGTTAATCCCAACTTCCCAATGAGGAAATGGAAATAGAAAGACTTGGGACACCTGCGTGAGGTCAGCAGCTCCTTGGAGTCCAGCTGGCACTAGAAACCAGACCTCCTGCCTCCTGTCCATGATCCCAGGGGAAGGGGCACACAGGGAGCCTCCCAGCTGAGGGAGAGTTAGTCTGGGTACTTGCCCTTCTTCAGAGACACCTGGAAGGTGGTTCCAAGAGCAGAGAGAAAGGCGAGAGGCCTGGCCTGGGGCTGAGCACTTGAAGAGGACAGGGCCCTGTGTTGTATGACCTCAGCAAGTTGCCTACCTCTCTTGGCCTCTGTCAGCCCATCTGGAAAATGGGGCCAGTGCCAGTACCTGTATCGCAGAGGCCATAGTAAATTCTATGAGGTGGGTACAGCCCACAGAAATACATTTTCTCCAGAGTGCTCCAAAGCCTGAATTTTCCTGCTTGGGGCACACCTGTCCCTGCAGGAACCAACAACCACTGATGGGCCGGGTGCAGTGGCTCATGCCTGTAATCCCAGCACTTTGGGAGGCCGAGGCAGGCAGATCACCTGAGGTCAGGAGTTTGAGACCAGCCTGACCAACATGGAGAAACCCCATCTCTACTAAAAATACAAAATTAGCCAGGCATGGTGGCGCATGCCTGTAATCCCAGCTACTCGGGAGGCTGAGGCAGGAGAATCGCTTGAACCTGGGAGGCGGAGGTTGCAGTGAGCTGAGATCACGCCATTGCCCTCCAGCCTGAGCAACAAAAGCGAAACTCCGTCTCAAAAAAACAAAACAAAACAAAAACAAAAACAAACAAACCACAGATGTATTCATCCTTCTGGGTCACTAATCATGGCCTTGACTCTCCCTTGGTATCCCCTACCCTGTCTGTCTCTGGGCACAGGGCGCCCCTGTCTGCCGGAATGGGACCACATCCTGTGCTGGCCGCTGGGGGCACCAGGTGAGGTGGTGGCTGTGCCCTGTCCGGACTACATTTATGACTTCAATCACAAAGGTGAGGCCTGCTGGAAGGGGTGGGGATTACAAGGAGGCTGAGACTTGGAGCTAGGGGTTCAGTGCCTCGAGACCTCCCTGCCGGCCCTGACCTCCCATGGACCTGCAGGCCATGCCTACCGACGCTGTGACCGCAATGGCAGCTGGGAGCTGGTGCCTGGGCACAACAGGACGTGGGCCAACTACAGCGAGTGTGTCAAATTTCTCACCAATGAGACTCGTGAACGGGTGCGAGCCTTTCTCCTCCCCAACCTGACCAGGATAAATTCACTCCCACCCCACGGGTGACCCCTGACCCAGCCCTGACCCCTGACCTTGACTCCTCCAGCAACCTTACCCTGGCCTCTTGCTCTTACCCTGATGCTCTCCCTGGGTCCCAGGGCTCTGACTGTGTCTCCCCCCGCCCCGCACAGGAGGTGTTTGACCGCCTGGGCATGATTTACACCGTGGGCTACTCCGTGTCCCTGGCGTCCCTCACCGTAGCTGTGCTCATCCTGGCCTACTTTAGGTGGGCGGGGCGGGGCGAGAGGCGGCGGGACATGGTGGAGGGGGGGCGGTGGCCGAGGTCTGATGCGACCCCCTCCCTGCACCCATCACCCCCGGCGGGTGTCCCTACCTACGGCGCACAACCCAGCTTCCTGTCCACCCACCGCGCGTCCCCGTGCCCCCACCCACGGTCATGTCGCGCGCCCCGCAGGCGGCTGCACTGCACGCGCAACTACATCCACATGCACCTGTTCCTGTCCTTCATGCTGCGCGCCGTGAGCATCTTCGTCAAGGACGCTGTGCTCTACTCTGGCGCCACGCTTGATGAGGCTGAGCGCCTCACCGAGGAGGAGCTGCGCGCCATCGCCCAGGCGCCCCCGCCGCCTGCCACCGCCGCTGCCGGCTACGTGAGTACCCCTCTGCCCGCCCGCTCCCGGTGCCGCCACTGGCCTCGTGGGGCCCCGCCCCGCCCCGCTCCAGCCCGGCCCTCGCCCTGCCCGCCTCCTGCCAGCGCCACTGGCTTCAGCCACTCAAACCCGTCTTATAGGGTCCCTCGCAACCCTCAGCTCTGCCGCCGACCCTGCTGCCAAGGGCTCCGAGTGTCCCACACGCCCCGCGCTGCCATCAAGGCTCCTACCTCAACCCAGTACCCTCTAGCCACTCTACCTCTTCACTTTGCCTCCTGCCCCTGACACCGCATCCCCCTGAGAGAGCCCCCCAAACGAAGCCTGCCCCTTCCTGGCCTGTTTGGCCGGCACCACTTGTCCTCTCCTGCCGCCCCAGCCCCCCAGCCCAGCCCTGACTTCCCGGAGGCAGGCCCTGCCCTCTGACTAACACCAGCTGGTCTCTTAGGCGGGCTGCAGGGTGGCTGTGACCTTCTTCCTTTACTTCCTGGCCACCAACTACTACTGGATTCTGGTGGAGGGGCTGTACCTGCACAGCCTCATCTTCATGGCCTTCTTCTCAGAGAAGAAGTACCTGTGGGGCTTCACAGTCTTCGGCTGGGGTACGCGGGCACAGCGGGTAGCGAGGTGCCGGCAGGGGTGGGACCGTGGGTGACAGGGAGAGGGCAGCCCCTGGGGGGAGGCGCCCACACAGCACATCCCGCCCCAAGTGGAACAGCAGGAGAGAGGCCTGCCGCCCTTCTGTGATCCTGACCCTATTCCAGGCTCAGGAAACAGCAGGGCTTGGCCAGGGATCAGGTTCACCTGAGGTTAGATTCACCTGAATTGAGGCTCGGCCCAGGAGAGGGAAAGGAGGAACCATCAGGCCAAGATTCAGCTCAGGATCAGAGTAGGATACTGGGTCAGAGGTCAGCCTGGGGCTGGAATTGGGATCCGGGACCCTCCCTCTACCCTGAGCCCCATGGACTAGGCCAGCATCTATTACCCCACCAGTCCCCTTGCTGGGATGGGGCGCGGGGCTGCCCACACCATTGCCAGCCTCAGCAGGCCTGCGGGGTCCATGGCCCAGAGCCGTGGGCCCAGCACCTCAGCATCACCTGAGCTTCACAGCACCTCTGCAGAATGGGTTGCTGGAGCTGCGCACTCCTCCCAGCCCCCCACAGGCTCTGGGATCCAGTTACCGATAATTGTCCATTATTGTTGGCAGCTGCAGAGCTTGGCTGGGCTCCGGGACAACTGGCCAGACTGCAGAGGGGTGGGCCGGGTGGCTGGAGCCCTCTCTGCACTCAGCACCCAGAGGCCCACAGGTCAACAGCCACCGCCTCCCTGCCCCTCGACATACATCCTGACCCTGACCTCACCATGACAAGCCCCAGAGTTGGGGAGACCTGGGCCCAGTCCCAGGAACAGATGCAGGCTCTGGGGCTAGGAGGTGTCCTAGTGGACTGGCGACATGCAGATTGGGAGTGCATAGAATCCTGGGGCACAGGAATGTCACAGCTCTTTTTCTTACCGTAAAGCCAGGTCATACCCTATCCCTCCAAGGGTGTACCAGGCCTAGAGTCAAGTTGGTGGTATGTGGTCGGGGAGGACCTGGGGCTCCCTTCCCAGAGGCACAGCTCACCCAAATATACCATGTGCCCCTTGAGCTGGCGCAGGCCAGGACATACTGACACACCGAGGTCTCCCTGTGGCCTCTGCTTGGGACAAAACCTCTCACCCCATCCAGTCTCATCCACGAGGGCTAGGACCTTTCAAACCAGGTTGTGGGGGGTGCTGTGCTGGGGCAAAAAAAAATGCGGAAAATAGGCTGTCTCCCCATGGGAGCTGCAAGTCCAAAGCAGTGCCCTCTGCAGAGGGAGTGGACAGGGCATGGATCAGTTAGTGATACCTTATTATTATATTATGCCTTGTACCCCATATATGTGCATATGACATGGAGCCAAGATGAGGGCAGAGGCTGAGCTGGGTTTTGAGGGCTGGAGCCCCAAGGGGAAGCTGTTAGGGCACCACATGGCAGAGTGTGGCTCTGTCACCAAGTGGACCAAGTGCCCAGTGTCAGGGGTTCAGGGCAATGGTGGGGTAAGCTGGGGGTCATCGAGGATGAGGGGGGAATGACCTTGTGGACAGCAGCCACAGTCCTGCACACTGTCCCCCTCTGTGCCCACAGGTCTGCCCGCTGTCTTCGTGGCTGTGTGGGTCAGTGTCAGAGCTACCCTGGCCAACACCGGGTAGGTCCAGGTGGAGAAGGGGCCCAGGCAAGAAGCACCCCTGGGTCCCTTTTCTTCCAGGAAGCATGTGAGAGGGCCTCCTGTACCCTGGCCTCAAACGGCCCAGCCTCAGGAGTTCTCAGTCCAGCCTCAAGCCAGGAGCACCCTCAGGGTCACAGGAGGCTACTTCCAAAGAGGCCTGTGAGGGAGGCCTCAGGCCTGGCCACACCCAGCACCCCTGCCCTGTGTCCTCAACAGCTAATGTCAGACCAGACCAAATCTGGGTCTCTGTGGGCAGTCTTAGGATGGGAACAGGAGGGATGGGAGCTAATGCCTCAACCTCCCCCAGGTGCTGGGACTTGAGCTCCGGGAACAAAAAGTGGATCATCCAGGTGCCCATCCTGGCCTCCATTGTGGTGAGCAGGGGTGGGCTGCTGGCCACAGGGGTGGGTGGGATGTGCGCCTGCGTCCCCTGGAACCAGCCCCTGACAGGGACCTAGGAGGCTTCCCTGGACCCCAGTGTCAGAGCTACAGAGGCCGGAGGACCAGCTGATCCACACTCCAGCCCAGAAAGGAAAACCAAGGGCTCAAGGAGCCACCCAGAGATGCAGTGACAGAGCAGAGCCTATGGCCGTGGCTGCCAGGCCTTGCCCCGCCCCACTAGGGTGCAGCCTCCAGACGCAGCCCCCTCACTCCCACAGCTCAACTTCATCCTCTTCATCAATATCGTCCGGGTGCTCGCCACCAAGCTGCGGGAGACCAACGCCGGCCGGTGTGACACACGGCAGCAGTACCGGTGAGCCCACCATGCCTGCCATGCCCTGGCTCCTCAGGGGTCCCTGAGTCCTGGTACCATGTACCCCAGGAAAGACAGTGGCCCCATGAATGATCCTGGGGCAAGGGAAAGGACCCAGCGTCTGACTCCCTGGCTGTCCTCACCCACCTGGCCTGCCCAGCAGTGATGGGAGGCCCTAGGGCACCCCAAAGCCAGCCTGCCCACTTGTACCAGGCCCTGCACTAGAGCTGGAGTCTGTGAGTGTGCAACGAACTTGAACCTCTCCTCAAAGAGTTGGTTGCAGGGGGTCTGAGGAACAGGTAGGCGGTGAGTGGCCCCGGGAAGGCTGCAGCTCAGCTGAAACCTGAGGAGCGGACTGTGGGATAGTGAGGTTCGACCGTGGAGGGGAGTGCTTGCCAGCTGAGGGCTCCACAGGTGCGAAGGGCCCAGGGACAGGGGGACTGTCATTTGAAGTCCGCTCCGGGACACCGCTGAGAACCAACGGGCCCTATTAGCACTTAGCCAGGACAGCAGCCATGCAGGTGAACTGGGTTGTCCTCCCATGGTGACTGGAGCCCTGGGCCCCTTTGAGCTTCCGGAGCCTGGGGCTCGCAGGGTGGGGGGTGGCACAATGCTTGTTGAAGGGGAAGTGGCTTGGCCCTGACCTACCTGCCCCGCTGGCCCAGGAAGCTGCTCAAATCCACGCTGGTGCTCATGCCCCTCTTTGGCGTCCACTACATTGTCTTCATGGCCACACCATACACCGAGGTCTCAGGGACGCTCTGGCAAGTCCAGATGCACTATGAGATGCTCTTCAACTCCTTCCAGGTGCGCAGTGCTGGCCCGGGCCTGGCTGAGGGTGGGAGGGGTTCCGGGGGCAGGCCTGATTCGAGACACCCCTCTTCACAGGGATTTTTTGTCGCAATCATATACTGTTTCTGCAATGGCGAGGTAAGCAGGAGACAGTGTTGGCATAGGGCAGGGTGGGGCAGATACCCCAGAGGCTTCCTCAAGGCTCATTTCTCCATTCTTCCACCCTGTTATTTCTTTGTTCCTCCAAGAACACCCCTGAGGACATTCTGAAAGCAGAGAAGTCTTTCCAGATGATGCAGGTTCAGGATGTGCTAGGATGTGGGGACTCTTCAGTCACTGGCATAGCCAAGTGTCTTCCCAGCCCCATGGTTCAATTATCTGTGACCCAGATTGGAGGACTCAGCCACCTTTGGGGCAATTTGAGCCTTGTAGATTCTGGGTGTGTCGGCTGCCTGTAGCCAAACACCCTGTTGTGAGGATGGGATTTCACTTGGCCTTGGAGTTTCCCAGGAGTCCCCTATTCCCATTTTCATTCCGTGCTGGGTGTCCAGGGGCCGGGATGGGGCATCGCTGGGGTTGGGAGACACACCTGACTGCCGCACCCTTACTGCCCCAAGGTACAAGCTGAGATCAAGAAATCTTGGAGCCGCTGGACACTGGCACTGGACTTCAAGCGAAAGGCACGCAGCGGGAGCAGCAGCTATAGCTACGGCCCCATGGTGTCCCACACAAGTGTGACCAATGTCGGCCCCCGTGTGGGACTCGGCCTGCCCCTCAGCCCCCGCCTACTGCCCACTGCCACCACCAACGGCCACCCTCAGCTGCCTGGCCATGCCAAGCCAGGGACCCCAGCCCTGGAGACCCTCGAGACCACACCACCTGCCATGGCTGCTCCCAAGGACGATGGGTTCCTCAACGGCTCCTGCTCAGGCCTGGACGAGGAGGCCTCTGGGCCTGAGCGGCCACCTGCCCTGCTACAGGAAGAGTGGGAGACAGTCATGTGACCAGGCGCTGGGGGCTGGACCTGCTGACATAGTGGATGGACAGATGGACCAAAAGATGGGTGGTTGAATGATTTCCCACTCAGGGCTGGGGCCAAGAGGAAAAACAGGGAAAAAAAGAAAAAAAAAAGAAAAAGGAAAAGGAAGCGGTGTGTGGCTTCCTGTGGCCCAAACTGGGGACTCACTCCGAGAGGGTGGGGCTGGGAGCCAGGGAAAGCTGTGGCGGGAGGGCCATGAGTCATGGAGGAATCCTCAGGTCTCACTTCAGAATGGGGAGGGATCTGGGGCCTGTGGTATCCAGCAGAAAGGGCCCAGAGTGGCTCAAGTCTGCAGGGGTCACACAGCAGCCAAGTGGACCCATGTGGAAATCCAGCCTCAGCCTCCGTTGCTGCCAGCTGTGGAGCTGCTCTCCACACTTGTACCTAGACCCCATGGGGGACCCAGGCTCCTCTGGGCCAACTCTTCTGACTGCTGCCCCCATCACTGCCACCCAGGGCTGCTGGCAGATCCCTCGGGTCCCTGGCCACACCCCCAAGCCTACGGCCCTGCCACAGAATGGACCTTTCCTGGCTGTCCAGTGGCCACTCAGGGAGCCCTCCACGCAGGAGCCTTAGCATCCACCCGTGACCTGACATGCCTCTGTGACTGAGGTTGCAGTAGGAGCACCAGGCCAGCAGGTGAAGGGTGGGCTGGGTCCCTGCTCTGGCTCAGGACTTGTGGGGAGCCAGGAGTCTGAGCCCAGAGGGCTGGCTGGGCAGGGGCCTGCAAGGTGGGACACATCCATTCACTATGCATCTGGGACAGTCACTAAGTGTCCTCACCTGACACCCACCTACCACCTTACTCACCCCCCCGGACCGTGCCCTCTCCCACCTTGGGCCATTCGTGGGCCCCAGAGTGGCACAGAGCCCCTCAGCCCGACACCCTGAGGACTGACCCTACAGCATGCCCACCCCGGGCTCTGGCCTGAACGAGCTTCTTGCTCTTGCTCCAGCCTAAAGACAGCCCCGCACGAGCCCTGCCCTGCCTTCCCATCTCCCGCTCAGCCCGTCTTACTCTTCTCCACGGACTCGGCATCCAGGAGTGCACCTCATCTCCAGCAGCCCACACACACCCCATAGGGCATAGGGGAGGGGTCAGGAGGCCCAAGACAAAAAACTCAGGTGGGCGTTAGGAGGTGTGGGTGCCTGCTGAGCAGCCCCACACCCAGCCCTGCCTGCCCTTCCAGATGACGGACAGGACCAAAGGCTGTCCAAGGGCCTGGTGCACCCGTGGAGCTCCATGCAATGGTTGAGGGAGGCATAGGCCAGTCTTGAAGGGCTGCAGAGCCAGGCTGGGAGCCACTGGAAGTTCAAGAGGGAGAGCAACAAGGTCTGAATGTTTAAAAAGTCCCCACAGCAATGTGGAGACGAGAGGAGGCTGCACAGGGGTTGGAGAAGAGGTGGCCTGGCAGGAGGCGGGTGGCCTCGCAGGGAGATGGTGACAGGGAGGGCAGCAAGAGTTAGCTGGGGGAAGGAGACCTCAGCAGGGCAGACCCTCATCCTCCTCCCCAGGGATGTCCGATGCCACTCTCTAGGGTCTGAACTGAGGTTTCTGAAGTAATAAGCCAATGAGGCCCACTCACCTAGAAGCATTCAGACTGGGCACCCCGCAACAGGGCTGTGGCTTCCCCCTCAGACTGGGTGCCCCCCCAGGTGGAGGTGGGCCTCTCCTCTCAGATTGGATTCCCTCTAGGACAGGGTTTGGTCTCTTCCTACAACCAGGGAGCCCCAATCCCCACCCACACCCCAGGACAGGGCTGTGTCTCCCCACTCAGTCTGAGTACCCCAAGGTCAGGGCTGAGCCTCTGTCTCAGGCAGGGTGCCCCCCAGGGCAGAGGTGCGCCTCTCCTCTGCCCTACTGGGTCACCCCAAGACAGGGCTGTCACCCCCATTAGACTTGTCTCCATCTTCCCTTTAGATGGAACTCCCCTCCAGATAGGGCTGTCCTTCCCCTTTGAACTAATGCCCCCAGGACATACTGGGTACCCCCATCTCAGGTTTGGTGTCCCCAGGCCAGGGCCGGGCATCCCACACCAGCTGGATGCCTCTAAGAGGAGGACTGCCCTGCCCTGAGGATATCTGCACCCAGGGCAGTGCCAGGCCTCCCCCTTTAGACTAGGCACCATTTTTCCCCTCAGTCTGGATGTCCAAGACAGAACTGGACCTCTCACCTCAGTCCAAGTCCCCTAGGCTAGGACCAGTTCTCTTCCCTTAGACTAGGAGCCCCCAGGCCAGGGCTGGCCTCCACTCAGAGAGGCCTCAGAGCCCCACCTGGGCCATCCAGGTATTGGCAGTGGAAGTGGAGCCCTCAGCAGGCCTGGCAGGCAGGCAGGACCCTGTTTGCCTTGAGCAGGGGCTGGATCCAGGTGGTCACTTCTCCCTTCAAGGCCCCACAGCAAAGCCAAGCCACAGGGAACACGTAAACATTAGCAGAGCTGGGCGGGGTGGTCAGCAGGGTGGAGGGCACCTAGAGACCCCAAATCCTCAGCCCACTTGGCTATGGGATCCGGCACCTTGCAGGCTGCCCCAGACTCCAAGGCAGGCCAGTACAGTGGCCAGTTTCTGCTCCCACCTGTCTTGAGCACGTGGACGGCCCCATCCCTCGCTGGCCTGTCTCCCTCAGCCCAGGCTGCGAGAAGAATCGCTGAAGGCCCTTGGAAGGAATGGACCTCCCGGGGGTGCTCGTCCAGCCCTGGAACACAGGCCTAGCCTCAAGGGGAAGCTGAGTGGATGCAAAGCTCCCAGCTCAGAATAGGGTCGAGCTCTGCCACCCACCACCTGCCAGTCCCTGTCGAGAGCAAGGACTGAGCTGGGCCCCAAGTGCCTGGAGTGGGCAGGCTCTGAGGGGCCACAATCTTCAGCCCTCACCCTGGGAGGTGGCCAGAGGGGGTGTGGACAGACAGGAAAGGGGGCTGAGTTCTCTGGAGGTTCAAGAGGGACATGACCCTGCCCCTCCCTCCCTGGGATCTGGGAGGACACAGCCCTGCTCTGGGGGTCTGAGGGGACATGGACCCATCCTGGGGATCTGAGAGTGCATTGTCTCTGCGTGGATTCCTGGAAGAGCTGTCTGGCTGCAGGGACCCGTTGCGGGGGGCTGGGGTGAGGGGGTACAACTCTCTGTCCCTGGTTCCTCCTCAGCCAACTCCAGGAGAATGATCCCAGCCCAAGGCTGCCATGGCCAACTGAAACAAACCTTGCCTGAGGGACTGGTCCCACTGGCTGGGAGGGACAGAGGAGGAAGTTACTCCAGAGCTAGGCAGGGGCCTGAGCCCTGGCTGGCTCCAGGTGTGTGCTGTGTGGCTCTGGGCAAGCCACCTTCCCTCTCTGAGCCTCAACTTCTCTTCACAGGTCAAGCCCCTGCTCAGGCTTCATGACCTGAGTGGACTCAGGATCCTACCTCGCTCCTCAACAAGGATAGGGACAGGACCCCTATCCTTCCCTCAGGCAGGCGTGACAGCCTAAGGACCTCCCCCTTAGCCTCAAATATGTCTATTTGTGTATGTCTGTGTGTGTATTTATATGTGTGTGTCTGTGTGTATGTCTATTTGCATGTGTATTTGTTGTCTATGTGTATTTGTGTGTGTCTATTTGTATGTGTCTGTGTACTTGTGTGTATGACCGGCTCCTTCCCTCTTCAGTGCCACGGGCATGCAGGCAATGGAGGCCAGGTGAGGGTGGATTCTTCTTGCTCCAGCGTTTTTAACAGGCAGGGCAGGAGCAGCCTTGGCATGGCCCGGACACTGGCGCTTGCCCGGAGGCCACAGTCAGACAACCTGTCCACAACAAACTCATATCCATACATCAGCAAGACAGTGGGGCGTGTTGGGTGTCATTCTCCATGTGCGAGCGTTTGTATGCGCGTGCTGCTTGTGTATTTCTTTGTGTTTGTGTACACGAGTGTCCATGTGCCTATCTATGTGTGTCTGTGCTTGTGTACCTGTGTGTGTGTGTGTGTGTGTGTGGCCATGTGTGTTTCTATGTGTGTGTGTCTGGATATGCCTGTATGTCCATTTGTATGTGTCTGTGTCTTCTGGCATGTCTATGCGTGTGTGGTTGTAGGTTTGTGTACCAGTGTGTCTATGTGTGTATTTGTGTGTGTGTGTGCATTTGTATGTCTATTTGTGTATTTCTGTATGTGTGTCTATTTGTGTGTGTGTATCTGTGTCTATTTGTATATCTGTCTGTTATGTGTATGTGTGTGTGTGTATGTGTCTATGTTTCTGTGCTGGTGTACGTATGTCTATCTGTGTGTATTTATATGTATTGTGTATGTCTGTGTATGTGTATTTGTGTATTTGTGTAAATATGTGTGTCTGTATATGTCTATTTGTGTATGTCTGTGTGTGTATTTATGTGTGTGTATGTCTATTTGCATGTGTATTTGTTGTCTATGTGTATTTGTGTGTGTCTATTTGTATGTGTCTATTTGTGTGTATGTCTCTGTGTGTGTCTATTTGTGTGTGTCTGTGTATTTGTGTATGTCTCTCTGTGTGTGTCTATTTGTGTATGTCTCTACGTGTGTATGTGTGTCTATTTGTATGTGTCTGTGTGTTTATGTGTGTATGTCTCTGTGTGTGTGTGTCTATTTGTGTGTGTGTGGACTCGTGGTCTAAGAACGCCGCCTGTGGGTGGAATTTGGCTCATAGACATGTTTGGTTTGGCACCTACAGTATTTTCAACATCCTGAGCCAACATTTAAAAATCAGGATATTTCACATAAAAATTCAGCTTTCCAACTTCTCTTAAAAATTCAGAAGCCCTGGCAGCCCTGGGCCTGCGTTCCCCTGAGGCCACGCTCCTCCCGAACTGTGCAGGGCTGCCCTCCTCCGTGCACCCTCCATAGCCTCGCCCACTTGTCTCGCCCAGCAGTGTCTTGAGGATGGCTGAGTTTGTGAACCCAGTGTGTGGTCACAACTACGTGTGAGCCTGGCTGTCAGGGAATACGTGCATGAGTGGGGTGTGTGTGCATGTGTGTGAATGTGTGTGTGCATGTGCAAAGCAACTCTGTGTATGAGGCAAACCTGAGTGTGTGCGGTGCGTGTGAATGCCTGCATGTGCGCGTGCGTGTGTGAAGAGTCTGCGTGGGGGAACACGTGTGTAAAGGCATGGATGTGCACGTGTGTGTGCAGGGGAGTGGCCATATTTGTGGCTGTGTGGAGTGTGTGGGCCACAGCGGACTGGCATGCTCTGCCCAGGGGCCTCTTCCGGTCTTTGAGGGGGAATTGGATTCCCGGCTTCTGGCTGGGCCGCCTTGCGGGATTTATTTCTGTCTCAGTGCCCACTGGAGTCCTGAGTAATGGGAACATTTAAAGAAAACCAGTAAATAGATACAGAAGGGGCAGGCTGGCTGGGAAACTCAGCCCAGACACCCCTGCCCAGCCCACAGCTGCCAGAGCCCCTGGGGGCAGGCCTGAGCCCAGGGAGAAAGGAGCTCCAGCATGCGACAGCACCCCCTCACTCTGTGGGGTGCCCACTGCTACCCATGCATGCCCCCACCACCTGGATGGATGGTCCCTGGGTCAACACTGGGCATCTTGAGAGCTTCCTTGGCTCCGAGCAGCAGATGTTCAGGAGATTCAGGGGATGCCAGCTCAGGCCTGGCCCAGGGGCCAAGAGGACCTGACCCTCCAGGGGTGCCCTTTCCCAGCCAGGCTACAGGCATTCTGCCCACACACACCCTCTGCACATGCAGACGCACCCACAGTTCAAGGAGGGGAGAGGCTGTGCTGACCTGGCAGGGCTGGGCGGGCACTCGATACCCCACCCGGACCTCACACACCCGGCAGTGCCTTGGAACCTCATCTGCCAGGACACGGCCCCTGCTGTTCTGGGTCTCAGGCTGACTGGACCCCACTCTCTGGATCGTCTCTGATGAGCAGTCACTTACAAATGACATAAACCCCACAGGAAAGGATAGGCGTGCGTCATGCGGTGGGGTGACCTGCTTTACAGAAGACCCGCTGCTGGCAGGAGCTGTTTGGACCAACGCGCCCTGTCAGGGACCCCATCGGGGATCTCCTGCTGCCCCCCAGTGGCCATGGGAGGACATGGGGAAATAAAAGTCAACAGCTGCATGGAGTTGCTCATCCGCGTCTGAGTGGACTCTGAGGGCCCCACGTGGTTCCCAGCCAGACAGTTATGGGGAAGCAAGGCCTTTCAACTGGTCTGAGGGAAGGGGCTTGGATCCCAGCACAGATCTGGAGACCACCTGGAAGGTCAGCTCCTCGAAGGCAGAACCATCGTCAGTCACAGCTGCATCCCCGGATACAGTGCCCAGCATGACATGGGTCCTCGGGAAGCATGCTACACTAATGGCCCACTCCCCAGGCTCCTGGGGGTGGGCAGCGCTGTAGCAAGCCCTGGGCCCAGCTCAGAGCCCCATGGAGAGGCCGCCTGAAGGTGAGCGGGCATCTCACATGTTGAAGCCTCCAAGGCAGTGAGGGGCTTGGGCTTGAGGCTGGACAGTAGTTTTCCCTTGTGACTTCAGGGGTTGTGCCTATCTCTGATCCCAAGCCCATAGTTCCTCACTGTGGTTACAAGGCCCTGTCCTGGCTGGTGACCTGCCTGGTCCCTGACTCTGCAAGCCCAGGTGGGACTTCCTCCCAGCCCTCTTGCTGCCTCCCCAGCAAGAGTCAGAACCGAGAGGCCCTGCGCCTGGGTCTCTGGTCTCCTGTCCTCTTCTAGGGAAGGAGCATCCGTGCTGCTGTGGAAAATATCCCAGGCCTGACACCTCTCCCAAGATGAAGAGGCTGGGTGTCCTAGAGAACCCCAAGATGAAGGGACCTGAACACTGCGAGGTTGGTCAGGGCTGTCCTGGAGAAGTGCCTGGGCAGTGATGGACCAGGCAGTGGCAGGCACACCAGGGCTCCATCCACAGTGCTGGACACTGGCCCCTGGCCCTCGCTGGCCCATCTTAAGCCTGAAGGGCTTACGACAAAGGGGCTGCCAGGGCCTCAGGGCACCCTCCCCACCTAGCCCTCCAACCAAGGCTAGGGCTGAGACTTTTTTTTTCTTTACCAAATTTTCAGGGGACTATGAATCACTGAGACTAACTCTGAACTATCCTCACCTGGATGAAGACTGTAGTCCACACCCCAGAATGTTTGTTTTAAATGGAGAAAGCATACTTTAAAGAAACACACATTTTAGTAACATGTTTTACCAGTTTCTTTGCTCACCACCTGTATTTTTTAAACCTTTTTATTTTGAAATACGGATTCATAGGAAGTTTTGTTTTTGTTTTTGTTTTTGTTTTTGTTTTTATACAGAGTCTTACTCTGTTGCCCAGGCTGGAGTGCAGGGGCACGATCTCGGCTCACTGCAACCTCTGCCATCAGGATTAAAGTGATTCTCGGGCCTCAGCCTCCCAACTAGCTGGGATTACAGGCGTGCGCCACCATGTCCAGCTAATTTTTGTTTTTTTTAGTAGAGATGGGGTTTCACCATGTGGGCCGGGCTGGTCTTGAACTTCCGACCTCAGGTGATCCGCCCACCTCAGCCTCGTAAATTGCTGGGATTACAGGCATGAGCCACTGCACCCAGCCGATAGGAAGTTTAAAAGTACAGAGAAGTCCTGTGTAACATTCACCCAGTTTCCACCTGGTTACATTTTCCATAGCTGCAGTACAATATCGAAACCAGGAATCTGACATTGGTGCAGTGTGTATAGTTCTATTCCATTTCATCGGGTGCATAGATACAGGTAACCACCACCACAATCAAGATACACAGAGGTATTCCATCACAACCATTCCAGAGATCTCCTTGGAGCCACCCCCTTTAGAGTCACCTGTCCCCACCATCGCTAACCCCTGGCAACCACTAATCTGTTCCCCATCTCTATAATTCTGTCACTGTCAGAATGTTACAGAAGTGGAACCATACAGTATGTGACCATTTGATACCTACTGTTTTCACTCACCATAATGCCCTTGAGATCCATCCAAGCTGTGGCAGGTGTCAGTCCTTGGTCCTGTTTTATTGCTGAGTTGCATTCCATGGTACGGATGAACCCGAGCTTAACCTGTCCCCTATTGACAAGACCTTTTCCCTAGCCTTTGGCAACCTACAAATAAAGCTGCTATGAACATCTGTATATGCATTTTTGTGTAAACATTCGTTTTTATTTCTCTGGGATAAATGCCCAGGAGCATGACTACTGGGCTATATGATAAGTGTACGTAAAGTTTTTAAAGAAATGGACAAACTATTTTCCAGAGTGGGTGTTCCATTATACATTCCCACCTACAATGTATGAGATTCAATTTTTCCACTTTCTTGTCAGCGTTTATCACTATTTTTATTTGTTCGAATACGTGTGTAAAGATATTGTGGGCCAGGCGCGGTGGCTTACGCCTGTAATCCCAGCACTTTGGGAGACCAAGGCAGGTGGATCACGAGGTCAGGAGATCGAGACCATCCTGGCTAACGGTGAAACCCCATCTCTACTAAAAATACAAAAAATTAGCCGGGCGTGGTGGCAGGCGGCTGTAGTCCCAGCTACTCAGGAGGCTGAGGCAGGAGAATGGCGTGAACCAGGAGAATGGCGTGAACCAGGAGGCGGAGCTTGCAGTGAGCCGAGATCGCGCCATTGCACTCCAGCCTGGGCGACAGAGCGAGACTCCGTCTCAAAAAAAAAAAGATATTGTGATCTTTACTGGTATATCCGTAATGGCTCGTAATGTTGAACATCTTTACCATCTGTATATCCTCTTCAGTGAAATATTTCTTTATGTCTTTTGCCCACTTTCTAATTGTTTTTTTGTTTGTTTTGTTTTGTCTTACCGTTGAGTTTGGGAGTTCTTTATGTATTCTTGATATAAGTCCTTCTTTATTTGATTTGCAAATATTTTGTTTGTAGCTTTTCATTCTCTTAACAGGGTCTTCGTTGGAGCAAAAACTTTTAAGTCAAATTTATCAATTTTTTTCTTTATGGATTGTGCTTTTGATCTCAGGTCCAAGAACTCTTGACTGAGCTGTAGGTCCTGAAGGTTTTCTCGTTTACTTCTAAAATTGCATAGTTTTACATTTTACATTTAAGTCCACAGTACAGTTTGAGTTAATTTTGTATAAGATCTGAGGTTCAGGCTTGGGTTTTTTTGTTTGCTTTTTTGCCTATGAATTTCCCTTTGCTCCAGCACCATTTGTTGAAGACTGTCCTTCCTCCAATCAATTTGTTTTGCACCTTTGTCAAAAATCAGTTGGTCAGCCTGGGCAACAAGGCGAAACCCCATCTCTACCGAAAATACAAAAAGTAGCCAGGTGTGATGGTACACACCTGTAGTCCCAGCTACTCAGGAGGCTGAGGTGGGAGGATCGCTTGAGTCCGGGAGGTTGAGGCTGCAGAGAGCTGAGATCTCCCCACTGCACTCCAACCTGGGTAGAGTAGAGCAAGACCCTGTGCCCTGTGTCTCAAACAAACAAACAAACAAAAAAAAAAAAGTTGGCTGTGCTTGTGTATTGTCTTGTTGATCTGCCTCTTTTTCCACCAACACCACAATCTTGACTGCTATTACTGTAAAGTAAGCCCACAATAGGTAGTGAAATGAGTAGTATTCCTTACGCTTTTTTCTTCTAGTTAAAAATTGTTCAGCTATTCCAGTTCCTTTGCCTTTCCATATACATTTTAGAATAATCTTTATATCCAGAAAAAAAATAACTGGGCTTTTGGTAATAGTTACATTAAACCTATCAATACTCCATTGAAACACCTGGGCTTGGAGGTTTTTCAAGGCTTTAAAATAATAAATTCAATTTCCTTAATAGTTATAGAGCTATTTAAATTATCTATTTCATCTTGGCTGAGGTGTGGTATTTGTGCTTTTCAAAAAACTGGCCCCTTTGAACAACCTGTGGAATTGATGTGGGTACAGTTATTGACAGTGTCCTCTTCCTGTCCTTCTGATGTCTGTGGAGTATGATGCCCTTATTTCATTGCTGATATTCGTAATTTGACTTCTCTTTTCTGTCAGTCTTCCTAGAGGCTCATCAATGGTATCCGTCTTTCCAGCGTTTGCCAGTCTCTTTGCACACCACTCTTCCCTGCACCCTGTAGCTCACTGCTGGCTGCATTCCCAGGATCTTCTACCTTCCTCAGACAGTCTCAATTCATTGGCAAAGTGCCCAGCTTAAAACACCCATATCCGGTGCCTTCACGGCTGCTGACACAGTCATGGCCAATGCGAAGTGAAGACAGGTCTGTGGACAGGGTTGGAGCCAGGGTTTCCTCAGCTGGCCTGCCCTTCGCCCTTCTCCTCCTAACGGTACCTCGAATCTGTGATGGGGCAGAAGCTCCCATGAGGAGATGAGGATGGCAACTGGGGAGACAGAAGGGACTCACATCCCTGGTGGCCTCAGGGAGCCATGGTACCACCTTGGACTTAACACAAGACAATAAAACCCCTTCTTGCTTAAGCCCAGTCGTGGGTGACTGCCAAACAGTCCCGATTCCCATATCCACTCCCCGCTCCCGGACTGGTTTTTGCTCAGCATCCCATCCTTTAGTTCTTTCAGCAAAGATCAGTACATGGTAAACACTTAGTGTCATAAGCTTGGAAACGTCTGTCATGCCCCTACTTATGGTAACTGAGCAGACTTGACATTTGTTTCCTGAGCACTTAGGAAAACTGTCTTCTGGTATCTATTGTTGATGAAAAGCGAAACTAATTCCTTTGTAGGTAATCTCTTAAAATTTTTACATGTAGCCTGTTGTTATTTTTTCCCTTTAGCTTCGATGTTCTCATCTAGAACACTGGAGTCAAACTGCAGATGTAGTAAAACTGCTCTTAAAAAAAAAGAAAAAATAGGCTGGGCACGGTGGCTCATGCCTATAATCTGAGCACTTTGGGAGGGTGAGGCGGGAGGATCGCTTGAGGTCAGTTTGAGACCAGCCTGGCCAAAATGGTGAAACCCTGTCTCTACTAAAAATATTTAAAAAATGGCGCGGGCTCACGCCTGTAATCCCAGCACTTTGGGAGGCCGAGGCGGGCGGATCACGAGGTCAAGAGATACAGACCATCCTGGGCAACATGATGAAACCCCCTCTCTACTAAAAATACAAAAATTAGCTGGGCATGGTGGCGTGTGCCCATAGTCCCAGCTACTCAGGAGTCTGAGGCAGGAGAATCTCTTGAACCCAGGAGGCGGAGGTTGCAGTGAGCCAAGACCGCACCACTGCACTCCAGCGTGCCGACAGAGCAAGACTTCATCACAAAAAAAAAAAAAAAATTAGGCACGGTAGCACACAGCCACAGTCCCAGCTACTTGAGAGGCTGAGGTTGGAGAGCTGCTTGAGCCCGGGAGGCGAAGGTTGCAGTGAGCTGAGATCGTGCCACTGCACTCCAGCCTGGGTGACAGAGAATCCATCTCTAAATAAAGATAGATAGATGATAGATAGATAGATAGATAGATAGATAGATAGATAGATAGATAGATAGAAAAAAAAATAAGCCTGTGTGTTGAAATACAGCATATACAGCAAGTTGTATAAAAATAAATACATATAGAGAATAAATTCCCATCACTCAAGCCAAGAAAAACACTTTGCCATTATCTCAAAGGGCCCCACTCCAGAGCTAACTACAAGCCTGAAGTTGACGATCACCACCTTGCTCTTCTGCCCTGGCCTTACCACCTGCGTGTGTCCTTACATTGTCTCACTCCGCCTGTTTGGAACGTCACACAAATGGCTCATACTCTATTTCTTCCGTGACTTGCTTCTTTCAACATCTATCCATTTGTTGCACATGACTGTAGCTCTTCTCACAGCTATGGAACATCACACTTTCAGAATGACAACTTATTATTACCACATTCTGGCTTTGATTTAGTGTGTGTGTGCACACATGTGCCCGTGCTATTACAAACAATGCTTCTACAAGCATTTCTGTCCCTGTCTCCTGGTGTACATGTGCAAGTTTTCTAGTGCACTAAGAGCGCAACTGATGGGTCCCAGCGTGCACATGTTCAACTTTCCCAACGTGGTTACACATTTCACACTCTTATGGCTGTGGGTGAGAGGTCCCACTGCTCCACAGTACAGTGGTGTAGCTAATGACACTTCTGAAAGTCTCCCTTGCCTGGCCTCACTCCTGCCACCTCCACTTTCTTTTGTTGATCCTGTGCTTGATAGAGCTTTTCTAGTCCCATTAATCTTTGTTTCTATTAATTTATGAGGCAGGGTCTCACTCTGTCGCTCAGAACTCCCAGGCTCACATGATCTCCCACCTCAGCCTCCCAAGTAGCTGCGACTACAGGCAGGCACCACCCCGCCTGGCTAATTTTTTTATTTTTTATTTTTGTAGAAGACGGAGTTTCACCATTTTGCCCAGACTGGTCTTGAACTCCTGGGCTCAAGCAATCTGCCTGAGACTCGAGCAAATTCAGCCTTCTCAAGTGCTGGGATTACAGGCATGAGCCACTGCACCCAGTCGGCTTCAGGTTTTTTTAAACTCAGCAAACTGAGTTTAAAGGAAAAAAAAAAAGAAAGAAAAGCAGTCTAATACCTTGCTATTACTGATATATCTGGATTCAACTACTCAATCCACCTTTTCTCTCTGCTTTCTTTTGGATAGTTACTTTTTTCCCATTCTGGTTTTTTTTTTTTTTTTTCCTCTCTCATCTCCTCTGAAAGTGGTACACTCTGTTTCTACTCTTTTCAGGTTACCCCAGAAATGTCAAGAGGCCTGTTTCCTAGTCTTATCCCTCTTCCTAAGTGAGCGTCTTCAAGGACTGTAACCCCAACCACCTCCTACCTCTGAACTTACATACCATTGTTGTTATGTATTCTAAATAGCCCCTGCTTTACCCCACAACACATTTTTGTTTTACAAGGTCAGTGCTTATTTACATTTATACTTCCTTTCTCTGGACTTTCCATCTGGGATTGTGCCCCTCAGTCTGAAAATATCCTTTATGATTTTTTTAAAAGGAGAATGCTTATTTCATTTTTAAAAAACAACTTTATACATATACAGCCCACCCATTAAAGTGTACAATTCAATGGCTCTTGGCATATTCAGCATATTCACAGATTTGTGCAACCACAATCACTTTTAGAACATTTTCATTACCCCAAAATAGATTTTCATTTAGTGAGAGTCTGCTGGTGACAGAATCCCTGACTTCGTTGGTCTAAAAACATCTTAGGCCAGGTGCGGTGGCTCAGGCCTGTAATCCCAGCACTTTGGGAGGCCAAGGTGGGCAGATCACTTGAGTTCAGGAGTTCAAGATCAGCCTGGGCAAAATAGTGAGACCCCATCTCTGCAAAAAAACAAAAAACACGTCTCATATTTTCCCTGAGTATGCAATTCTAGGATGACAACTTTCTTTCATTCCTGTTTACACTGGTTATAGCTGAGATATCTGCTGCTATGTTGCTCCTCAAAAGGTAGTATGTCCTTTCTCTCTGATTTTAAGGTATTTTCTTGGTCTTTGTGCTCTTTAATGTTATTACAATGTGATTAGGTATGTGGTAGTTTTTAAATAAGTCCACAAATTCTTACACAGTCCTCCCTTCAGGAAGTGGAAGCTAATTCTTCTAAGTGTCGACTGGGCGTAGTGACTTGCTTCTAACAAACAGAATGTAGCAGAATATCACTTCCAAGCCCAGATCATAAGAAAGCCCCACAACGCTCCCTCCTGCCTTCTTTCTTAGACTGCCACTCTGGGAAAGCCACCTGCCATGTCTTGAGAACACACAGGCCGATGGAGAGGTCCATGTGGCAAGACACAGGGGCCACCAATCAACAGCCCCATGAGTCATCTTGGAAACAGATCCTCCAGCCCCAGTCCAGCCTTCAGATGAGTGCAGCTTCACAACTGACCCCAAGCTAGACTTACCCAGCTAAGCCACTCCTGATTCCTGGCCCACAGAAACTGAGGTAATAAGTGTTTGTTATTTTAAGCCCCCGAGTTTTGGGTAATTTATGTGTAGCAACTGATGATTAATAAAAAGTGTAGAATTTTTTTAAGTAAATTTGCTTACTTAGAATAAACATACAAAAAGGGCATAAAACATGTATACAGTTCAATGAATATTCATAAAGTAAAAATACCTAATCATCACCCAGATGAAGAAACAGAACATTTGGATGTATAGTTCTTCCTATTAACCTGCCTGAGACTTACTGGTCTTCTTGAATCTGTGAATTGGTGATTTTTTCTGGAAAGTTCTCAGCCAGTTTTTAAATATTGCTTCTGCCTCATTTTCATTTTTTTTTTTTCCCACCTGGAACTCCGTCACTTTACGTTGGATCTCTTCATTCTACTCTCCATGTCTCTCAGCCACTTGCTTTACATTATCACTGTTTATCTTGCTGGGCTGCATTTTGGAAAACTTCAGATCTAGCTTCCCATTCACTAATTGTCTCTTCACCTTTGTCTAATTCACAGATACAAGGTTTTTAATTGCCATAATACACTATAGTGCTATATAGTCACTCCTTATCTATGGGGGGATGTTCCAAGACCTCCAACCCCAGTGGATGCCCGAAATGGTGGCGAGTACTGAACCCTATATATGCTGTGTTTCCCCTTTACATACATACCTATGATAAAGTTTAATTTATAAATTAGGCACAGTAACAAATTAACAATAACTAATGAGAAAACAATTATAACAATACACAGTAATAAAAGTTATGTGAATGTGGTCTCTCTCAAAGTATCTTATTGCATGTGATAGTTTCGGACATGGTTGACCACAGGTAGCTGAAACCACAGAAAGGGAAATTGGAGATGCCAGGGGTGGGGGCCAGACTACTGTATTTTTTATTTCCAGAATACTGGTTTGGTTCTTTTGCAAATCTGCTCCTATGTTCACATCTTTTAGTTCTTAAGTAATTTTTAAACATACCTAAATTCCATGGCTGATAATTCTGATGTCTGAAGTCTTCATAAGTCTGGTTCTACCATGTGATTTTCGATGTTGGTTATTTTGCACCTGAGGCTCTGTTACCTTGTGTGTCTGATGAGCTTTTCTGCAACCTGTTCGTTTCTCTTTTCTATTTTAAAAATAACTTAAAGCTCTTGGCTCAAAATGTATTGCTCCCTTCCTTTGATGCTCATTTCCCAGCAAGCTATCGTCCTACATGGGGCCAGACTCCTAGTCGCACTGTGGGGAGGGACAGGTGCTGTGCCCATCATACTCAGCAGCGGTGAGGCAGTACATCATGAAGTGGCCCAGGTCATGTTTGGGGATGATCCTTGAGGGTCATTGTCCATCCAGGGTCACTGAGTAGGCCCTAAGATTCTCATATGTCTTGAAACTTTATCAGGGAGAATTCTTTGAGAGCTGATATGAATAAAGCTTTGTCCAGGTAGGATCTACATTTTCTTCTATCAAGTGTTTGAGACTTCCAACATTCTGGGACCAGTGGGACCACTTAAATTCTTGGATTCTCATGTACAAAAACCCACATGAAGGTTGGCTCAGTTCTCAAGGAAGACCTTTTTTTCAGTCCAGTAAGTGGCAAGGTTTAACTTTTGTATGGGATGCCAGGAGGGCAGATTTGCTATTAGTTCACAGAGGGTGTCACCCTTTGGGGCCCCAGCTTTACAGAGAGTTCTATTAGGGCCCTCATTTTGCAAAGGTTTTGGTTTGTCTTGAGCCCACGCATCGAGAACCCCAAAAAACAATGTTCAGTTTCACCTGGTTTGTCAAATACCCTCAAGGCAAAGGTCAGACTTTGGCATTCTGCTACCTCTTTTACATTCTGCCAAAGTATTCCTTATTTTCTTGCCAGCTCATTGCTGTATTTTTAAAATATTTGTTGCTATTCTTTATTTACCTAGTATTTTTAGCTGTTTGCATAGAGAGGATCAGATCAGGTAACTATTCCACCATGAAACTAGAAACAGAAGTGGCTGGCCGGCTGGGTGCAGTGGCTCATGCCTGTAATCCCAGCACTCTGGGAGGCTGAGGCAGACGGATCGCCTGAAGTCAGGAGTTTGAGACCAGCTTGGCCAACATGGTGAAACCCCATCTCTAGTAAAAATACAAAAATTAGCTGGGCGTGGTGGCACGCATCTATAATCCCAGCGACCTGGGTGGCTGAGGCAGGAGAATCACTTGAACCCGGGAGACAGAGGTTGCAGTGAGTCTAGATGGTGCCACTGCACTCCAGCCTGGGCGACAGAGTGAGACTTTGTCTCGGAAAAAAAAAGAAGTGGTTGGCCATTCTTTCTTCAGGTACCTTCTTTCTCTGGTTTCCTTTTCTTGGAACTCCTGTCATCTATAGGACAGGTATCAGTATAACAAGGTTCTCAAGCTACCCTCCATCTCGCCCTCTTTATCTCTCACTGCCACCTTCTCATGACCGTCTCAGCTTTAACTTCCAATTTACTAATCCTTTCTTGGACTGTAAGTTAATACTTAGCTCTCTGGTGAGTTTATTTTAAGAGCTGTATTCTTTCTTTCCAAAATTTCTAATCAGTTCTTTCTTATGTCTAATCTCTGTTCTTAAGGATACCACACGCTCTTTTATCTCTCTGATGTAAAAACAAATGCTCATTTTTAAAACCTTGTAGGCTGTTACTATTTCAGTTTCCTTGGGTATAAATCCTCCCACCTGGGTTACTGGTCATTCTTTAAGGCATTGGATTTTCTCGTGTATTTTGTAAATTTTGTTTGAGTACTCATGATGCATGGTACTTTGTTTTTCCTTCTAGGACAACACCCAGGGTCATGAAACCAGAAGCACATCTTTCATTAGCTCTGGGACTGTCGTACTGGGGGATAACCCTACTCTAGTCCCAGAGCTGATGCTGAGTGGCAGCTTAGTTGCCAGTCACCAGGTATCCAAGTCCTTCAACTGCTACAGACACGGATCCTGTTTCCAGCTGCAATCCCAGGAGACGCAGGGAGTCTTTTCACCCTTTTGTTCATAGGAAAAAAAGCCCAGCTCCAGTTTTACCAACTGGACAGACGGAGCCTGGCTCCAGTCCTGCATGTACCCCTGGACCTAGGAAATACTGGAAGGGTTTCTGCCCCATGTGGGAGTCAGGGTCTTGGTCTTGTCTTACTACTCAATGCAGAAGGTGGCCAGCTACCACTTTAGCCCTCACCCACAGCTAGAAGTTTCTGTTTCTTTTCCACACAGGAATTACCTTCCAAGAATAGTTGCATAATTTTAACTTAAAGGGTTTTTCATTGGTTGTGAGCGTGCTGGTCTCTGTGTGCACAAACCCACTCTGCCTCTATGACCAGAGTGCTTGGCACTGTCCGCCAGAGATGGGCCATTGTGTTTCTGGAATACTGCGGAGAGGAAGAACACACTAGATGGCTTAGGGCAGAGGCAGAAGGCTCAAGGAGAAATCCCAAAGGAAACTCAAGGGTGTAAGCATCCTGGAGGAGATGCAAGTCCAGCTGGCCACCGGTACTGCAGTCAGAGATGATGCAGCCAGCCAGGTACTCTGGAGAGTCAGTTCCACAGAGAAGGCTCATGTCCTAAAGCCAGAACCTTGGAGATCTAGGGTCCACAACCACACCTGAAACCCAGCCTACAACGTCCCCATCTCTAGCAGAATGGGCCACCCCTCCCATGCAGGGTCTCTGTCCTAGGGGAGCCACAGTCTAGCTCTGACTGGTGGAGTAGGGAGAGAGGCCGCCTGGGGCTGGGGAGAGTGGGGAAAGCAGTGCCAGCGGCATCAAATCTGGAGTGGCCCTGAGTTGGGGCTTGCCAAGGCCCAGTCTCTCTCACACTGAGGATCCCCAGAGGACCAGGGTGGGAGCCTCTCCAGCTACTCCATAGACTACTACAAGGCCTAGGTCTGGGGGAGGTCTTAAAAGGACTTTCTCAGACCCTGTCTCTATCACCCAAGGATCTTGAGATGACCAGCACTGACCATGGACTGGGCCAGGACTTGGCCGCAGAAGGCAGCCCTGAGTGTTTCCCACCCCTCCGGCCTCAACATGCCCAGCCCAACACAGGGGTTATTCATACATATTAAGTACCAGCTCTGCAGTCACCCTGTCTCCATCCTGTGGAGCCCAAATCCACTGCACCCTCAGACCTAGGAAATATCTGACACATTTCTGCCACACACAGGGGTTTACTTGTTTCTATTTCCAGATTTTTTTTTAGAAAGTTCAAAATATATACATATATACAGACATATGTACATCCACATGTGCAGACACAGGCACGCCCAGAGTTGTTGCTGGTTCTGCCTCCATTCAGAATGGCAGGGGCCACCCAGCAGACAAGGAGCTGACCTCATCCATGGGGGTTTCAGACTTGATGGGCAGGGAGTCTCTGCTCAGAAGCCAAACTGGAGGTGATGGCAAGCCTAGCCCCCATCCCTGCCCAAGACCATCCTCTGCAGGACAGGCCTGATGGGCGAGTGGTGGGGCAGGGCATGCCTCAGTCGGAGTCACAGGTCTTTTGTTCGGTGGCAGCATCCACTGCAGAGGCTAGGCTGTCTTCCTGGCCTTTCAGCCTTTCACCTGGGATGGATGGCAGACAGAAGGGGTGGGGAGGGGCCCGGTGCTTGGGCCACCACCCAGTGGGCAGGACCCCACCTTCCCAGGCACTGCACTTACGGATCAGCTCGGCAATGGCCCTCTGAGTCCGCTTTTTTAGTTTCTCCAGCTTCTTGGCCACATCTCTCTTGAGGTCCCTGGAGCAGGGAGGCAGGGAGAAGCAGGAAGGTGAAGGCTGGCCTGATGTGGCATTGGGTCCCCTCCCCTCTTGCAGCCCTCTGGCATTAGGAGTCATGCTCGGTTGCTGGAGGGGGCTGCCCTGGGGAAGAGGCCAGGACATTCCCCTTCTGTACCCTCCGAAACCCAGCATAAACCATCATTCCCTGTCCCACTGAGGCAGGGGGACTAGCATCACAAACCCACCCAACACAAGGGACTGAGCTAAGGCAAAGGTGGATGGTTTCTCAGAGACCCTCTCTTGCTCTGGTCCTCTGGTCACCATCAGGGAGTGACTTGCTCCTGCCCACTGTGGGCCCTGCTCCTCCTCCAGCCACCGGCCCAGCCCCTCCACTGTGGGCACCCAGAAGTGCACAAGCACTCAGCCCATTCTCTCTGGCTCTGGGTTTCCCAGGACATATGCCCCATGCTTTTGTTTCATCAAATTAAAACAGCTGGTGTTAACTCGACCAAGAATCAGGCGAGAGGGATATAGCTCTACCTCCGGCTCAAGGTGAAGACAGACACAAGCCTCCCGGCCCACAGCACCCTCTCTCCCACTCTCTCTCAGCCTAGCAAGAAGGATGACGACCTCCATTTCACAGAGGAGGAAACCAGGGCCAGAGGGAACAAGCTATGGTGGTAGAACAGGAACAGAAAACTGTGTCTGCCCTTCCCTCCACTCCTGGCCCCCAAAGACAGCGGTTGGCCTTGCTCAAATGGGAGCTCTGGAGCAGATGGGCTCTCAACCTCTCAGGAGGGCCTTCATGAGGGGCCTGCTGCTCCCCGCGCCTGAGCCCCACTCCATCACTCCCCTCTCATCCCACCACTTATGTCCTCCTCAGCACTGGTTTCCAACAGTAGCTATCTCGTGTAACTCTATGTCTGTACTGCCAGTCTCTGCACTGTGACGGCAGGAAGGGCCAAGCCCCAGGCCCATGCTGGCACCAAGAGTCCCCGAGTCAGCCTGCACCCGCCACGCACGGGCAACACTCACCAGTCAGGCTTCCGAGGAGCGAGGTTGGCCAGGTCCTGGGAAGGGAGGAGACACACATCAGGGTGGAGGGGCCACCCCAGGACAAGGGGGAGGGCAGGCTCGAGAAGGAGGGAAATGGGAGAAAGAGGAGGAGGAAGGAGAGGGACGAGAGCAAAGGGGCTGGTGGGAAGGGAATAAAGAAGTGACGAGAAGGAATGGGGGGCAGAGGGAGAGCAAGTGGCGAAGAGAAACAGGACACACAGAAGCAGCGAGGATGCCAGGGTGGTCCAGGCACTCACCACCTCCTCGATGACGGGCTCGGGCTTGGCGGCCTCCAGCTGCTCCTTCACCTTCTCCTCCACTAGAGGGTGCAATTAAACAGAGAAGGCCTGTGGAAAACGCGCTGCCACTCTGCAGGGACACTGCCTACCGTGGCCCCCAGGGAGAGACGGGACCCCAGGCTTCCTTGCTCCCACCTCTGTGTGGCCCGCAACCAGCCAGAGGTGAAGACCCTGCAAAGGCAGCTCTGGAGGAGGGGCCTGGGTTTCCCAGGATGAAGCATTCCCCACAGGCCAAGAATGGGACAGCAGGAGGCAGCCAGCCACAGTCAGTCAGGAAGCATGGATGCTGACAATAACTACAAGACCAGAGAGCTGCCTGGATACATACAAAGTGAGGACTGGCTTCTCACATAATCCCAGGGCTCCTGGGCTCTGAGGATGTCCTCTGGGTCCCGGCCTAGCCAGAGCCACAGGTGGCTTTTCCTCCATCCCACCTCAGGTGTATGCTCCCAAGACCAGGGCACAGGCACCTCCCAGCTCCTCCAAGCTACTGCCAGCATAGTGGGCCTCTGAGCAATCTGACTAGGAGGGTCCTGCCCCTTGGGGACAAATGGCAGAAGCACTAACAACTCTGGGCTCTGTGGGCTTCCTCCAACCCCTGGCATTCAGTGGGCCCATGAGTGCCCTCCTGCTCTGCCTCACCTCCCTCCAGATACAGATGAGAGTTGAGGGCTTCCCCTGACCTGGGCAGTTCCTCACCTCTCTGTCCTGCCTACTATCCCCCAGTGCACCATTACCCTACCAGGTGGGGCCCAAACTACAAAGCAAATCACGGGGAAGTGTCTGGATTTCAGGGATGAAGGAAGTGGGGAAGCAGACCGGGATGTGGCCAAATGGGCAACACTTTACTTTTTCCCAAGATAAATGTATTTATTCACTTGTTACTTATGCAATTCAAAAAAAGTTGATAACAAGGCAAGGCACAGTGGCTCACACCTGGAATCCCAGCACTTTGGGACGCCAAGGCGGGTGGATCACTTGAGGTCAGGAGGAGTTCAAGACCAGCCTGGCCGACATGGTGAAACCCTGTCTCTACTAAAAACACAAAAATTAGCCAGGCGCAGTGGCACACACCTGTAATCCCAGCTACTCAGGAGGCTGAGGTTACAGTGAGCTGAGATTATGCCACTGCACTCCAGCCTAGGCGACAGAGCGAGACTCCATCTCAAAATAAAATAAAATAAAATAAAATAAATAACAAACATAAAGAATTAAAATGGGGACCCTCCAGGGCAAGGGCCCAGGGATCCGCAGGACTAAGAAACTTCCTGGCATGAGTGGTGTGGACGGCCAGAAGCTCCTGGTGGCTGTGCTGTTCCCACGCCATGGCAAGAGTCTAGGCAAGCCCTGGGCCAGGCCCTCTCCCCTGCCTCAGTGCTCCACACTGCCCGTCCACTGCTGTGTGTGGCTGAATGACTGGCCCCTGTCTCTGACCCACCCAGGGCCCACAGGACCCATCACCCTGCCCTGCTGCCCAAGGGCCCCATGACCACATCCACTTCTCAGCCAGGAGTCCTCTGAGAGGATGTGGCCTTTTTCAAACCCCACTCAGATCCCTGGGAGGCCTCGGTCTCAGGGTGTGAGCAGGACTGAGAAGGCACAAGAGGACTCTTCAGTGCCCCGACAGCCTCTGCTGCTGCCGAAGGCCGACTGTGTGCATCTGCCATGAGATGGTAACAAAGGGTCCTGCCTGCAGGCCCAACTCCTGTCCTGGTACTGCTGGTTATTCTCAGAGAGCAAAGCCTGCTGAGGTGGAGGGTGGCTGACAGTGCCAGGAAGCAGAGGTGGAGAGGGACAGCTTGCTTACCTGCAACCGGTTTGGCCTGGGGCACCCTCCTCTTCTTCAGGTCCTCATCCTCCGGGACATAGTTCCGCAGCCTAAGTTCCCTGCAAGAATAGAGGGAACAAGCAGAGATGAAGTCAGTGTGTGACATGGTCTCATTCATTCATTCATACAATTTGCATAGCCCGTGAATTCCTGAATTTCCTCTGCACTCTCTGGAGATAGCCTGGTAAGGAGGAGAAGCACAGAATGGAGTGTCATCAGGCAGGCCCCTTGGCACCGTCCCCTGCCACTTAGCGGGACTGGCTGCCCTCCAGAGGCCCTGTCTACTCTGTTGGAGTACGGTTCTCTTCCAGAGCTGGGCCAAGGACGCCTAGGGAGCATTCACAGGGTGTCTCTCCTGGATCATCCCATTTGACAGATAAGGGGACTGGAGGTCAGAGAGACTGTACCCTTTTCATAGGATCACACAGCAGTGGCTGCACATCTTAGCTCAAGGCAATGTATAACTCCCAGCCAGGGCTAAAGCTCCTAGGCTGAGTGATTCCCAAAAGAGAAGGCCAGTGGTCACCCACAAATTCCCCAAGTCTGGCCCCTCTTCAGAGCCTTCCTGCCCTGGGGCTCATGCCATGGAATACGCCTCAACTACTTAGAGAAAAGCATCTGGGTGTGCTGGGCCAGGGGCATGTGGCAGTGAGGAGTGACATGTGGACAGAGAAGCAGGTGCTGGAGGGCTCCAGAGGGGCGTGGCTGCCTACAGCTGTGGGAATGTGGAGGGGAGACACTCCAGGAGGAGGTGGCGCCTGGGCCTGCAATGACGCGGACAGGGTCAAGGCACAAAGCACACGAGAGGCTGACTCAGCTCCAAGACTGTTGAGAGTGGCCAGTGAGGGCTGTGAAAATAGGCATGACCATGTGCAAGGCTGGGAAGGCCACAGTCCACCAGGACAGCAGTGAGAACTGAACAGCCCCAAAGGCCTCCATGAAGAGAGAGGAGCCACAAGGGGCCAGAATCTCCCGGCAGGAGCTGCGGCTAGCTACTATGTTTTTATGTTCTTCCTGCCTCAGTCTTTTCAGGCAGGGGTGGCTGAACCAAGAACTCACTGGGGTCCTCTCTGGCTCAGGGGCTCATCAAATCCTAGCCCCACACACACAGAAGCAGGCTCCCAGGAAAATGTGTCCCTGGTAACTCCACAGGGCGGCAGGGCGAGAGGTCCTGGGGGCTGCAGGGTCTAAGAAAGGCAAGGCAGAGGCAGTGGGACAGACCCCTAGCCCCAGGGGATGCAGGAGTGGCCCCTCAGATGCTGGCCAGGTGAGACTAGGCCGCAGGTCCTCCTCCTTCCCCAGTACCTCTTTCGGTTCTTGACCAGTGGTCCCTCAGAAAAGTCCTGGGCCTCTAAGGCAGGAAACAATTTCCCAACAGGCCTCCCACAGTCTGCCATCTCCCAAGCCCTCTGTCTGGACCAGGTAAAAGTGCTGCTGACTTCCTCAGGCCCTGCAAAAGCAAGCTTTCCCAGAGGCAGGGGTGTCTGTGGCTACACAGCTAGCAAGCGGCAGTGCTTTGGACTCAGGGGCTTTCAGATGCTATTCACTCTCCTATTTAAGGGCTCCACCTGCTTCCTGCCCCCAGCTTACTTACCATCTCCTTCCTTCCTGCCAGGGCCCCTGAGCCTGGAGCCTTGGGGCTGGGCTGAACCACTGCGGGCGATGGGGCAGTACCAGCATAGCCTGTGTGGAGGAAGCCCACCTGCACTCCCAGAAGGCCCAGAGATACCCCACCCCGTCCCCCATCCTTGAACACCTGCCTCGGGCCTGGAGGTACATGTCAGGTCACAGAGGTACAGGGAGACAAAGTGGGGCATGACTGGGTGCAAAGGCTTTCGTTCACAACAGGGTGGGGAGAAATGAGGAAGAGAAACTGGGTGTGGGAAGAAAACTGCAGGGATTAGTAAGAAAAAAAACTGTCGCTTTCAGAAACGGTCTCCAGGGTTCTGTGAGAAATCAGAAGGAGAGAGGAGAGGCCACAGGGAACTGTACCCAGAACTCACAGCAGCAACACGCACCCATGCCTCCAGACCCACCCACTGCCCGAGGCTTCAGAAGGCCAACTGGAGGAGTGAACCAGAAGCAAGAGGCGGGAGCAGAGCCTTGCGCCCACTGTGCCCTGCCACCCCCAGAGCGGAGCACTGGCCAAGCAGCCAAGAACATCTAGATCCCGACCACCATGGGAAGGTCTCATTCTGGGCCTCAGTTTCCACATTTAGAAACATTACGGCTGTGCTGGGTGCATCCAGCTCTATCAAGCTGGGTCCACGCCCTCCCCAGACTCACTCTTGGAGGGTTAATCTGATGTGCAGCCACTGTTGTGTGATCGCGTGAAAATGGTGCAGTCTCTGACCTCCAGTCCCCTTAGCGTGGAGAGCTAAGAGACTTCCCCTCCCTAATGCCCACTTAACTGCCCACCCCCGGAATTCCACCACTACCAAAGGACAGGAGTCTCTGGGAGAGGTCAAGGAGCATGGGGGGGTTCAGCTTGGGGACCTGGCCTTTCCAACACAGGCCCAAGATTTAACCTCCCTTATAAAAGCAGGTGGATCACTTTAGGTCAGGAGTTTGAGCCCAGCCTGGCCAACAGGGCGAAACCCGGTCTCTACTAAAAATACAAAAATTAGGTGGGTATGGTGCCACATGCCTGTAATCTCAGCTATTCAGGAGGCTGAAGCAGGAGAATCGCTTGAACTGAGGAGGCAGAGGTTGCAGTGAGCTGAGATCGCACCACTGCACTCCAGCCTAGGCTGCAGACTGTCTCAAAAAAAAAAAATGTATATATATGTATTTTAAATGGCTTTAGAGAAGTACCAAGACAGCAAGGATTTCAGGGGCTGCAATCATGGAGATAAGGGAAGTACAACAAAGTGAGCCTGACATCACGTCCCTCTTTCCCCTTAAAGCATGTCTATTTACATGCAGCAGCTGAAAAGCTGAGAGACTGAGCAGAGCTTCCCATTAGGTTGATGCAAAAATAACTGTGGTTTTTGCCATTGAACATAGTGGCAGAAACCACAATTACTTTTGCACCAACCTCATATAATCTCATGGGCCTGGAGAGAAAAAAAAAAGTGTGTTTAAGCAGAAACTAAAACAGACTACTGACTTCTCAACTGCAACTATGGAAACCATAAGACCATGAAATGGTATCTCAGAAGTGTGGACAAAATAAATGTCACACAAAATTCTAAATCTAGTTAAGAAGCCTTCAAGAGAAAGACTTTTTCAGACAAAGAAAGGTTAGGAGAATCAGTTATCAGTGAATCCGTTATTCAAGAAATACTAAAAGGAATACTTTAGGCTAGAGGAAAATGATCTCAGACGGAAACATGGAATTGCAGGGAAAAAATAAAATGCCTCAGAAAGGGTAAATACAATGGCTTGTGTCTGTAATCCCAGCTACTTCGGAGGCTAAGGCAAGAGGATTGCTTGAGCCAGGCGTTCAAGGCTGCAGAGAGCTATGATCACACTCTGCACTCCAGCCTAGGTGACAAAGCAAGACCCTGTCTCAAAAAAAAAGCAGGGGGAAAAGAGAATTTAAATGAATATTGACTGTATAAAAGAGTAATAACAACTTATAGTATTTAAAATATAGCAACAATAGTGTAAAAGGCAGAGTGGCAAATAGCCTTAAAGTGTTCTAAGGTCCTAAGCACTGTAGAGGAAATGGTAAAAATACTACTATTTTCTATTAGACTTTGATAAGTTAAGGATGTATGTTGTTATGCCTGTGGAAATCACTAAAAGAAAGGGAAAACAGCATACAATTAACAAGTTAACAGAGGAAGAAAGTGGAATAATTAAAAACAAAAAAATCCAAAAGGAGACAAGAATGGAGATAAAAAAGGAAAGTCAAGAAACAAATAGTAGGACAACAGGTTCACACACAAAGCAGGTCCAGGCTGCTATCCTAGGAGCTCCCATAGCCTTACAGTGTCCGGGGCCACCACAGCTCTTGGAGACTGGGCAGGGTGTGACGAGATGGTGCCAGCCAGAGCAGTAGGGCAGGCCAACACCTAACACCTTGTCAGCTGGCCAGGAAATACTGAAGCAGCCTGCACTCACCAGCAGTCACTGGCATCTGGAAGCCACCTTTCTGAGGACAACTGGAGCCAAACAATGGTTCTGCCACCCCCATTTTAGAATGAGGAAGTTGCTAAGGGGAGAAGGTACTAGCTCTAGCTAAAAGAAAAGAAATAAAAACAACAAAAATGTTGACAGTGGTTATCTCTAGGACTGACTTTTTTTCAAGAGATGGGGGTCTTGGCTGGGCATGGTGGCTCACACCTGTAATTCCAACACTTTGGGAGGCCGAGGCGGGTGGATCACCTGAGGTCAGGAGTTCAAGAACAGTCTGGCCAACCAACATGGTGAAACCCCATCTCTACTAAAAAAACAAAAATTAGCCAGATGTGGTGGCGGGTGCCTGTAATCCCAGCTACTCAGGAGGCTGAGGCAGGAGAATCACTTGAACCTGGGAGGCAGAGGTTGCAGTGAGCCGAGATGGTGCCACTGCACTCCAGCCTGGGCGAGAACAGCAAGACCCCATCTCAAAAAAAAAAAAAAAAAAAAAAAAAAGAGATGGGGGTCTCCCTATGTTGCTCAGGCTGGACTTGATCTCCTGGGCTTAAGCAATCCTCCTGTCTCAGCCTCCTGAATAGCTGGGACTACAGGCATGAGCCACCATGTCCAGCTCTGAGTGATTTTTACTTGCTTCTCTGATTTTCTGTAGTTTCCGGAATTTCTAATCAGTATTCTTCCTACACAGAAACAACCAACGAAGTACTCAAAAACATAAAGAGGAAACAGGCAGAGGGGCCATAAGGCAGCAGAAGACTGTGGCAGGGTTCTGAGTCAGGCAGCACCAGCACCTCAGCTCTGCTGGTGGCCAGTCTCTGTGGCTTAGGGCCAGGCTGTCCCCTAGCCAAAGGGAAGCAGAGACCAAGCCATGCTTTTTTGGGGCTTTCTGCCCCCAGAGTCTATGGGAAGGAGGGCAGCCCAGAAAGCCCAATGGCTTCTAAGACACTATCCTTTGCACCAAATGCCCTAGGCCACCCAAAGTCCACCCTATACCGGCAGCCAGTGTCTGGGTGGAGCTTTGCTGTCTCTCCACAGGAGCAGACACATCAGCCACCTCAGTGCCTCCACTGGCCCTCCCTCTGACTCAGGGACCCCAGTGTCCCCAAAACAAGTCTAAGCTTCTTCACGTGGTCCTGGCCCCACAGCCTGCTCACCCCCTCAGCTACACACTTCCCCGTCCATCACGCTTAAAGAGCCAGCTCCAGGAGGTGGCCCTGTGGGCCCCTCCCAGTGTCCCTACTCACCCTGAGGCACAGTAACCGCCCTTCTCCTGGGCCCCCTTTGCCCCACTTGCCTCTCTACCCTCTCCACAGCAGGCCCCACTCCATGCACGTGGCCCTGTGTCGGCTGCATGTCTGTCTTTCACAGCCTGCCCTAAATGCACCAGGCAGCTCCAGGAGGGGCTCAGCATACATTGCCTCAAGCTGGATAAAGGAATTCAGAAGGCACTCAAGAAAGAGCTTTATGGGTAGCCTGGGGCTCTCTGAGCCTTTCAATGACTTGAGAAGACATTTGGAAGCAAAGAAGTTGTGCCCAGCAGAGAGGGCAGGAATGTGGCTGGGCCGGGGCAGCCAACCCCTAAGCAACTTCTTTGTGGCAAAGCAACAGGGAATGCCAAGTTTGCATTCCATAGAGTTTCCTTCTAAAATGGGTAGCTGACCTTTTCTATTTACTTTACTCTGCTTCAGGCCAGCTGCAGGAGCCCGGGACATGGGCTGGCCAGGGAGGTTCAGGGGAAATCACCCCTAGGGTGCTTTTTCACATGTGCCAATGAGAGGAAGCAGGTGGAGAAAGTTGATGTTCTCTGTCAAGTATAGAACCAGAGTAGAGTTCTAGAATGGCGAAATGAAAGGAAGCTTTGAGATTATGAATCTGATCCAACCCCATCACTGGCAAACTGGCCTCAAAGCCTACACTGCTCATGGGGGTTTCATGGCCCCTGGTCCACTTCACTCACTCATGCTACCAGGCTTATCCTTTGGGGCGCTAGCCTCCCTTCTCATCCCTTATATCTTGAGGCTACTCCACATTCACCTGCTGCCCTGGGCCCCTGGAGGGAGGCAGAGAGGATAAGGACAGGACAGTCCCACATGGCCTGTTCCCTGAGAACAAGGTCCTCCACCTGGCCACCCTGGTCCCTCCTGGCCATACAGGCCCCATCAAGGGCCAGAGAGAGAACTGCTGTGAGGCACTCCTCCTAGTAACAGACCACAGGGAAGGCCACGCCCAGGATGCGCCTGCAGGCCTTGCAGAGGCCACCACTGACCAGAGAGACTGGCAACTTTGATCAAAGAACACTTTCATTTTTAATATTCAGAGTACAGAGACACTGGAGCTCTGCCAGGAAAACACACTCATGACACTCAGACATGCCCCTAATAATCCTCTGTTTGCTTTAGGCTCTGCACATAGAGACCTACCCCTTGTCCCCAATATAAATAACAAGGCTTCAGTTGCTGCTGCCAGAGGCCAGACTCGACAGAAGCATGAAAATGAGGGGAGAGGCAACTACCCCAAATGAGGTACACAACTGCTCTAGAGGCTGATCTGGTCTTTCTTTCAAGGGCCATTAAAATGTTCAAACTCCCTGACCCGGTAACCCTGCTCTGGGGAAATTATTCCATAGAAATAGTAACAAGACAGGAGCAAGCAAAACAAAGCATTCTATATACGCACGATCCTGGCAGCATAATTCATAATAGCTACAACACCTCTGGGATCTCTTCTGGCAGAGTGCCCTAGAGTGGCCTAAAGTACCACCAGGCTATGAGGGCAAAGGACAATTTAGTACAGGGATGTTTTTGTTTGGTGGTTGATATTTTTCTTTAGAACACTCAATGGCTGGCTTTGCAGCAAATGAGACTTTTAAAGAGCCCAGTGGCTTCCCCACTCGTGGGCAGAGGAGACTGTCCTCCAGCTGTCACCCAGCAAGGCAACTGTGGCCCCAGCCTGAAGAACGGGTACAGTGTAAGGCAATAAAACCTCCCTTCCCTTCTCTTATCCAGCCCACCCCAAGCCTCCTGTCCTTCTGGCCACACAAAGAGGACAAGGTCTATTGGAGCACATGACACAAGAAGTGACCATGGGCAGGACAGGGCCACATCACAGCCTCAGGGGGTGGACAGGCCTCCAAGCAAGTCCTGGCAAATGCGTCCTCAGCGGGTTTCAGAAAAAGGAGTGGGAGCGCCTTTGTGCCCCCACCTGAAACCACAGGCCAGAAAGCATGAGATAATGCACCCTCCCCAGTAGGGGCAGCCTCCACACATGGCCTCTCAGAGGCCACCTCTCGAGACCACCCTTCCACAGAGGAAGAGGGTGTCACTGACATTTTCTCAATGTGGAAAACAGTCCAGAAAGACTATCCAAGGTGCCAGAGTTGAAGGAAGAGCCGGAGGCAGAATCCACACCCTGCTCTCTGGCCTAGGGGTGGACCCCACACCAGCTTCCTGCATCTGGCTCCTCAGGGACCAGCAACTGCAGTAGAGAAGCTACCTGACACAGTGACTGGGGCCTGGCCAGGGCTGCAGGTGGCTGTGCCAGGGCTCTGAGTGCTCAAGTGTTCCTCAAAGGAAAAACTCCTGCAGCCTACCCCACAGTGGAGTTCAGCCTACAGCATTATCCTGGAAACTCCCTCCCTCAACGGGAGCCCAGCCTCTCAGCTCTCCCCACTGCCAGGAGAAGCCTTCCTCAGCCCTAAAAATTACAATTTTAGGTCACAGGTCTTAGAGGCAGAAGGAGCTTCAGAAGTAGTACAGTCAAGCCCTTGCCTTAAAAACAAGGAGGCCGGAGAAGCCAGAGCTGGCTGGGGATGAGATCTGTATGGGAGCCCCCACCAAGACAGATCAACAGCTATGGCCACGTGTTGGCACCAAGGCCTACCCAAAGGCCCCTGAGGGATGGCTTATAAGCAGCCAACGGCTGTTCCAGGCAATGACCAGGGCTGAGTGTTAGTTAAATGAGGCCCCTGCCCTGCTGGAGCTGCCATCGCATCTGCATCATGCGGTCTGCACCCACTCTCATCCCAGACGCTGCAGAACCTAACCAAGGTGCTCTACACTGACAAGTTTGAACTTTGCACCCATCCCACCTGAAAGCCCATAGCTAGTGGGTACTTAAGGCGTTAGAAAAAACTGGTCTGCCAAAAGCAAAACAAAAAACCCCAAGACTGAAAAATAAATCATGGTACTCTCAAAGAAATATTAAGCTGCCATAATTTCATGAAAGTGTATTTACCAAAAGATAGTCATGACACGGCTCATGAAAAAATGTTACAAAACAGCATGATATGCACAGATACATGTTGATCTGTAGTTTCTAAGTTTTCTACAATAAAAAAATCTATAATTTATGTAAATATCAATTGAAAATTTTTTTTTTTTTGAGATGGAGTCTCGCTCTGTCGTCCACTGGAGTGCAGTGGAGCAATCTCGGCTCACTACAAGCTCCGCCTCCCGGGTTCACTCCATTCTCCTGCCTCAGCCTCCCAAAGTGCTGGGATTACAGGCGTGAGCCACAGCACCCGGTTGTAAATATCAATTTAAATTTTAAAACAGGAGAGGAGTAAACGTTTATGGCAGATGAGCTAAGCCCCAAAGGGCCCATAAGGTGAGAACTGGATTGGTCACACTGGCCATGTGGGACCCAGATGTTGGGGGACAGGGGCCTGCATAGCCCACTGCCCCTCACCCTCCCAGGGCCCAATCTAGCCCACAGACCACTCTGGGAAAGTGGATGGTGCTCAACCCCATAAGGCTGCCCTGAGTGGCAAACTGCCAGCAGCTGCTGCACTCTGCCAAAGACTCTTTTCCCCACACAGGGAGGGGTCTCAGTGCCAGCTCCACTCCCTTTCAAAAGTTGGAGGATTTTAGCCAAGGAAATTTTAGCCAAGTCACTTCACCTGCCTGGACTGTAGTTTCTTCACCTATAAATGCAGATCACATTAGTCCCAGAACAGAGGTGAAGACTTCATAAGAGGGGCTTTGGAAGCTGAGATCAGGACATACAAGATATCAAGACTTAATGCACACAGAAAGGATTCAGCTGTGCTCCTACCCCACCCTACCCAGAAGGGAGGTGCCCGGTGCCAGCACATGGTGAGTCGGCTTCACCATCTTCCTTAAACCAGTTCTCTCTTGATTCATTCTCCCACATTCCCAGGCCTATTCCCAAGAAACAGGGTCAGGAAAAACGAGGCAGTCGTGGGTCCCTGTGCTGCTGCTTCAGCAGGAGATCTCCACTGCCCATGACTGGGACATCACCAGATGTAGACATCCTCTACAGTGGGACTGAAAGAACTCAGGAGGCGTGATGGGAGCCGCCCTGGTCGGTACCACTACGGTGGAACAATGCATGCCAAATCAAGCTGATGTCATGGATCAAACAACCATGATCTGTGATACACCCTGGTGTGTGGAAACCATCAGTGGGGCCCAGCACACAGAGCAGAGAGGCCTGGCATTGGCTGGACTCAAGGGTTTGGGCACTGGGCCAGGGCTGGGCCTTAGCTGGGGTGGGAAGTCTCTCCACAAGAGGGTCATGCACACATTGAGCTGGGGAACAGATTTTCCATCTCTGAAGAAGGAAGGCTAGTGGCCTCATTGCTTTTGCAATATGTGACACCCAGCACCGGTCAAACAACTATCTCTGATGGTGACCGACTTTTCCAGCTGTGTGCAGACCTCCATACAAAGCCACAGGGAGGTGGTGGCTGTGGAGGTTGGGAGGTCGGGACTTGCTTGTTCAGGCACTTTCTGGCATAGGAGGAGGCGAGTGCTCCTGGTTAAGTGCCTCCTCCCTTCTCCTCCCACCTGTCAGCCCCAACCCAACAGTCCATCCATCCCACAAGGCAGGGTGGCAATGGCTGTCAGCCACAAACGCTGCCCTAGACATGCCTCCATGGCACATATCAGCCAACCTCCCATCAGGAAGAAGTGACGGAGAGCTTTTTAAAAAAAAAAAAAGCAGCTAAGCAGCTGACACTGACATGAACGCCCCTGAATGCCCTCTTCCATGGGCCAGCTTTCCAGGGCACATCTTATCTGGGCAGTACACAGGGGGCTGGGGGAAGGGAGCTGCCTTAGGGATGAGTCATCCATGCCTCTACAGAGTTAGCTACAAGAGGGCTGGCAGAGACAGGGAAGAGTCAGCCCAGAGAAGTAGGGCCCATCTAGGGGTAGGAATGCATCCTTTCTTCCCACAGAGCCTGGGCTGGTGGAGCTGCTGGAGCTCACTCCCACCCAATGGGGATTTGGTTGTATGGGGATAGGACAGGATTTATCCTAGGAGAATAATACAAATTTTAAAAAGGAATCTGGATCTATAGATTCAATGCAATTCTATCAAAATCCCAGCAAGCTTTTTCTAATAGATATTAACAAGCTAACTATAAAATGCATAAGGAAAGGCAAAGGAACTGTTAGAATAGCTAACATAATTCTGAAAAGGTCTCCTCAGGCAGTGGGGCAGGAACACAGGCAGGCAGGCGAGTGGCTCTTCAAGATGGCTGGTGAGGGGCAAGGTCCTGGGGTGGCTCCCTCCAATCCTGCTGGATTTTCATTTACTTAGCCACAAACCCTGGCCCTACAGTGTATCTGGTTAGACAAATGAATCTGCAAAATGAGACCACTCAGCTTATTTCCAAGGACTATCTAATGCAGCAAATAAGCGAGGCTCTACAAAGTGGTTCCTAATCACAAACTTCTAAGTCACATTTCCTTATTTCTACTCCCATCCATTGCCTCACATTTCCCCCAACTGTTGCCTTATTTGCAAAGCTGGCACATGCTTTATGTAAAAGTTACTTCTGCCTTTTCGAGGTGTGTCCAGAGTCCTTTCACTCTCTCGGGAGGACCTCACGGTGCCTTCCTTCTGCCCAGAGCCCCAGCACTAGCTGGGCAAACAGGTATGGCATTTGCTCTGTTCGTCAGGTGAAGCAAGTTTTATTTCATTTTTTTCCACCTTTGGTTGAAGATTCTGCGGCTCACTGAGGCAATGTGACTTGCCCAGGGTTAGAAAATTAACTGGCAGGGCTTGGCCTCAAACCCGGGAACTGCTTCCAAAGCTTGACCTTACTCCATCTGTCTATGTCCTTTCATTTCAGGGACTGCTGCTGAACCAAGAATCTTCTCAACATGTGTTCTTCCCCTAAGTCCCTAAATTAAAGCAGAAAAAAAAAATTTAAAGCATGATGAACTAGCTACATCAATATATGGAACTGACCACCAGGCAGGGGACACTGAGTGACCTGGAGAGTAACTGAGGCAGATGGACCCTGCTCTCTGCCAGCTAATGGGACATAGGGAGCCGAGACACTCACAGGCAGCAGGCCCTGGGGTCACCCAGTCATTAGAGTTCAGAGCTGAGTGGCCGTGTGGGATGGAATGACTCAGGGAGGAATCCTGGTCAGGGCATAAGAGGAGAAACTAGGGAACAAGAGGAAGAGGAGGGCGCCCCCTCCATCTCTCTGTAGGGCCTGGGTCAGGGACGCATCAGAGACAACTTAGTCTTTCCCATCCAGGTTGGGCCCTTGGTCTCAGATGCAGATCTGTGTAACTCCCTTGGCGTCACTCCTGAGATGGTGAGGGGGTCAGACTGGAAGGGGCCCCCAGGGACACTGTGTAAAGGAGAGTTGGGGTGATGTCTGTTCATGCCTCCCCAACAAGAGGCTATACCACCCACCCTTTCACACTGCAGATTCATGCCTCTGGACCTTTGCCACCCAAACCCTACCATCTGGATTCCAGACTTAAAAGGTATGTTCTCCATAAGGCCTTGTCCCACTGAAGGCAGGACAGTGTTAGTTGAAAGCACCCCTGAGTGGGCACCACACTCCTCTCAGCACACTCCAGAATGGCGGGTGCTGGTGGGGCTTCACACCTGGCACCTGGGCTCAACCCAGAGTGACCCTGACTGAAGTAGGCTGTTCTCGCCTCCCAGCAGCCGAGGAAGAAGGATGCTCACTGGCGAATGGCCTCAGGGGTCATCTCTCCAATGGACTGGAAGGTCACTTCTTTCTCTCCAGTGGCAAAGGAGGCTGTAGCAGGGGCTATGGCCTAGGGGGTTCTCTGGAATCAGCTCCCAATCCATAAGCATCCTGCATGAGAGCCCCTTTCCAGACTTGGGGTACAAATAAAAAGCAAGATCCCCTGGGATGGACACGGCCTCTGCTGCATCCTGCTCTTCCTGGAAAGTCCATCATCCCCAATCCCTGGACCCTGCAGTCTAAAGTTACGTCCACATAGGTCTGGCCCTGTGTTAGGCAACCAATGTTCTAATCTGCCTTCCTAAATAACCTGAGCAAGCCCTCTGCTCTGGATCTGTTAAAGTCAGAAGAGTCTGCTTTTCTCTGGGGCCTACAAATACAGGCACAACTCCTTGCTAAGGCTAGGCTTCCTGGCAACCAAGGGAGTGACCGAGTAGCAGGCCCTGCCAGGTACAGGATGCTAGAAGTCCACCTGCCCAAAGTCTCTAGAAGGACAGCCCCAAAAGCCAAGCTCTCAACGACTGGGAGGCAAACCTGTTCCACCATGCTCCACTGCCTCAAAAGAGGCCAGATTAGAGCAAAGCAGAAGAATATGATGAGCTGAAGCAGAACCCAATTCAATGTCCAGCATGGTTGGTCCCTGGGCTGCGGTGAGAAAAAACAAAACAGGGCCCTGCACCTGCCCAGCTCAGTGGGCTCAGGACAGGGCCTCAGAGCAGGTCTTGTGCTCCACTACAAATGACCTGTAAGACCTAACAGGAAGCAGGTCCTCACATGGCAGGGCCTCTTTTATCTAGAACTCACTGACAGGAGCCTGGAACTACACATGCCCTTTGGTTTTTTTCCCACAGTTTTCATTATGATATATCTCAGGCACACAGAAAAGTCCGGAGAATAACCTAACACATATACTCACCTCCTGCAGAGTCAATAAAAGTAATGTTTTGCCATATTCCAGACAGGTTTGTTCCCCTCCTGTTTTTTTTTTTTTTTTTTTTTTTTTGGTACAACAAAATCACACATCATTGGCCAGGTCCACTGGCTCACACCTGTAATTCCAACACTTTTGGGAGGCTGAAGTGGGTGGACTGCCTGAGCTCAGGAGTTTGAGACCAGCCTGGGCAACCTGGTGAAACCATGTTGTTTTTGTACCAAAAATTAGCTGGGCATAGTGGTGCGCACCTGTGGTCCCAGCTTCTTGGGAGGCTGAGGTGGGAAGATCGCTTGAGCTTGGGAGCCACGTGGAGGTTGCAGTGAACTGAGATAGCGCCACTGCACTCCAGCCTGGGTGACAGAGCGAGACCCCATCTCAAAAAAAAGAAAAAAAAAATCACACATCATAGAGCCTTTCCCTAATCCTGTTTCCTCCTTGCTTCCCCAGACAGCAATCGGAGGCATCACTCCTCATGTATGTGTTTACACTTCTGCTTTCGCTTTCTTGGCAGCACCTGACACTGTATCACACGCCTGCTTCTTCGTTAACAGCCTGTCTCCTTCCAGAAAATGTCAGCTCCATGAGGGTAGGGGCTGTACTTTGTCTGCTGTTGCCTTCCAGGGGCCCACAATGGTGCCCTGCACAGAGCAGACAACCAATAAAGTCAGTACTTGCCAACTGAGTAACACACATATATCATTTTGTGTTCCTAAATTTGATATAAATGTTCCTGCCCTGTATGCCTCAATTCTGAAACCTGCTTTTTTCCTTCACTCAACACCATGTTTGAGATTCACAACCATATGGTTCAACATTCAAGCCTCTTACTGTATGACCCACCCACCCACCTGCTAAACCAGCGACCCTTCTCTCTCATCGAGGAGGGGGAGGGGTGGGGATCAGAGAAAACACCACCAGCAAATCAAAGCCCAGAAACTGGAACTCAGGCTCCAGCCAGAGTTCCAGTTTTTGAGAAACTAAGAATAAACCAGAAGACCAAAGGGCCTCTAATATGTAGTTACCACAGAATGGGGGAAACTGTGCCAGCACCCACCCATAAAGCCACATATGTTGGGGTCACCTGGCAAAGGAGCAACTAACTGGCCTTCATCTTCCCATCACCAGCCAGGGACCTTCAAGAGCTGGGGGCTGAGGCCCAACAAAAAGCCCCAGGCCCAGTGCCGGCAGACCCACTCACTGTTTAGCATCACCAGCCTCTAAGCATAGAGCTGGTAGCATGTCTGAACCCGAGTAGGGGGCATGGACTCTGCAGGGCTCTCAGGATGGTGTGAAAACACTCTGTAAGTCGTGTCTGTGATTGCTCCTGATTACAAAGGCAGAGATGAGGCCCGCATGTGGGGAGGTTCTACTCATACTGGTGAAGGTGAAAAAAGGCTGTGGCATTAGGAAAGCCTGCTCTGGTGTGGCTGCCCAGCTTCCTCTAAAGAGCATTCCCTCCCCTCCCGCTCCCCCTGGGCAAAGCAGAGCCTAAGCCCATCAAGATCTACACCCCCCTGTGCCTGAAGGAAGCTGCTCAGAGCAAAGGAAATCAAGGCAACCTGTCCAGAAAGACACACAGTCTGGCCCCAGGAAGAGAGCCCCATCTCAGGGCTAGGCATGGGAGGGAGGACATGAGACCTCTGGAACTGCTGACACGGGAGTGGTAGTCAGACACTCTGCTCACAAAGATCAGCAGCACAGCTTTGCCTCGCTCACCCCACACACTGGTTCCGGCAACAGTTTCCAGGCTCCAGATTTTTGGGAGGCAAAGCAGCATCTGAGGCTCTGTGGAGGTTGCAGCCCTCAAGACTGCGGGGGAAGACCTTGTGCCTGCAATCACGAGGGAAGTGTACCCAAGACCCTCACGTGTGCTGTGTTTAGGCAACTTAAGTGGACCCAACCAGATGAGAGTATTCGACAAAATAAGATAAATACTACAGAGGGAAATGAAGCCAGAGGGACACAGACAACGAGAAAGGCGCCCTTTGAGCTGAACTCTATGTGAAGACCCAGACATCAAAGGTATAGGAGAGATGAGAAGGACCTCCAGGCTGAGAGGACGGACAAAAGACTGGTCAGGAAATGCTGAGTGGCCAGAGGTGGCAAGGGCCGACCACAAAGGGCTCTGGCTAGAGGGAAACCAGAGGAGGTTGGATGAGGCTAGATGGTCCAGGCAGAGCTTCACATGCCAAGTGCAGAAGGGGCACTTACTCAGTAGGCAATGGAGAACCACGCCACAAAAGGTGTATGAGAAGGGTAAAAAGGCATAATGTAAGGGCTAGAAAGAAAATGCTGGGGGCTGAGTAACAGCCAAATGGAAAATGAGGGAAAGGAGGCAGAGAAGGCCTCGACAAGGGCCTTCTGAGATGTTGAGATTTTAAGGTCTGAACAGGACAGCCATGGGCAGAAAGAAGAGGGGAGGGAACAGGGCAGACACTGAACAGAGTTGGGAGGACCCAGAGACTGGGAGACCGATGAGTGCTGGAGGAGAGAGCAGACCCTGGAGCTGCACACGGGCATTACCTGTGCTTCTCGCCTTCTTCCTCCTCTTCTCTGAGATGCTTGGTCTTTGGCTCCCCATCTTCCTTGTCCTGCAAAGAAAGGGAGAAAACCACCAGCTCAGTTGAAAGCTCCTACTTCCAGTCCACGTGGCCCAGGGAGCTAAAGAACAGGACATCTCAGAAGGGGGGCACCTGGCAGGGCCCAGCTTGGTGTCCCAGACTCCAACAGGGTACACGCCTGCTGCATCTCATAGGCACAACTGGAGCCTCATTGCCTGTGCAGAATTTAAAAATCCATAACTCTTGGCTGGGCGCGGTGGCTCATGCCTGTAATCCCAGCACTTCAGGAGGCCGAGGTGGGCGGATCTCGAGGTCAGGAGATCGCAACCATCCTGGCTAACACGGCGAAACCCCATCTCTACTAAAAACACACAAAAAAATTAGCTGGGCGTGGTAGTGGGCGCCTGTAGTCCCAGCTATTCGGGAGGCTGAGGCAGGAGAATGGCGTGAACCTGGGAGGCAGAGCTTGCAGTGAGCCGAGATCAAGCCACTGCACTCCAGCCTGGGCGACAGAGCGAGACTCCATCTCAAAAAAAAAAAAAAGCAACAAAAAAAGTCCGTAACTCCAGCCCAGTCCCAGGTACCTGGTAGCCCTTAGAGAACACTCACAGAAAGAGCTGGATGGCTTTAGGTGGTGAGAAATGCAGCCACTTGGTGCCATGGAGGGGCCATGCTGGCAGGCCAGCAGTCACCTTCATGGGTCTAGACAGAACCACCTGCTAAGCTAGGAAAGACTGGGGAAAGAAGTTACCAGCAACCAGGGCAGGATGAGAGCTCAGGCCTCCTGAGACACCTTTCAGGCCAGAGTCCTCTCCAGAAATACCTATTTGATTCGCTTTAGAAGTAACATGAACTAGGACCAGGCTTGCAACAAGATTCACTGCCTAGGCCTATGCTATATTCAGGGAGACAGAGGCAAGGGGAATTAGTCTGAAGTTTCCATGAAAATTTTCTTAATCTGGTTCTTTTGACTTCCCACCAACTGCACCTCTTTTTGAAGTCTACAGAGTCATGTTCATCTCAACCTTGACATGTTATGCTTGTTCTCAGGTGCACTGGGGGCCACAACAGAAGGAAACTGCCATACTGCTTCCACCTGAAGCAGAAAATGTCTTCCTGGACTTTATCCTTTATTATGTGATTACCTCTGTTAGGTCAGCCTGCCTGTGGACAAACTGACGCAGGGCGTGTGTGCACATGCACAAATTCGTGTGACCACACCTGGGGCCCAGGGCATGGACTGAGAGGCCCCAAGACAGAGCTGTCGTGGGTCTCCCTGCATGCCAGGGTTGGCACTCCAGAAGGTGACAATGCTCACTTCACTATGGCAGCGTCCTGCCTTTGACTCTCGCAGAGCAGTGTTCTAAGAGAGATCTGTGAGCTCCTTCCATTGGGAGCCTGCTCTGGTGGACACAGAATGCGCTGGAGCCTGCATATAAATTATAAGTAAAACAGCTACTTGAACTACCTTTCCTAGACATTTATTTATGCCATTGACAACTGCCTTCCTAAGAATGGTATCTGCTTTATGTGGAGACTGCAGGCATCAACCAGACCCTGCCATTCCTTGGCCACACAACCTCCGGGGAGCAGACTACCAAAACCAGGTCGGAGGCCTGGCCCAGAGAAAGGCTTCTGTCATGAGAACAGATCAACATGCCCCCCACCCCAACTCAGGGCAGCTCATCTCATGGCAACGAGGCAGCGAGAACAAAATAACTGACCAAGTGACAGCAGCTACACGAGAGAGGTCAACATGGAACGTGGTTCTTGGGCGATGGGTGAGAGGTTTCCTACTGAGAGATGGGCTGGGCAGAATTGGGTGATACAGCATAGGGGGAGAGAAGTGGGAAGGGCATTCCCGGTGGGAAGCAGAGCTTGAACAAAGGCAGGGTGTGGTCTGAAGAGCATGCAGGTGACTGGGGTTGGGGGAGGGGGTGACAATGATTGCCAGGTAAGACAGTCAAGGCAGGCAATGGCCGAACACAGAGGGCTCTGGCCGGTGTTCTTAAGCAATGGAGAAACCGAGGAGAGACTGGAGAGAGTTCACTGACCTCTGCTGGGGAAGGCAGGCCCTGGGGTGGACAGGCAGATGCTTGGTGATGGCCAAAGAGGGAAGGGAGAACAGAGTATAAATGCTTCACTGAGAAACAAGTCAGGATTCTCCAAATGGCTCCCAGGGCTGCTGGGACCTGGACGGGGCTTCCACAAGGGCCCTGCTGACACATGCAGCCCTCCCTGACTAAAGACTAGCCGATGAAGCAAGCCAGAGCCTGCAAATTCTAGCAAAAAATTCCTTCCCAACTCCCAACCAGCGGACACCCTGAAGGCTACTCCCTGCAGTGCCTACCTCAGGGGAAGGAGCGGCAGACACCTGCCCTGGGTAAGGGCAGAGAAGGAAAAGCAGAAAGGGCTCTTCTTTCCCCACACTGGGCTAGTGGGGCAAGACCCCCAGCCACAAAGACGACTCCTTTCCACAGGGGTTCTGTTAACCCGAACCACCTGGCAGAAGTAGGTGGGGACTACGGGAAAGTGTCCAGCCTTTGGGAGGAGTGCTTTGCAAATACCATGCCCTTTCTCGGCTCTCAAGCAAGGTCAAACAGCTGTCACCACCCTCCTGGAGCCCCAGAGACATTCAAGTGCCTCAGCAAAGGCCAAGTTATTCATTAATAAATGAGAAAACACCCAACTATCTAAATGACTTTTAAAAATGCCCAGCAATCTGGTGGGTGGGGGGCAGCACTAGCTCTGCAGACAGCATGAGGTTAAAAATGACCCCAGCCTGGGATGCTGTGCAAAGAGCAGGGGCTCAAAAAAGATAAAGATCCACATCTGTGGCAGGAGCAGGTGAACAAATGAACAGGCCACACAAGTGGGGGAGATAAGGTGTACCTCAGCCTTCCTGACAAAGAGTGATTCATAAATAGGACAATGGGCATTCACGGGAAGGAAAATCGCTTTTGGTGACACTGGCCTGAATCACAAGATAAGGCCCTTTGCTGCCCGGGATAGTGGAGGGAAGCGCAGACCACTTGAAGCTCACCCCTACCTGAGAGACTCAAAGAGCCTCAGACCTGGAGGGCTCGCAGGATCACCCATTCTAGGTCCTCAGTTTAAGCCATGGGAAAACCTGGGAAATGGCAGTCAGGGAAAAGGAAAAGATTTGTCCAAAGTCACAGAACCCATCAGCGGTAGCTGCAAGTCTGGATCCAGGTCGTCCTGATGCCTGGCCCTCAGTCTTGCCAAGGAGACGAGAGAGAGGCTATCAAGAGTGGAAGAGTGGCGCTGAGTTTCTAAAGAGCTCTGATTCTACCCGCCTCTCCTGCGCTCCCCACACAGTTCAGACCTGGTCCCATGTGCTCAGATGCGGCCACAGCCAGCCCAAGTCCAAGCCTAGGCCCTGCTGGACACTCAGTAGGAAAGCAGGCAAGGCCCTAGGTGCACAGCCTCCCCAGGAATTTAGAGACACTTCGCTCACCCTGAGACCTTTAAATCAGACTCAATGCCTCACCACCCCCACTCCCCACTCAATACCCTTCCCAAATCTTGCCATCTTCTCCCTCCTTCCCAATCCCTAGTCTCGTCTACCACCTCCTTAGCTCCCCACCACAACCAAGCCCCCAGCCATTCCCCTCCACCCCTGCCTGCCAGCCAGCCTTCCCCTCTACTCTGGAGAATACAGCTGCCTCCTGCATTTTTCCCTCTCTTTCTCCAACCTGTCTCCCCTAAGTCTCTCTTCAACTTATCAATCCACATTCCTGGCCTCCTCTTCAAAGATACTGGTCAGACCACACTGCACCTCCGCTCAAAGCTCTCACTGGGTCTCCACACCCCCAGGACAACAGCCATTCATCTCGACCTCACATCTGCTCTGTCCAGAACACTCTTACACCCCACATTTTGTCTCAAATCCTGAAATATCTACTCTGATAACCCCCAAGAAAACACACCATCTGGCCAGTCCTAAAGGCCAGGCCAAAGGCCACCTCCTCAAAGCAGCCTTCTAAGATTCCCAGGCAAAAGAATCCTCTGGGCCTACCCAGTGCATATCAGGGTCTGACCGTAGGCCCAGGGCACAGGCCTGTGGCCATTCCTATTCACATGTAGGCTTTACTACCCCTTCCCTTCAAGAACCTCTCAGCACGGGGCATCTCCTAGAGCACCTCAAGGCCTAGCCCAGAGCCTGGGCTAGACAACCTTCAGAAATGCTACCAATTTAACTGCTACCCTCTCCACCAACTCCAGAAGAGTAAACCTCAGGAACGCTGATGGCTGGAGGGCAGGAGAGTCATGGTCTGGGCTGGGGCCCTCCCCATAGCCTATCTGCCTATTAATGGAGGTACTCCCCCATTTCTCACCCCTGCCCACATCTCCACACCTAGACCTTGCACCCCTGCCCTCACCTCCTCCCAGAGCCTTCAGCAGGAAGAAGCCTTTGAGGCAGGATTTCAGGGGGTCTCAAATACAGCCCTGCTCAGGACAGAGTCTGACTGACCTGTTTCCTAATGTTTGAAATCCTTTTTATCAGGGACAAAACTGTTACAAATAAAATTAGAGCTGTGCAAAGTTGGTATTGTTTCTTCCTTAAATGTTCAACAAGACTTCAGTGAAGCAATCTTGGCCTGAAGTTTTATTTGGGAAAATATTTGTTATAGGACTGTATAGATTTTCTATTTCTTCTCCAGCCAGTGTTATTAATTTATGTCTTTCAAGATGTCTGTTTCACCTAAGTTATTGAATTTACTGGCACAAAGTGACTTATATTGTTCTCTTAATAGCCTAATGTCTGTAAGATCTGTAGTGATGTTCACTGATATTGATAATTTGTGTCATTTTTCTTTATCAGACCAGCTAGAGGTTTATCAATTTTGGGACGTGCCTCCATCTCATCTCCTCAGACTCGGTGTTTCAACAATGGCTTTGCTCCTCAGTCACCTCTCTCTGGAAGGATCCCTCAATGGATGAGTACACCTGCCTCTGGATGGCACATGAAGCGTGGGGGCAGAATCAATCCACATTGCTGTCTGAATGTAGTACCACTGCTAGAAGCAGGTCAATCAACAACCAGGCCTACAGGAGGAGGGAGGAAGAAGAGAGGCTGCTCTATGTCCTCCTCTTGCCCCTTCCCACCCACAGTAAGATGAAGATCTCTTTCCTTGCACCCCTCAGTCTCCTTTGTGGGCCAGGTCTACCTTGGGCACAAAGATAAAGTAAGAACCCTATCGTCAAGAATCTCAAGTCTACTCAAAGGATCAGACTTAGAAAATGTAACTCTGTGCCATGAGTAGTAAGGAAAGCTTTACTAAATATCTTGTACACTTAGGGAATTAGCAAGGGATAGGTGTTGTCGGGGAAGGAAGTAATGCTTAAACTCAATTCTAAATGTCCACTGGGGGATTATGAGGCAGCTAAAGAAGGCAGAGCATTCCTGGGAGTGGTAACTGCCTACAAAGACATGAGAGCGGAGCAAGAGCACTGTCACAGCCTGCAGAGCAGGCCCACATGGCTGGCCCAGCCTCACCTGATGCTGTCAGGGGCAGGGCTCACAGGGCATTCCTCCAGCACCGTGGGAGGGCTGAGCCCAGCATGAGGGCCGACACCCTGAACGGGCACTGTGGTAGCCTACAAGATGTGTCATGGGAGGAACGGGGAAGACCAGAAGTCAGGTGAGATCCTCCACTCCCAGCCTGGACCTGCCCCAGCCTGCTGCTGTCTGTGTGTCTGTGTTTGGGAGGGGGGTTAAAGTTAAAATGAGGGCTGGGAACTGTCACTGGGGGCGGGTGTGCCGAAGCAGGAGGACTTGAGTTCAGGGGATGAGGAATAAGCCCCTCCCTCTCCCTAAGACTTCCCAAGGACTCAAACTTTTAGGAGCTGCTGACTAGAGCTCTCCCTTCCAGAAGGAAATAAGAGAAGCAGGAAAGGGTTAAGAGAGAGACATTCAACTTCTCATCTAGGGTCTTCCCACCCTTCTTTAGCTTCCTGAAGAAGCTAGAGACTCACCAGGAACTCATGGGTACAGAAACACTTTCCAATCCCCAGGTGATATGCCCCATTAGCTCTGAGTACGCCTGCTATAATGTCCATGGGAAACTGCCCTCTGTTCAAAAGTTAAAGAGAAAATAAGACCTCGAAATCCTAGCCCCCTAAGAAGAGGCCAAACTGGCCCCACTTTGAGCCTTTCCAGTTCTGATTTGGGCCCAGGGTGGGGAAAAAAGCAAAAGAGATGGGCACATAGTGCCTGAAGGTGACAGGAAGAGACAGACAATGCTGGGGCAAACTTGGCAGGCTCCCCAGTGTCACCTTGTGCCCATCCTCAGGGCCACTGCAGCCCCATGCCGGGGTGGAGGGACTTCCTGTCGGGTGCTGCCGTGGTGGGAGCTGTGTTCCAAGGGCACTTAGCGGGTAGGGCAGTCACCCGGAGTCTGACTCACCCTGAAGATGGAGTGATAAGAAGTGAGCTGAACACCACCATGCCTGGGACCAGAAACTGCACAGATCTCTACTGCCCAGAGACTGGCAGGGGGAAAGGGGGAGAGACTCTGCTTCTCCTGGGCAGGCTGAGATCTCGTCAGGCTGCAGAGCTCCTCACTCTGGGTCCCCTGCACTCAATGTGCTGCTAGGATGACTTGGTCCGAGTATCCACTCTATCTGCTGACCAGACCAAGAGTTCCTAGAGGGCAGACGTTTGTTGTACCAGTTTGCACCCACAGGCCTGACACCAACTACAGCAGGCACAGCACTGTGGTAGAGGAGTGCACAGGAGCGGGGAAATCCCAGCTCCATTTCATCTTGGCTGTGTGACCTTGGGCAAGTTATATGACCTGTCTGGCCTCAGTTTCCTCATCTACAAAAATGAGGATAATCATACTGACATCATATCACCATTACAAGGAAATGATGAAGGAGAAAAGCCTGCAGCTTAGGGAGCCTGAAGAACAGGGAGAATCAGGCCAGGGCAGGAAGGAAAGGGCTGCAGAAAAGCCAGCGGGGCACAGGCCCAGAACGGTGTGCCTCTGCAGAGGTCATGGGAAGCTCCCATGCCCATCATCCTTATCAGATGTTCTCAGCAATCCTGTAAGCAGACAGGGCAGTGTTGTAATACCTGCTTCACCAAGACATTAGGAGATGACGTCAGATGATCTGTGCAGTGTAGACAGATCTGATTCCCCATTCAGTGCTTCACCAAGAGTCAGCAGGAACAGGTGGTGACTACCATCCAAGAGGCTGGGATTAGCTAAGAGCCACTGCTCTCCTGTGGGTTCATGTGTTCCCTAAAGGCTTCTGAGCAGAGCAAGAACAAAGCGCTGAGCGGGAGGCTGGGAGAACAGCGAGGCTAGAGATAAGGACTGGAGATAAGGACGGGAACTAGGTCAACAGCGGTGGACTAGAACAAGGAGGTGCCTCAACGCTGTGGGGAGACAGGGAGGAGCAGAAACAACTGAGGTTCTGCTGGTGACTCACTGGGGGAAGGAAGGCGCCTTTGACAAAAAGGTGGTGGCACTTAGGGGACAAAGAGAAAGGGTGTGGCAGCCTTCAGGCATTCTAACGGTGAGGCTTGACACCCAAGGCCTGACGAAGGTTGGTGCCAAGGGATAGCACCTGTCAAGGTGCCCTCAGCGGTGGAAAGGAGGGCCCGCTCCACTCAGAAGAGAGGCACGCTGGGCCCCACCATCCATATGGCACCTCAAGGGCCAGGCCACGGCATGCCTAGTGCAGCTCCTCGCCAGGCCCGTCACACGGCCCTGCCCAGATATCCTCCATGTGTCTGTCAGGAGTGTGGGGAGCCAGCCCAAGTCAACTCTGATCCTATTCTTGCTGCAAGTGCTCAAGGGAGGCACTACAGAGCTCCTCCAGCAGACTTTATCAGTCGACAAATACTGACTGGCTCCCCTGTGGTACTCCATGCTGTACTCAGATACTCCATGCTGGGTACTGAGGAGGAAGAGGAACGAGTAGGCACCTAGTGCCCACAGAGCAGGGCAGGGGTTCTTATCCTCGGTGCACAGATTCCAGAGGTCAATGACCAGACAGAAACACAGGCGAGTGTGAGAAGGTGAATCTTAGTGGATGAGAAATCTGGAGCTCTTCAGATTCTCAAGGGGGTGGTGACCCACAGGGGAAAAGGGAAGGTGTCAACAGCCAGGGAAGGCAGTGTTTTTTTGGGTGGCATTAAGAGGTGTCTACAGAGGCTTTCCAAAGGAAGTGTCACCTTAAAGGATGAGTGACAGTGGGGACAGAGGGACGGAGGGGGAAGAGAGCAGAGGGAACAACCAGAACCATTAGTATGCAAAAGGCCCCTCCCACTGCCCTGAGACTTCACCCACACTGGCCCCAGCAGGAAATAACCTCTTGAAAGGTCACACAGAGGGCAGGGCAAAGACCAGTCTCTTCCCCTTCCTTCATATGCAGCCAGACTGGACGAGTTCCTCTGGGAAGTCTGGCCTGGCTCCAAACTCCCTCCAGGGTCCTCCCTGTAGGGGCACTGTGGTATGCAGGAAGCCCAGCCTGCAGCCCTGGACTGGGCAGGTGGTGGGAACATCAGGACACACTGCTTACCAGTGGTGGGACCTCCCTGAGGCTCTGTCTCCTCCCCTGTCAAAGTGGGGCTGGCACTACTTTAACAGGGGCATGTGAGGATTATACAAGGCAACTTGGGTCCACCATGTGGTACAGGGTCCCGCATGACCCTGCACCATGAAAAACTGCCTGCTGGCCGGGCACAGTGGCTCACGCCTGTAATCCCAGCACTTTGGGAGGCCAAGGCAGGTGGATCATAAGGTCAGGAGTTCGAGACCAGCCTGGCCAATATGGTGAAAACCTATCTTTACTAAAACTACAAAAATTAGCCGGGCATGGTGGCGGGCGCCTGTAGTCCCAGCTACTCGGGAGGCTGAGGCAGGAGAACTGCTCGAACCCAGAGGTAGTGGTTGCAGTGAGCCAAGATTGCGCTACCACACTCCAGCCTGGGTGACAGAGTGAGACTCCATCTCAAAAAAAAAAAAAAAAGAAAAGAAAAAAAAACTGCCTGCTGACATCTTGCAGTGTCCCAAGTCCTGCTGTCCCTCAGCGATGGGCCTAATTCGAACCCTGGTTCTTGCTGCATCCCTCTTAGGGAACCTGATGCTCCTTCTGTTCTCACCCACCCCTTGCCCTGACACAAAAACCAAGAAAGCACTTAACAAGAACCCAGGACCCAGCACCCAGGGCCCAGATCCATGCTGGGAAACAGAAGGCCTATTAGTATTAGACCAACCAGAAGAGAAATTGATCTACATTTGCATTTTTTTGAGATAGGGTCTCGCTCTGTTGTCCAGCTGTCCAGGCTGGAATGCATGGTGCAATCATAGCTTACCACAGCCTGAAATTCCTAGGCTCAAGTAAACCTCCCACCTCAGCCTCCTGCATAGGAGTAGCTAGGACTACAGGGGCATGCCACCATGCACAGCTTTTTTTTTTTTTTTGGGGTAGAGACAGGGTCTAACTATATTGCCAAGGTTGGTTTCGAGCTCCTGGGCTCAAGTAATCCTCCTGCCTTGGCCTCCCAAAGTGCTGGATTATAGGCATGAGCCACATGCCCAGCCCATTTTTTAAAATGTAACAACATTCATGTGAATGGAGCACATTATCCTTTTCTGAAAGTGCTACATTTTTTTGGCTAAGTCTCTGTATATGCTAAACTTAATTTTTAAAAGTGAGGCTCAAATGGAAATAACCTGTGTCCATAAATGGATGAATGAGTAAGAAAATTTAGTATATACACACAATGAAATACTATTCAGGCTTCAAAAAAAAAAGAGGAAATCCTGTCATTTGCAACAACATGGACAAATCTGGGGAACATTATGCTAAGCGAAATAAGCCAGGCTCAGAAAGACAAATACTGCATGATCTCACTTATATGTGGAATCTAAAACAGTAGAACTGGCCAGCCACAGTGGCTCACACCTGTAATCCCAGCATTTCGGGAGGCCGAGGCGGGTCCCAACTACCCAGGAGGCTGAGGTGGGAGGATCAAACAAGGCCACGAGGTCAAGGCTGCAGTGAGCTGTAACTGAACTACTGCACTCCAGCCTTGGCAACAGAGTGAGACTCGTATCTCAAAAAAATTAAAAATTAAAATAAAAAAATAAAAAGTAGAACTCACCGAAACAGAGACTAGATGGGTGGTTACAGAGGCTGGAGTTGCAGGAGAGGTGGAGAAAGTGAAGATGTTGGGCAAAGGACACAAAGTTCCAGTTAGGCAGGAGGAGTGTGTTTAAGGGAGCTACTGCACAGCATGGTGATCGGTTAATAATAATGTATATTCAAAATTGCTGAGCCTAGATTTTAAAGTCTCACCACAAAAAATGTTAAATCAGCTTGATTTAATCTTTCTACAACGTATATTGTAGAAACATCACGTTGTACACCATAAATATACAGCTATTATTTATCAATTAACAATTTTTAAAAAATCATTTTAGGGCTGGGCACGGTGGCTCAGGCCTGTAATCCCAGCACTTTGGGAAGCCGAGGCGGGTGGATCACGAGGTCAGGAGATCAAGACCATCCTGGCTAACACAGTGAAACCCCGTCCCTACTAAAAATACAGAAAATTAGCCGGGCGTGGTGGCGGGCACCTGCAGTCCCAGCTACTCGGGAGGCTGAGGCAGGAGAATGGCGTGAACTAGGGAGGCGGAGCTTGCAGTGAGCCAAGATTGTGCCACTGCACTCCAGCCTGGGCGACAGAACGAGACTCCGTCTCAAAAAAAAAAAAAAAAAAAATATATATATATATATATATATATACTTAATGAGGATCAAATTAACAATGATCTATCTGCTATCTGATTCCTTTAGGATTGTCAAGAGGCCCCAGGCTACAAGAACAGGCACCACCCATCTGTGAAGTTTCCCCACAGAATCCTTAATTCTGACCCCACCACAAAACTCGGTGGGTGGGTTTCAGCACATTCTCCTGTGTGGGCCAAAGGTCATGACCACTTTTAGCACAAAGGTGTTCTTCCCATGCCTTCTAATGATAACCATCCCAGACATATGATTCTACCTTTATTTCCCCACATGAGATTTTGTTTGACATCTGTCTTCCTTCCTAGACTGGAAGCTCTCAGAGGCCTCTCCATCACTGCTCACAGCACCTGGCACTAAGAGCAGCTGGACCAATAGTAAAGGAACCACCTGGGGAGGCAGAAGGCACATGCTAACTTCCCATGTTACAGGAACTTCTGTTGTGTGAGCCTTCCAACAGCACCCACGTATTCGGTTATCACTAGCCTTGTTGCACAGATGCAAGAACTGAGGCTGGACCAGGTCTGTGCATGTCATACCTAATACTCTTTCCATTGGGTAGAGCACAAGTTTTGGGAAATAAACAGAAGCCCAGCTCCCCGCTGCCACATCCTCAGTTCTTTCTACCACACATGCTGCTTGTTTATCCTTTAGTTGTCTGTTCTATCCTCTTTTCCAACAACTATCTGCACCTCTGCTTCTCTCCTGCAAAATGAAGACAAAAATCCCAACCCTGCCCACTTCTTGGGAGTGTGGTTTTAACTAGGTTCCATAAAATTGGAAGATTTTCCATTAGAAGGTGAGCCCTGGGCAGTGCCGAACCCAAATGTCACTCTTCTCTGTTCTGCATGTCTTACAACACTGTCAATTCTTTGGTAATAACAGTATGCCAGGCAACTGATTATTCCATTAATTAAACAGTAGTACTGATATTATCAAAAATAATCAATAATTAATCACTATGAAAATCTAATAAGGTCAGCACTCCTTTCTCCTACCACAGATGAGAAAAATGGAAGCCCAGGACAATTAAGTAACCCATCCAGAGTCACACAGCTAGAGGTTGCCAGGACGCAAATGGCAGGGCAGGCTTCAAGCATAGGCTGATTCCCTCTAGAACCCCTGCCCTTTGCTCTTGTCCCACTCCTGTCCCTACCTTTCACATGCAAATGGTTTCAAGTGTGTCTAGGGTGCCTCCATCTGTCATCACATGAGAGTTGACAGCTCTTTCTGGTGTCATTTCAGAGAGATACAATCAAACCCATCGAGAGCCCCAAATATTGTCATTTCTTGGCCAAGAACTCCAGTCCCAAAAGACATCACAAGGAAATAAAAGAGCAATGCATGCAGAGGTGTTTAGAGCTGTGTTTCTCACAGTAGGGAGAAGTGGAACTATGCAGTGAGCCCAACACCGTAGGGCACAGTTATGCAGGCCAGCATTCACATGATGGGCCAGGGGAGGCATTAAAATAGCGAGGCAGCACTATGCAACAGACAAACACACAAACGCCAGGGGTAAGAGTCCTATATTACATACTCATGATTGCAACCATGGCAATACCATACATACAAATGGCCAAAGACTTCACAGACTCGCACTCAACCGTGGGTAGTATTTTTTCCATCTTCCTTAATTCTGCTGTCAAAATGACTTAATAATAAAAGTAACCAGAGGAACCTAGCTGACTATGGCTCACTATCTTGACTCATACCCTAAACAGATTCTCTTGACCCTCACCTGGCTAAATGGGGAAGCAGGAAACCATGGCTGGCACTCAGGCCTGACACAGCCTTGTCAATGCCTAATGACTTTTCTCAAGCTTGGAAAAAAAAAAAAAAAAAAGTCCAGCTTTGCTGGTGCAGAAGAGGACAGGTTGAGCCTGCACACACCAGCGTCCCTCTGCAGCCTGGGACTCTAACCACAGTAGCAAATGCAGCAGCCAATTGTAGACTAAGCCCTCTTAAATCAGGATAGACATCTCCATTACTGGGGGGCTAAAAATGTCGGTTAAGAAACTAACTGGTGATGAGCAATGAAGTCACCTCCCCACCCTCTCACCCTACCCCACCATTTCCCTTTTCTTGGAGGGGAAAAAAGCCTCCTTCACCACAAAGCAGAATTCACAACCACTAGGACTTCCTCACCATTCTAAGCTCACGAGGGGAGCAGCAGTGAGCAAATCACAAAAGCAAATGATAAGGTCCATGCAGATTGGAAGACCCCTCCCCTGGTGGGAGACAGCTTCGTGTGGCACCCAGAAACCCCTTCCCCATTGCCTCACAGTGGACAGTCAGAGGAATCAGGCACAGGGGGCCCACCTGGTCAGTTCCAGGGACTGGAACAACCACCCAGACTCTCTGGTCCTGAGGACATGTGGCTGCTACCTGACCATCCCCAGATCTGTAAGGCCTGTAGAACAAAAGAAGGTGACCTTTCTCCACAAACTCTGGCTGGTAGATAGGATCCTTAGGCTGAGCCCAGGAGGGAAGAGGAGGAGAAAGCCCAACCACTATGTGTTCACTTTCGCTGGATCCAACAGAGACAGCAAGCAAGGACCTGAAAACCTCAGTGGGTGGCCCCTGTAAATGATACCCTTTCGCCTCCCACACACACCCTAGTCCCATGGCCCTGTTTACATCAATTCTGGATCCCCTAAAACAGTTTCCTTGATAGCTGCCAACGGCCCTCACTCAAACCTGGCACCAGATGCATCAACCTCTATAGCATCTATGTGACCTTTCATGTGGGTAGATTTGTTCTTAAAATGGGGTGGGTCAAGGGAATAAGAGCTACCATTTATTAAAAGAACAGGTATTTCCACCGGGCACGGTGGCTCACGCCTGGTAATCCCAGCACTCTGGGAGGCCGAGGCGGGCAGATCACAAGGTTAGGAGTTCAAGACCAGCCTGGCCAACATGGTGAAACCCCATCTCTACTAAAAATACAAAAATTAGCTGGGCATGGTGGCGGGCACCTGTAGTCCCAGCTACTCAGGAGGCTGAGCAGGAGAATCGCTTGAAACCAGAAGGAGGAGGTTGCAGTGAGCCAAGACTGCACCACTGCACTCCAACCTGGGCAAAAGAGCGAAACTCCGTCTGAAAAAAAAAGTTATTTCCCAACCAACCGACAGCCAACACCACAGCTGGGACATCAGTGTTCCTGGTATCCACGTCACACCACTGGCTTATTCAAAGCCTGTGACCAACTAAAATGCCCAGTTCTTTTCCAATGTTAACGGCTGTCAAAGCACCCCTAGTCCATGCCTAAACTACAGATCGAAGAAACCTAACTGACTTCACAATCACCCAGTGAAGTTCTTCTTGCTGTTAGCATCGCCACAGCCTGCACTTTTTAAATAAACTCTTGGACTTGTCCTCGTGGGCAAGTCTGTTTTTCCTGAGGAAAATCTCAGCCCAACTAACTCCCAAATCCATGTGCCTGCCTAGTTGCTTCTTCATTTGAATGTTTACGGAGTCTCTGAGTCTTGTCATGGGGCAGACAAAAAGGTGACTAAAGCAAGATGGCTGCCCTCAGGGAAGTCAGGGGCAGGGAAGAGAGAAGCAGACAGTGAACAGATAACCACCCTATAGTGCATCCAAAGCCTGAATGCCACTGGGAATGAGAGAAGGTGGGACCCGAGAACACCTGGAAGGCCAGCCAGGTGGGCAGGCTGTCCAGGGAGAGAAGAGGGAAGATGCAGACTGAGCGGTCAGAGAGGGGAATGTCAGGGTCACTAGAAGGAGCGGGTGTGTCCAGGCAGAGAGTGGTGATATCCAAGGGCACTGGGGAAGTGGGATGGGCCTGCCTGATGGGCTACAGACTTTATCTCACAAGCACTGAGAACCTGGAGGACAGGTAGAGAGGTGGCAACAATATGATTCGAGTATTTTATAAAGAGCATTTAGCAAAGCCCAGAAAGCAAAGGGGCCCCCCGAAAAACAAGCTGGATGTGAGTTAGGAGAGCCACCTTCTCACCCCAAGGACAGCAGAAGAGCAGCTGTCTCTGAGTCTGTCGGGAGGAACAGTCCCTTCCAACTGCAAGCTGCCATGTGGTACTTGCTCATCTACTCACACTTCACTCTTGTGCACACCAGGGCCTCTGGCCCCCACCAATACCCCGGAATCAGGTATTATCACTGCATACAAATGACCAGGTTCAGAACAACTAAGAAACTTAACCAGTGGCTCAGGGCTAATAAAAGATAGGCCCACATTTAAACAGGGGCTTTCTGATTGCATCAGGCTTTCAAAATTCTCTCAAATAAACAGCCCTAAGGCTTAGGTCTGCTTTCTGCCTAACAGCCAGAGAAGTGTGATCACATCTATTCTTACACCAAATGAGAAAAATAAGAAAACCACCAAACTGGTAGGGCTGCAGAGGCCTCAGATATGAGCTGATAGAGGATAAACTAGCAGCAGCCCAGGGAACGGTTATAAACAGCACCTGCCAAATCAGAATCTTCCACGGTAAGACCTGGGAATCTGAATGTTCAAAGAGCCCACCTACTCCTGGGTCACATCTCTAATACATGGCCCAGTTGAGGAGCCTCTGAGTGAGACCACATGCTGCCTCCTCTTCAAGAGGCTGACCTAGAAGAGAAAGCGGACTGCATGAGGCCACACTCAGCTGCCTGAGGGCTACTGTGGTCACCAAGGTGGGCTCTGGACACAGGGCAGGCAGGATAGGAAGAAACACAAAGAAATCATTCATAAGGGGCTAGGCTCAGTAGCTCACGCCTGTAATCCCAACACTTTGGGAGGTTGAGACAGGAAGATTCCTTGAGCCCAGGAGTTCAAGACCAGTCTGGGAAACATGGTGAAACCCTGTCTCTACCACAAAAAAACACAAAGCCAGGAGTGGTAGTGTGCACCTGTAGTCCCAGCTACTTGGGGGGCTGAGGTGGGGGAATCATCTGAGCCCAGGAGGTTGAGGCTGCAGTGAGATTGCACCACTGCACTCCAGCCTGGTTGACAGAGTGAGTCCCTGTCACCACCACACCCACCCCCCCAAAATAAAAATCATTCATACAACGTAAATATCCGGAGGGCCACAGGAGATCCAGGTGAAGTGTGCAGCAAGAGAAGGGGAGAAGCCAGGGCCAGACCTCGGGTCTCGACCTCAAGTAGACTGGTGTGTCCAATGCACCATGTTCCCAAGTTATTCTATGGGCTGCCCAGAGCCCGAGCTCCTCCCTTCACTTACAAAAGCTCCACCTTGAGTCTTGGGGGAGGAAGACCCTGCCCCTTACTACAGAAGCCAAAAGTGCCCCACTCACTTTCCCAGCCTGCCTTGAAGCAGGAAGGTAACTGTGGCCCTATTGATCCAATATACCCATAAGAGACTCCAAATGGTGAGTTGTGACCTGCAGAGAGGTAGGGGTGGGGTGGCACAGACTTCTCTCTAGGGAAGCTGCAATAAGATTTGATTCAAGATTGATTCCAGGGCACAGGGCAACAGGGCTAACTGTAGTATCTAGTACTCGAAGGCAGTAGCAGTTTCCTCATTGAGCCATTTTCCATTTTTCTTATGAAATGTTGGGCTTCTTTCAGGCTGTGTACCTCTAAGGCTGGCTCTCTTTCTTTTTAATTATTTTTTTTTTCTTTTACTCCTGGTAAGCTGTAAGTGGCTCGATTTCTAAAACAACAAGCACTTTGTATTCTTCTACAATCAGCCAGAATGGATTTCTGTTGTTTGCAAATAAGTGCCTTGGCTACACATGGCCATTTATAGCAATAACCTAACAACGAAGTGTGTGGCAGGCCAGGTCTCACTAACGCAGGCCTCCGTTACGTTTCAGTACTGACTGAGTAGCTAGGTTAAATATTAAAAGCTAGCCAGGGCGGCGGTGGCTCATGCCTGTAATCCCAGCACTTCAGGAGGCCAAGGTGGGTGGATCACCTGAAGTCAGGAGTTCGAGACCAGGCTGGCCAACATGATGAAACACTGTCTCTACTAAAAATACAAAAAATTAGCCGAGCATGGTGGCAGGCGCCTGTAATCCCAGCTTCTCGGGAGGCTGAGGCAGGAGAATCACTTAAACCCAGGTGGAGGAGGTTGCAGTGAGCTGAGATCGTGCCACTGCACTCCAGCCTGGCCAACAGAGCGAGACTCCATCTCAAAAATAAAAAAATAAATACACACACACACACACACACACACACACACACACACATATATATGTAAAGCTAATAGAACCAGTGCCCTTACACAAAGGCTAGAATGTAACAAAAGCCCACCAAGAGTTTGGCCTAGGCCTTTCCTGAGCCTTGAAGCACGACAAGATAACGAAGAATTCTTAACAGGATCTGTTTAGGATTAAATAAGTTTTATTGGCGGTCTGAAGAAACTCCCCAGGCCTCCACAAACAAGTTTATTGGGAGACTAAAAGGAACGCCCCAAACCTCCATGATTTAGCAGGAGACAAGATAAGGGTAATCACCCCAGCACCTGGACCCATTATATTAAGTAAACTTACTGAGGGTCCAGAGGAAGGTCTTCAGGACTCAGATCTTAGTTATAGACTAGAAGAAGTTAATCATTTAAGTCTTTAGATGAATGCACATTTACACATAGATGTATAGCTTAGAAGATATACAAGCTCTGGAAAACTTTGTAATTTTGAATTGGTCTGGTGATAATTTCCAGGCCTTCTCCCTGTAACCAGCTGCAGAAATAAAAAAAACTCCCTTCTCTCCCAGTTCATCTGCATCTCGTTATTGGGCCAAGGGAATAAGCAGCCCGACCCTCGGTTTGGTTCTGGAACAAACGCATCCAGCACTTTATAGAGCTCAAAGTTGCGTTACATTCCATTGTTCATCCAATCCCCAACGAGAACCCAAGATAAGGGCAGGGCAAAGGTTGTGATGCCCACTCCGCGAAAGGAGGAGCTGAGACTCGGGATGTTTGTTAAGTGTTCTATGAGCTTGGTCCCAGCATCCTCCCCAACTCTCCTGACCACCACAAAGGCCAGTCACTGATGTAAGCCAAGGCCCTTACCTGAGCTAGGAGCCATCTCTCCATTCCCTCCATGCCAACACACAGCTGAGCATGAAATATACCAGACCCCAGCATCAGGCACCCCAGTATGAAATGCAAAATTCTTTACAAGTCAATTTCCAGGCAAGTCAGAGGTTTACACAGCAACAAAATGTGCTGAAGCTCCTAGACTAGAAGCTATTTTAACCTCTGGTCAGCTGCTTCTTGGAGTGTCACAATCTGAGAAGTAAAGGTAAGACAGCTGTCTGCTCTCTGGTGTGATCTACAAGTGATAAAAATCCTAATTAAACCAAATTTAAACAAGTCAGAACTGGCACATTTTTTTGTGGGGGGAAATACTGCTTCACAAGGTCTTATCCCCACCTACACACACTTCCTTTAGCTACAAAGCGTTTTTAAAAATCCACATGCTCAGCATATGGAAAGGTTGAGAAAGCAGAACCACATGAGGAGTCAATACCCAGCACTAACAACTGTGTACTGTGGTACTCTGGGCCAGTTTAGCTTCTCAGAGCTGCAGTTTCTTCAACTGCTAGATGGCATGACTTAAGGGTACGCATGTGAGTGACAGCCCTACACTGTGGCTGGCACAGAGTACGTCCTCAGTCAGTAGGCGCCAACCACAGTGATGATGATGGTGGAGCCTGAGACTCTCACCTGTGTCTTCGGGGTGAGGCCCTCTCATCCCGTGACAAAGGGGTCACATAACAGATCCCCACATTCATGCCTTGTTCCTTCCCTCAGTTCACCCAGAGCAGCCATCAGTGTCACCCGGAGGAAGCCCCAGCCCTTGCCCTCGAGCTACCACAGTTGAGAAGAGCAGACCCTACACGTGTGCAGAGAATATGAATCCAAGTCAGAAAACGCTAGCCAGTGTGGGGGGACAGGGAGGTGGCAAGGAAGAAGGGCCTTCCACAGATCATCTTCCCAAATTCAGACCACCTCCATGCCTGCCTGTTCTGCTCCTGCCCCTCCTCTGCCTAAAATCCCTCCACCTCTTTCACACCTGGAAACAGCTATCACTCTCCATGCCATCCACTCAATCCCTCAAGTGTTTTCTCAGCACCTCTACCAGCTCAGGCTCTGTCTTGTGAGTTATGCAGCCTGGGACAAAGCCCAAATGGGGACACTACTCATAAGCCAACCAATGAGATAAAGCAGGGTATGTATATCGATACTGGGTTGAGCGCTCTCCTCCACGCGACATGCATGCAAGTGTTGTCCCCCATCCCCTGTCCATGCCCTCCCTCCAAGACACTGACAGCTCTCCTCTGCCCCTCCTCCGTGGATGGCAGTATACAGTATTATACCTGGGGGTACACAGATCAGCCTTCCCACAGGGCCCCAGCCTGACCGTGCTTGAGGCAAGGGCCAGCCTCACTGACCCCATTTCCCACCCAGGCTCTGTGCACAGAGAGGCCTCAACAATAACACTTGTAACAGCCAGATGTGGAAACTGACTCCTCACCCCAGACACAGCCCAGCATTCACTCTCACTTCCTACATAGATGGAAGCTGCCTGAGTCATGGACTCCTGGGCCCAGGACAGGAAAGTCCTGCTTTAACCAGATGATGTCAAACACAGGTGCTTTTTCTTCAGGATTCAAATTACCCTGCAAGAAATCTAGTGGTGCCCTGCCCTGAAAACAATGGGAGGGGGGCTGTCCTTGAAAGGACAAATGTTTTCTGCTCCAGCCACTCACATTTTCTCTAGACAGAGCAGCTCTTTAGAGCCCTGAATCAAAACAGCCCAGGAGTGTGGATGTTACTGCCACAGGGCACCGTTGCCGAAGCAACTGTTTTTCCTCTTGGAATTCTTTCAAGGATACAAGCTGTTGCTTCCCTCCAAAACAAAACCAGGGAGAAGCCAGGGCCCCAGAATTTAAGGGAAAGCTCCGAAGGAAGGAAGAGGGCCAGGCATGACTGAGCCTTATCAAGCTCGCTATGGGGTCTCCCAGATCTCCGAACAACTGGCTTAGAAACAGCAAGTCCGTCTCAGCTGCTGAAGGTGTATGTGTAGGGAAAGGCAAATTGTGGGTATGGAGGTATAAAGGTGGTGCTGCTTATGTGTGTTTTGAGGTGTGTATGAGATATGTATTGGTGTAAAGGGGTTGGGGTTTGTAGGTGTGGGTTGGGGGCATGTGGAGGGGTGCTGTGGAGTGTTGGAGGTGTGCAGGGAATGGGAGGGTGTGGGGAGAAGGGAGGTACTATTGTGGGGGGAAGTGTGTGGGGTAGGGCCTGGGGTGTGTGGTGGTGTTGTGAGGTTAAGGGAGTGTAAGGAGGTGGGATGCACTGTAGGCAGGGGGCTGGGTGTGGAGAGTACATGCTGTATGTGCATGTGTATATGCGCTGGAGGTGGGTTGGAGGTATGTGGGATAGGTTACAGAAAATATTCCAAGATGATATATGAGACATCTTCTCCAGAAACAAAAATATGAATTGCATTTCATTTCTGTATTACAATTCTTAGTGCTACAGAATCACATGCTGCTCCCAATGTCTGCAGGGTCAATGGAAGAGCCAAAAACCATTTAAAACATACAGCCCCAGTTTGAAACAACTGACCCTGAAGCAACTATCGGAGGTAACACATATTTCTAGTCAGAACACCCCTGGCTCGGTAGGTCCAGAGTATGGACAGAGTCTGGCTAGCAGGTCAGGAGGCCAGCACTGGAGGGCCTGGCTCAGCAGGTCCTTGTCTTCCCTGGGAGTCCATGTTGTCTTTTCTCTAGTGCACAAAGCCTAAGGGGCTCAGAGTCACAGGACGCAGCATACCCACTACAGTGCCATGGGGCACCCAGGAAATGTCTGAATGTTTTGTTAAAATAAGTTTAAGAGTTGTCTCTGCCTACAAGGAACTGCCTGTCCACTGAAGGGGTGGCATGAATTGGGACTTAGAAGCATGAAAAAACAAATATATTTTAGCAGCTACCACTGCTACTACTACTACTACTATATGTACAATGACAATTATCAGGATGTTATGGAAGGTTAACAGCATGATCATAAACAGTGCATGCCAATTAAGTCACGGGAAACTCTTCTAAAACACAAATGTCAAATATCAAATAGTGCCAAGTCACTGATACCCATATGGGGAGAAAAAGAATCTTGATCCCTACGCACACCACACAAAAGTAAATTCGAGATGGGTTAGAGGTCTAAAGGTTAAAGTAAAACAAGCAAACTTCTAGATTATAACATAAAAGAATATCATCTAGACCTATATGTAGGCAACTATTTCCTTAAACAGGCCACAAAAGATATTAGAAAAAAATGATAAACTACATTAAAATTAAGAACTACTATTCGCCAAAGAATTCAATTTTGGGCCAGGTGAGGCGGCTCTCGTCTGTAATCTCAGCACTTTGGGAGGCTGAGGGGGGTGGATCATCTGAGGTCAGGAGTTCAAGACCAGCCTGGCCAACATGGTAAAACCCTGTCTCTACTAAAAACACAAAAATTAGCTGGGCATGGTGGTGGGCACCTGTAATCCCAGCTATTCAGGAGGCTGAGGCACAAGAATTGCTTGAACCCAGGAGGCGGAGATTGCAGTGAGCCAAGATTGTGCCATTGCACTCCAGCCTGGGTAACAAGAGCAAAACTCTATCTCAAAAAAAAAAAAAAAAAAAAAATTTAATTTTAAGAGCCTGAAAAGTCAAAGCCAAGGCAGGCAGAAGAGATAGTCACATCACATACACAGAACAAAGGACACATAAGGAACTTCTAGAAATCAATAGGAAAAACAGGCAACTGAATAAAAAGGAGAAGAGGTGAAAGACATGAACAGGCACTTCACATAAACATATGAAAAGATAATCCAACTTCATTAGGTAGGAAATACAAATTTAAACCACAAAAGGATGCCACTATACCTCCACCAGCCTGGCTAACATGAAAAAAACTAACTATACCAAGTATTAGAGAGGAACCGCCATACAGTGCTGGTCAGAGTGCAAAATAGTAGAGCCATTTTGCAAAAGTGTTTGACAGTATCTGTCCTATATACACCCTACGGCCTAGCAATTCCACTCCTAGGCATAGATCCTACAGATGGGTACATATGTTCACCAAGACATGTACAAGACTGGGAAGAGCAGCACAATCCATAATAGTTCCAGCCTGAAAATCCAGAGGAGAATGGATAAAATCTGGTCTGTTCAAACAATGGAATACTATACAGAAATAAGAATGCACTAATTCCACACCCAACAACTGACAAACATATGATGAATGAAAGAGGCCAGATACAGAAAACTACATACTGTTTAATTCCATTTATATAAGGTTCAAAAGGAAGGAAGGCAACTTCTCGTGTTACAAGTCCAGAGTGGTTCCCCTTGAAGAGTGAGCACCTGAGAAGTGATTCTGGGATGTTATCATGTTTCTTGATCTGAGTGACTGATGACATGGGCATGTTCACCTTAGGAAAATTACTGAGCTGATTTATGTACTTTTCTCTCTGTATAGTTTGTATGCTTAATTAAAAAGATTTTTTATGCCACTATAAAGTCATTAAAAAGAAAAACTTAAGCCCACTTAGAAATCAAAAATAAAATAATTAGCCCTCTCCCTCTCCCTCTCCCTCTCCTCACGGTCTCCCTCTCCCTCTCCTCACGGTCTCCCTCTCCCTCTCCCACGGTTTCCCTCTCCCTCTCTTTCCACGGTCTCCCTCTGATGCCCAGCCGAAGCTGGACTGTACTGCTGCCATCTCGGCTCACTGCAACCTCCCTGCCTGATTCTCCTGCCTCAGCCTGCCGAGTGCCTGCGATCGCAGGCGCGCGCCGCCACACCTGACTGGTTTTCGTATTTTTTTGGTGGAGACCGGGTTTCGCTGTGTTGGCCGGGCTGGTCTCCAGCTCCTAACCGCGAGTGATCCGCCAGCCTCGGCCTCCCGAGGTGCCGGGATTGCAGATGGAGTCTCGTTCACTCAGTGCTCAATGGTGCCCAGGCTGGAGTGCAGTGGCGTGATCTCGGCTCGCTACAACCTCCACCTCCCAGCCGCCTGCCTTGGCCTCCCAAAGTGCCGAGATTGCAGCCTCTGCTCGGCCGCCACCCCATCTGGGAAGTGAGGAGCATCTCTGCCTGGCCGCCCATCGTCTGGGATGTGAGGAGCCCCTCTGCCTGGCTGCCCAGTCTGGGAAGTGAGGAGCGCCTCTTCCCGGCCGCCATCCCATCTAGGAAGTGAGGAGCGTCTCTGCCCGGCCACCCATCGTCTGAGATGTGGGGAGCGCCTTTGCCCCGCCGCCCCGTCTGGGATGTGAGGAGCGCCTCTGCCTAGCTGCGACCCCGTCTGGGAGGTGAGGAGCGTCTCTGCCCGGCCGCCCCGTCTGAGAAGTGAGGAGCCCCTCCGCCTGGCAGCCGCCCCGTCTGAGAAGTTAGGAGCCCCTCTGCCCGGCAGCTGCCCCGTCTGAGAAGTGAGGAGCCCCTCCGCCCGGCAGCCACCCCGTCCGGGAGGGAGGTGGGGGTCAGCCCCCGCCCGGCCAGCCGCCCCATCCGGGAGGGAGGTGGGGGGTCAGCCCCCGCCCGGCCAGCCGCCCCGTCTGGGAGGTGGGGGGCGCTTCTGCCCGGCCGCCCCTTCTGGGAAGTGAGGAGCCCCTCTACCCGGCCACCACCCGTCTGGGAGGTGTACCCAACAGCTCATTGAGAACGGGCCATGATGACAATGGCGGTTTTGAGGAACAGAAAAGGGGGAAAGGTGGGGAAAAGATTGAGAAATCGGATGGTTGCTGTGTCTGTGTAGAAAGAAGTAGACATGGGAGACTTTTCATTTTGTTCTGTACTAAGAAAAATTCTTCTGCCTTGGGATCCTGTTGATCTATGACCTTACCCCCAACCCCATGCTCTCTGAAACGTGTGCTGTGTCCACTCAGGGTTAAATGGATTAAGGGCGGTGCAAGATGTGCTTTGTTAAACAGATGCTTGAAGGCAGCATGCTCGTTAAGAGTCATTACCACTCCCTAATCTCAAGTACCCAGGGACACAAACACTGCTGAAGGCCGCAGGGTCCTCTGCCTAGGAAAACCAGAGACCTTTGTTCACTTGTTTATCTGCTGACCTTCCCTCCACTATTGTCCTATGACCCTGCCATATCCCCCTCTGCGAGAAACACCCAAGAATGATCAATAAAAAAATAAAATAAAATAAATAAAATAAAATAAAATAATTAAAATCTAGAGAGAACTAACTCAGTCAAGAGGACCATAAGGAAAAAGTCCTCCAAAGAGAAGATTAAGGACTCCCAAGCACACCCAGAAGACAGCTACTTGGACACTGAGAGGGAAGCACATCCCATTCACACCCTCCTGGCTCCAGGAGACAGGAGAAAAAAACTGAGGGATTCACCATCAAGACCATGCAAATTCTTTTGTTGCAAAAGCTAACAGAAAGATTAAAAACCAGCTTGAATTTCAACATTCCTTTGCTTTCCAATTCCCTGCCCCCTATCAGTGAGGCCTGGGGAACACAACTTACACCTTGTAATACCACAGAAGTCAACCAAACGGGAGACTGTGGCGGAACAACTGTGTCACTGGCACAGCAAGAAAGAGGAACCTTGTCTTGTGGCTGTCTAGTGCCTCTTCTGCTACATGGAGGGTGCTTCAGCCACCACAGGTGAGCTAAACCGTGAAGGATCCTGAATAGCCACCCATCTGCCTCGATGGAAACCGTGCCCTCTGAGGGAAATCCAGAGAGAGGCTCACCCTTCGCCCAGGCCAGGTGTTTCTCCCCAGCATATCAGACCAAACTGAACGGGGTCCCATTCTCTTCCCTGTAGCTCACTGCAGAGCCCCTCCTTGCAAAGCTCCAAGGGATGAGGGCAGCACCAATTCTATCCCAGAGGAAGAGCACCCCCAAACTTGGCCAGGAGGCGGTGGGCTCCCTGGCCCATCCCTCTGGCTCCATCTCCAGAGGACAAGGGATTGGCCCTGTGTGATTGTGTTTGGTCCCTTACTTCTCCACATCTGTGGTGTCTCAGGTACAAGTTAAAGGGGCCCTCAACCAGAGGTAAAATAAGAGTATAGGAGAAAGAATAAATGCACACATCACACTTCCCACCTCTCAGCTCCCTTCTGCACACACCATCTCACTTAACCCTTATCCTGGGAGGGAGGAGGTACTGTGGCCATCTTCCAGCTAAAAAGGATGTGAAGAGACTTACCTATCTACACATCCCAAGGTGAGCAGGGTGGCGGAGCCAGGTGGGCAAAGCAACCTGTCCAGAGAGCAGGGAATCATGAGAGAAACGGCCAGCCTGACCCAGAAGCAGTGGTCATATTGTAGGAGCTGCAGTGCAGCCCTCAGGACCTACGTGCAGGGACAGAAAGGACAGGGGAGGGGGGAGTGTACATTTACGGCAACTTGAATCTGTGCTCCCAGGTTGAAAAAAGAAAGAAAGAAAGAAAGCGGGCTGGGCACGGTGGCTCACGCCTATAATCCCAACACTTTGGGAGGCCAAAGCAGGGAGACGACTTGAGACCAGGAGTTTGAGACCAGCCTGGACAACATGGCGAAACCCCATCTCTACTAAAAATACAAAAATTAGCCGGGCGCGGTGACACACACCTATAATCCCAGCTACTCAGGTGGCTGAGGCAGGAGAACGGCTTGAGCACGGGGCGGGGCAGAGGCTGCAGTGAGCTGAGACTGCGCCACTGCACCCCAGCCTGGGCGACAGAGTGAGACTCTGTCTCAAAAAAAAAAAGAAAGAAAGAAAGAAAGAACGAAAGAAAAGGGCTAGAGTTGCTAGAGTGGCAATATGAAGACCTGAGCACTAGCAAGAAGGCTGCCAGCATCCAAACACCAGGTGAGTTCAGACAGCAAGGCTATAAGGGCACTGCCTCAGACTGGCGCTACCCTCCTGAGAGGAGGGATGGATGTCCCGGCTGGGGTCCAGTGAGGACTTCAAGCAGTGGAAAGGAGGCTTAATTTACAGGAAGGCTTTGGCCAGCATGCTGCACCTCAACCCAGCTGGCCTGGATTCCACTGGCACCACACACTTCCCTGAAACAGCTGGACCAAGCTCACCTATCACCTTGTCTTGCCAAAACCCATCCCCAGTCTTCGCCTGGCTTCTCTCAGCCCCACTGTCCTCATGCCGCCCCACCCCACCAAGTTTCCTTGGATTCTTCTAACTCCTGCTAAATACCTGCAGAGCGAGCCTCAGGGCACAGAATGATCTCCCAGTCCTCTGTCTCTGTGGTCTAAGCTCTGTCACCAGAGGGCCTCGTCTAGCCCCAGGGCTTGATATCCTGTATCTGTTTCTAGTCCAGATGCCTGCTTATGTCTCTCTTCGCTTACCTGTCTAACAGTCATCTCTGGCTTAATGTGGCCAAAGCCAGACTCTTGCCTTCCCCTTCAAAGCCCCTCTCCCCTGTACTTTGCCATCTCAGGAACCCTGTCTGTGCGCACTGCCTCACACCTGGGCTCCTGCAGCTGCCTCCTACCTCCACACACAGTCATCCAAGGGCATGTCAGCTTTGCTCAGACCTCCAGTGGTTCCCCAACCCCCTTAGCCTGAGGTCCAGCCTTGGTGGTCTGCAAGGCCCCCTTCTAACTAGCCCAGCCTCCCAGGCCCTCTCCACCCTCATCCCCCTTCCATACCTCCCACTGTTCACTCTACTCCTACTCCTCAAACATGCCAAGCTAGTCTTGCTCAGCTTGGAATGCTCTTCCCTAGATCTTGGCATCTCACTCCTCCATCCCCGTCTCAGAACTCCCAGGTGGTGGTCTTCCCAGCCTGGGCAGCTGCACAGCCTCTCCCCAACACACACACCACATTCCCAAGTTCCTGGGACACATAAACAGGGACACCATGTTCCTTGTTTCTAAGTATTCCCACTCCTTCCATAGAAGCCCCTTGAGGCAAGGAGGAAGTCTTGTTCATAGCTGTATCCCCAGGGCCTGTCATACAGCTGGTACTCAATAAATACTTATTAGTGGCTAGCTGCAGAGTTCCTGCAGTGAGCATGGGCAGCTAAGGTTCCAAGGGAAAAAAAAGTATCCTTCTTCCAATGAGAGAATGCCAGGGACTGATCAGAGATGTCCAGAAAAATTCATCAGAATCACCTGGGGAACTTTAAGAATGCATGAATTTATAGGCTATATACCAAGACCACAATAGGTCTGAGGTAGGGCCAGAAAAAAGGACTGCAAATTGTCTCTCAAGACAACCCAACGAACAGGTAGGTCTGAGAAACTCAGATAAATCCAACACCATCATTTCATACGTGAACATATTGAGGGCCTCAGAAGGAAATGCTGGCTCACCATAGGTATGTGTTGGGAACCCCAAATCTCCCACCCAGAAGATTCTCCCTCTCACTGCCTCCACAACCTTGGAGTCTGAGAGCTTGGGCAGAAAAGCTGAGTCCTTAGGAAGAACGGGCACTCACACTCCACCTCGGCTGTGACTGCAAATCCATTTTCTTCTTAATCTAACACTTTGCACTAACACTCCATCTTCAAAAAATTAGGGCTAGGATGAGTAAAGCCAGGGTGCAGGAGAAGGACCTCTTTGCTTCCACTGGAACCGGGCCAGTTCCACCCACTGTCACCCAGCGGAGAAGGCTGCAGGACCACCTGGATGTCCCCACTTACAAGAGGGTAAAGAAGAAAGGACAGGCATCCACGTTTATAAAAGGCCTGTGTGCAAGATCTCGAGCTAGACACTTCATAGACAGCATCTTTCTCTGTTCTCCTAGCTACTGATGAGTTCAGAAGCTGTATCTCGATTTTATAGACAAGAGAGAGGCTCAGATTTTTCAAGGCTTGCTCTGAGTACCATAGATGCGATTAATGGAGCAGAGGTTTAAATCAGATCTGTCTCCAAAGTCCATTCTCTCCACTCCACCACTAGGCCTCCACCTGGCAGCCTGGTTACAGTTTATATGTGTGATGGGTGGAGGCTCCTTCCCGGGAGGTACTTATTCCCAAGCACCTGGGGGTGAGAGGTGTAGAGGGATAGAAGGCCAGAGCCTAAGGGACAATCTAGGGTCAGCAACAACTCAAAGCACGACTGTGGGATGTTCCTTCAGCCCAGGGTTTCCTGGTCTATCAGACAGGGATGAAGCAATACACCCTGCTTCAAAGTCCTGCTTCAGGGATGGAACACGATTCTGCCACAACTGCCACGCAAATGTTATGACTGCCAACCTGCCAAAAGCTGTCAATACAGGCGGCAGTGATCGCCTTGGCTGACTTTGCAACCAGGCTGCTGGGCCTGGGGATGTGGCCACATGGGATGTAGATAGAGGCAACTTCTTGAGACATGATCAGGACACGGACAAGTCTGACTCCTCACCCAGCATACTAGGCCTCTCACCCACTGCCTCTGTTCCTCCAGCAAGACTTGCTAGCCCCTCCCTCTGGTTCCCTCTTTTACCCTCCCCCAACCTGGCCAGGGACCCTCCCTAGTACTCCCAAGTCAGAGAGTACTAGTGCATGCCTTCTACCTTGGCATTGCTCCCACTCTCTGCACTGTGCATTTTTTTCTTTCTGTTTGTTTTTTAATCCTCCCACCTCAGCCTCCCGAATAGCTGGGACTGCAGGAGCGGGCCACCATGCCCGGCTAATTTTGTTTACTTATATTTGTAGAGATGGTGTCTTGTTATGTTGCCCATGCTGGTCTTGAACTCCTGAGCTCAAGCGATCTGCCCACTTTGGCCTCCCAAAGTACTGGGATTACAGGCGTGAGACACCACACCTGGCCCGCACTCCCATTTCTTGAGTGTGTAAATCACAACTATACCACTCTGAATCACCAGCACTTAACTCCACAGGGTACATACACAGATGGCCCCAAATCAGCATCTGATGGAGATACCAGCCATGAATATGGCCAACTTCCAAGCCCTCTGCCCAGCTTTGGGCTCCCAAGGCTGATGTGATGGTCATCTGGGTTTCCACTTGCCCCTTAGCGCTCAACAACTGGAGCTCAGGTAGAGACACAGTTTCTTGTAAGTCAGGCTGAAGGGAGCAAGTCCTCCAGAGATGCACCGTCGAATAAGGCAATCACGAGTCAAGTGTGGCTGTTTAAATGTAAACTAACTAAAATTAAATGTCGCAGTAGCCATATTTCTTTTTTTTTTTTTTTTTTTGAGACAGGGTCTCACACTGTTGCCCGGGCTGGGGTGCAGTGACGTGATCTCAGCTCATTGCAACCTCTGCCCCTACCAGGCTGAAGCAATTCTCCCTGCTCAGTCTCCCAAGTAGCTGGAACTATAAGTGCACGACACCATTCCAGGTTAATTTTTTGTATTTTTTGTGGAGATGGGGATTTGTCATATTGCCCAGGCTGGTCTCAAACTCCTGGACTCAAGTGATCTTCCTGCCTCCACCTCCCAAAATGCTGGGATTATAACAAGCTTGTCCAACCCGCAGACCAAGGCCCAGGACCACTTCAAATGCAGCCCAACACAAATTCGTAAACTTTCCTAAAACATTATGAGATATTTTTTGTGATTTTTTTTTTAAAGCTCATCAGCTATCATTAGTGTTACTGCATATTATGTGTGGCCCAAGACAATTCTTCTTCCATTGTGGCCCAGGGAAGCCAGAAGATTGGACACCCCTGGATAACAGGCATGAGCCACTGTGCCTGGCCGGTAGCCACATTTCAAGGGCTTGAAAGTCACAGGTGGCCCATGGCTACAGTACTAGACAGTGCAGATTAAAGAACACTATCACTGCACAAAGTTCTAGTGAGCAACACTGCTGCTCTAATCTCTAGAGCCAGGTGACAACCAGGAATTGCTGGTTGCCTGGAACCTGCAACTTGACAGCCAGACCTCAGCCCCAAGGGCTGGTCAGCCAGACAGCCAGTCTCCCTGTCTCAGAGCAGCAAGAGACAGCCCAATTCAGGGCAATCGCTCAGGAAAGCTTGGCATGTTTATGCCAAGTTAATCATCACCTTTAGAGAGCCTCCATTTGGCTGCTGAAGAAGAAAGAGGTCAAAGGAGGACAGAGTGGCCTCACACTGCCCTGCCGGACAGCACTGTAAAGAGATGCCAGAGTTTCATCCACACAGCCTTGAACTGTTCACCTACTCACCCAGCCAGGAACTTCTGGATGAGCATCAGGAAATGAGGTTCAAATACAATACAGAAAAGTGTGCCCAGGCTGGCTACCATCCCTGCTGGAAACCCTGGCTCTTGCAAAACTTGGCTACCAGAGTACCCCAGTCCAGCACTTTCAGACTGTACCCCTGCCCCTGTATCACTGCCAAGTGCTTGCTGTCAAACTCCCTGGAGCATCTCCACTCTCACCTCTATGCACCTGAATGTTCCCACCTCTAAAATGCTCCCTGGGAACACTCTCCTTTCCAGCTACCTCGATGACCTTCTCCCACTTCCCCATCCTCCGTGGCTCAGCTCAAGTTCCATGCTGCCTTCCCATGAAGCTTCCTCAGGCTCTGCCTGGCTTTCCCAGAAAATGAACCCCAGCAGTACTGTCTTTCTGCGTGTCAACGGGAACTGGCTGACCTACAAGATGCTGCTTCAGGCAGTGCTGTGTCCTCTACAGAATCCCCTTCCCCCAGGGGGTCTTGCATGGGCTGGAATCCTGGAATCCAGGAGACATTACTTCCCCTCCTCAGCCTTGGACATCCCAGCTCTCCTCAGCCTCTTGCCTTGCTCCTCTCACTAATAAGTGGCATCAGGTGGGCTGACCAGGACGTCTTTGTAAAACTACAGCTGCATGACTACAAGAGAGTTTTGCGCAGAATAATACACGGAAACATTGCAACCCCTAATCTTGTCTCTTTCCATCTGCCACAACCTCAGGACCCTGAATTGTCTTAATATCACTAAATTATGAGTTTATAGTCTGGTGAGAGTTAGGAAGAAAGATAAAACTGTGAGGAAAACCAACTCCATGCCTGAAATTCCTAAGGCCTCCAGCAAAACCATGCCCACAGTAAGAACTCAATGAAGGACCTGCCACTGAGTGCTAGGAAACCAGCAAGATGCCATCCTCATGGGGCAGACAGGTGCTCTCCAAGTGCAGGCAGAGAAGGTGCTCAATCCTGGTGTCTGTTGTCACATCAGAAACCTGAACTAAAAATGTGAAGCCGCTTCCTCTCTGAAGGAGGAGACTCAAGGGGTTTTATCTGGCCACAGCAGGCAGTCATACTTCCTCACCAGACTCCCCACTTAAAAGGTCCAGCAGAAAGGGCCACAGGCTGGAAAATCAACTCAAAGGTTAGACCCTTACCTGTCCTGTCCCCAGGCATTCACCTTAATAAAAAAAATCACTCAAGAACTATAGGGATTAAATATGACACTAAAAATACATGCAACAAAATCAAAAACAGATAAATTGAACTTCATCAAATTTTAAACTCTTTGCGCAGCAAATGAGACTATCCACCAGGTGCGGTGGTTCACACCTGTAATCCCAACACTTTGGGAGGCCAAAGCAGGAGGACTGCCTGAGGCCAGGTGTTTGAGATCAGCTTGGGAAACACAGTGAGACCCCCATCTCTACAAAAAATTAATTTTTAAAAAAATGACACTACTAAGAGAATGAAAAGATAATCCAGAGAATGGGAAAAAATATCACTAATCTCATCTCTAATAATGATTTAATATCCAGAATATATGAACAATTCAATGACAACTCAATAACAAGAAAAAGAGCCCAATTAAAAATATGGGCAAAAGGAATCTGGATACTTCTTCAAAGAAAATATATATACAAGTGGCAAACAAGCATATGAAAGGATGTTCAACATCACTCATCACTGGGGAAATGCAAATCAAAACCACAATGGGATACCACCACTTCACACCCATTAGGAAGGTTATAATTAAAAAAACGAAAAAAGAAGATGGCTGGGCTTGGTGGCTCACACTTGTAATCCTAGCATTTTTGGAGGCCAAGGCAGGAGGATCACTTGAACCCAGGAGTTCAAGACCGGCCTGGGGCAACACAGTGAGACTCCTGACTCCTTTAAAAAAAAAAAAAGAAAGAAAGAAAATAAAATAATAAGTGCTGGGGAGGATGTGGAGAAACTGGAAGCCTTGCACACTGCTGCTGGGAATGTAAATGGTGCAGCCACTACTGAAAACACTATGGTGTTTCCTCAAAAAGCTAAACAGAATTATCATATGATCCAGCTGTTTTCCCTACACATAATTACATTCCTCTCCCTGCTATATAAACCCCTGATTTTAGTTCGTCGAAAAGACAGATTTGAGACTGATCTCCCTTCTCCTCACCTGACATCACCCGAATTTAAAAAAAAAAAAAAGGCCCAGTGTGGTGGCTCACGCCTGTAATCCCAGCACTTTGGGAGGCCGAGGTGGGTGGATCACCTGAGGTCAGGAGTTTGAGACCAGCCTGACCAACATGGTGACACCCTGTCTCTACTAAAATAAAAAATTAGCTGGGCGTGGTGGCATACACCTGTAATCCCAGCTACTGGGGAGGCTAAGGCAGGAGAATCGCTTGAACCCAGGAGGTGGAAGTTGCAGTGAGCTGAGATCGTGCCATCGCACTCCAGCCTGGGCAACAAGAGCGAAGCTCCATCTCAAAAAAAAAAAAAAAAAATTAATCCCAGCTACTCGAGAGGCTGAGACAGGAAAATTGCTTGAACCCAGGAGGCGGAGGCTGCAGTGAGCTGAGATTGCACCATTGCATTCCAGCCTGGGCAACAAGAGCGAAACTCCATCTCAAAAAAAAAAAAACAAGAATTACCATATGATCCAGTAATTCCACTTCTGGCTATCTACCCAAAAGAATTTAAAGCAGATACTCAAACAGGTATCTGTACTCCCATGTTTCTTCTTTTCTTTTTTTTTTTTTTTTTTGAGATGGAGTCTCACTCTGTCGCCCAGGCTGGAGTGCAGTGGCGCATCTCAGCTCACTGCAAGCTCCGCCTCCCAGGTTCACGTCATTCTCCTGCCTCAGCCTCCCAAGTAGCTGGGACTACAGGCGCCCACCACCGCGCTCGGCTAATTTTTTGTATTTTTAATAGAGACAGGTTTTCACTGTGTTAGCCAGAATGGTCTCGATCTCCTGACTTCGTGATCTGCCCACCTCGGCTTCCCAAAGTGCTGGGATTACAGGCGTGAGCCACCGCACCAGGCCTTGTACTCCCATGTTTATAGCAGCGTTATTCACAACAGGCAAAACGTAGAAGCAACCCAACTAAACAAAACATGGTATACACAACGGAATATTATTCAGCCTTTAAAAAAGGACTGAGATTCTGACATATGCTACAACATGGATGAAGTGTGAAGACATGCTAAGTAAAATAAGCCAGTCACAGAAGGACAAATACTGTATGATTTGATTACATGAGGTACCTAGAGTAGTCAAATTCAGAGACAGGAAGTAGAACAGTGATTGCCAGGGGCTGGGGAAAGGGGGAATGGAGAGTTATTGTTTAACGGGTACAGAGTTTGGGATGATGAAAACGTTCTGGACATTGAATTATACATTTAAAATGGTTAAAATAGTAAATTGTATGTGTATTTTCCCACAATTTTAAAACATAGAAAAAATAACAATCAGGCCATACTTCCAGCCCACTGAGAGGATCCCTCTTTAAAAGCCAGTTCTCCTGATGATCTAGCACGTCCTTCCCTGGCAATGGGCTCTGTGGATGCTATTTTGTCCGTTGCATTCCGACCTCAAACCCGGCCCCAATAACCTGCCCTAAATCCAAGCGAACAGCTCAGGTGAACTAGCCATTGTTTGAAAGGCTGAGGTTTGAGCTTCTCTGGGACAGGCAATTTAGGGGCTGTCTGATATGTTCCACAGGCAGCCAACAAAAGCAGAAGCCACTCTAGCCAGCTTTCACACCCTATTACTTCCCTTTTCACTTTCACACAGGACCCCCAGACTGCCATGCAGTAAGGAAAATAGGGGTCAGACTGTCCAGCCTGTTTTTTCAGTTGGAAAGTGGGAAGTGCCCCCCATCTCTGACAGGTCTAGCTATTTAACATTCTTTTACTTCACACACTGAAGGACACAGTTTTCACCCATCTAAAACTACGGCCCTCATTGGTCTGTCTCTGTAGCCCTTTCACACAGATTATCCCATTAGATCTCACAATAACCCAATGAGAATGAATGTGTACGGACTGTCATTCCCCACTGGAGACATGAAGAAACCCAGCTCAGAGAGATGAAGCAATGTGTCCCAAGTCCAGGTAAAAAAGCAAACTAGGGTTTGCACACAGGTAGTGAACTTCAGAATTCTTCTTCCTCTCCATTACGTTGGAAAGATGAACAAAGTAGAAATGGAACTTTTCATTTGCTGTTAAACGACAGCAAAGAAAAATGCTTCCGAATATGGCAATTAATAGGCTAGTAGGCCCATCCCCAAAGAAAGAACTAAGGCCCTCTTCTTTTTTCCCAATTTTTTTTTTTTTTGAGACCAGTCTCACTCTGTAACCTAGGCTGGAGTGCAGTGGCGCGATCTCGGCTCACTGCAACCTTTGCCTCCCAGTTCAAGAAATCCTCCTGCCTCAGCCTCCCGAGTAACTGGGATTACAGGTGCCTGCCACCACACCTGGCTAATTTTTGTATTTTCAGTAGAAATGGGGTTTCACCATGTTGATCAGGCTGATCTCGAACTCCTGACCCATCTGCCCGCCTGGGCCTCCCAAAGTGCGGGATTACAGGCACCAGCCATTGTGCCCGGCCCTCGTTCCCAATTTCTAAGGCCCACCCTTAGTTAGAAATAAATCTTTTCTTTTTTTTTTTTTTTTTTTTTTGAGACGGAGTCTCGCTCTGTCGCCCAGGCTGGAGTGCAGTGGCAGGATCTCGGCTCACTGCAAGCTCCGCCTCCTGGGTTGACGCCATTCTCCTGCCTCAGCTTCCCAAGTAGCTGGGACCACAGGCACCCGCCACCACGCCCGGCTAATTTTTTTGTATTTTTAGTAGAGACAGAGTTTCACCGTGTTAGCCAGGATGGTCTCGATCTCCTAACCTCGTGATCCGCCCACCTCGGCCTCCCAAAGTACTGGGCGCGTGAGCCACCGCGCCCGGCTAAATCTTTTATTTTCGATTTTTTTTTTTTTTTTTTTTTTGAGACGGAGTCTCGCTCTGTTGCCCAGGCTGGAGTACAGTGGCGAGATCTCGGCTCACTACAACCTCTGCCTCCCAGGCTCAAGCGGTTCTCCTGCCATAGCCTCCCGAGAAGCTGGGATTACAGGCGCGCACCACCACGCCCGGCTAATTTTTGTATTTTTAGTAGAGGCGGGGTTTCACCATGTTACCCAGCCTGGTCTCGAACTACTAACCTCAAGTGATCCGCCTGCCTCGGCCTCCCAAAGCACTGGGATTACAGGCGTGAGCCACCGTGCCCGGCCTCTTTTTGATTTTTGCACGAAACGACTCCGGCTGTATACCCACTGCTGTCACTTGCTGCCCTGTCCAAGGAGTGCTGCCGGACTGGGGAGTCTGTCTGACTCAGAATCGAAGGCGGGGGTTAAAGACCAGCTAGGCCATAGAGGAACGGAACAAATCACGCCTAACCCAACAAGCATCTGAACCTACAGGCAGCCCTAGATACCTACACGAGCAACACCCGGGAAGCAGGAGTCAGATGGACTGCGGGTCGCTGACCACTGCCTTGCCCACCCCCGCGCATGCGCGACGACCGCACCAGCGCCAGAGGAGTCCCACGCCAAGCAGCCCCAGACATCGTGGGAGGGCGCCGTCTTCTCGCGCATGCGTTAGCGCCCGCGCATGCGCGCCCTCGGCAGCTGTCTTTCCTTATTAGCCCTTTGCTCTCCTCAAGCGCGACCCGGACCCCGAACGCTGGACGCCTCAACTGCGACCCTCACTCCACACTTCTCACCTTGCGCCCGGTTTTCTCCCGTAGGGCCTTCAGCCGTTCCTTTCGCCGCAACGCCTCTTCCTCTAGCCGGCCCACACCAGCCGTAGTTGCCTCCATCTTGCCCGCGTACGCCCCTCCTTTTCTCCCGTCTTGCATCGCGCAGGCCTAAGGAGAGTGGATAAATGTCTCGCGGCCAATCCAAGGACGAGAATGAGAGACTGGGAGGTCCTGAAAGCCAATCAATGCGGGGTTATTATGGGCGAGCCCTCCCCGCCTTGCCCCGCCCCGCCCCGCCCCGCCCTTATTCTTCCGGACAACTTGCCTAGTGGGTGGGGAGCCAGCAAAAAAAAAAAAGAAAAAAAAAAAAGCTAAGGCTCGATTTATCCAACGCTGATCAGTGAAAGAGCAGCAAGTGGAATTCAGACCTGAGAGAAGGAGAAAAGAGTGCGTCGATCGCTCCGGTTTTGCCCAAGTACTAACCACACTAATCACTCCATGCTGGCCTCTTGGAATGCCCTGACTCATCCTTGTCCACTTGACCTGACAAGGCTCGAATGCCTTCAAGAAACCTTCCCTGGGCCGGGCGCGGTGGCTCACGCCTGTAATCCCAGCACTTTGGGAGGCCGAGGAGGGCGGACCACGAGGTCAGGAGATGGAGACCATCCTGGCCAACATGGTGAAACTCCATCTCTACTAAAAATACAAAAATTAACTGGGCGTGGTGGCGCGTGCCTGTAATCCCAGCTACTCGGGAGGCTGAGGCAGGAGAATCGCTTGAACCAGAGAGGCGGAGGTTGCAGTGAGCCGAGATCGTGCCACTGCACTCCAGCCTGGCAGCAGAGCAAGACTCCGTCTCAAAAAAAAAAAAAAAAAAAAAAAAGCCTTCCCTGATCCTCCACTTCGATCCCACCCTAATACAAGGTATGACTTACACCTCTGCAGCTGTCAGTGGCTCCCCGGACTCACCTGACAAGCGCCCCTAAGCCCCTCTGTGACCACTCTCAGCTCAGACAAAGCCTGCACAGTGAGGGGGACCTGACTGTATGGCTGTTTCCCTCTGGACTCAAAGATGATCCCCTCTCATTCCCATCCCCTCCTGGAGCAGCAAAGTCCTCAGGGTCAAGTTACCTTTCCCGGGGAAGAGCAAACCCCAACCTGGGTCCAGTGGGCCTCAAGTACTGCCCCCAATCCCCAGCTTAGAAAGACTTGGGGTGGCCTCGACTGCAAGTCGCCACAAGATTCATGGCTACCCAGCAGAAGCTGCCAGAGTCTTCTTTCCTGCATGAACTAGAGTGTCCTGATAACCGCGAGACCACTTAGGCTGAAGTCAAGATATTCTTTCAGTATGTGGGGGTCCCCAAAGCCACACCCCCTCTCACTTGGGAATAGGAGACCATGCCGCCCCCTCTCCACCTCCACTGCCAGGGGACAACTAGCCTCTTAGGCTGTTCCCTCCCTGAGTCTTCCCTTCCCAAGCTGGCTACAGGTGGACATCCACTCTTCCCCTTCCAACTCCCTTCAGAGGCCCATGGGCCACAGACTGCAGATCTAGCCCTCCCTTCACTAACCCTCTTGTCCTCACTAACCTGGGTCTGTCTAAGCCTTCTTCCCTGTAGTGGATGGGTTGCTCTGCCAAGGCCTGGCATGCAGTTTGGAGGTGCTCAGGAAACCTCAGCTCAGAGCTATGATGGATGAAGCAGGACAAAAGGCCAGAGGTGAACCAAGAAGCTGGGAGAACAAAACAGGACAGGGTCTCTGTTGTCTTGGCCAACCAAGGTCTAGGAGTCTCCAGACTGGTCAACTCCTGGAACGAGTAGCACCCCTCTGGGCCCAGAAAACTTCTCCCCAGCCCCAACAAAGAGCCTGATCCCTGCCCAACACCAGGGGTTGGGTCCCTGCCACCATCACCCCGTGCCCCTTTCCCCGTGTCCAGACTGTGAGGTAAGGGGATGGGGAAGGGGGCACGGGGTGATGGTGGCAGGGACCCAAAAAAGAGTCAGTCAAGCCTGGGTCCCTGCCCCTGCTGCCCAAGTGGTCCTCATTTGGTCAACTTGGGCCTCAGTTTCTCCATCTGTAAAACAGAGCCGGCCGGGTGCGGTGGCTCATGCCTATAATCCCAGCACTTTGGGAGGTCGAGGCGGGTGGATCATGAAGTCAGGAAATCCAGACCATCCTGGCTAACACGGTGGAACCCCGTCTCTACTAAAAATACAAAAAATTAGCTGGGCCTGGTGACACGCGCCTGTAGTCCCAGCTACTCAGGAGGCTGAGGCAGGAGAATCACTTGAACCCAGGAGGCGGAGATTGCAGTGAGCCGAGATCGAGTCACTGCACTCCAGCCTGGGCGACAGAGTGAGACTCTGTCTCAAAAACAAACAAAAAACAGAGCCATGAGGCACCCACCTGTTGAGGTTAAAGAAACAACATATGTGAAGCAAGTTCTGGGCCCTGGAGTTGGGGAATGGGGGGAGCCCCTCCACTGGAGCGTTTGGGAAGGCTTCCTGGAGGAGGGAGGGGGACCCGTGGCAACGGTCTAAGCCTCTCTGGGATCTGGGAGGGCACCGCGGCCCCGAAGGTATTTCAGGCTAGTCCTGCTACTCTCTAACTTCCCGCCATCACACTCCACAAACAGCTAGAGCTCAAAAGTTGCGTTTCGGTCTTCCCATAAAGCGACAGAGTAGCACCTGGCATTTGATAAGCGCTACAAGGGGTCGTCATGGTGGTGGTGGAGATTATTGTTGAAGGACCCTCGCCACCTCCACGCGGCCCGCCGCCCCTTCCCTGAATGGCGGCAAATGCAGTCAGGCGAGCAGCGTCCTGGGCGGATTCAGACCCTGGGGAAGTCTGGAATTCCTCACCCCGACCCTCGTCCCGGAGGCTCAGGCTGGCCCTTCCAATGGCACTGGTGGGGCAGGGCAGCGGGGCACCCTCCCGGGCCGCCCGGCCCATAGGCCCCTCCTCCTGCCAGGCTCTCCGCCCTTTACATGGTCCCAGGAGAGGCGGGGCGGCGGTGACTGCAGCGAAGTGCAGGAAGCTGGGCGGCGGCCGGCAGTGAGGAGGAGGAGCGAGCAGACTTGGGTG